>NC_000023.11:13652639-13955669 GCF_000001405.40 Homo sapiens | reverse complement strand
AGTGGAGTGTAGTTTCTTGGAGCAGACCAAGGACCACTTACCATCACCACTTGCCCTTCTTGCTAGGATTTGATAATTAACTTCTCCAGAGAAGGAGCTGGGCTCAAGTGGGCCAGCAGGCAGCGAGGTGAGACACGACCACACAACAGGCATCAGGAAGAGTGGGGAGAACTGTCCCCAAAGGACCTGGCTCTGAAGGCAGAGCCAAGACACCAAGCTGTCCCCAGGGGAGGTGCAGAAGCCCTGTGCACAGCTGCTGCAAAGGGACATCTCTCCCCCAGAGAAGGAGCCTGGTTTTCTAAGACTGCCAATCTGCTCTCACCACCCACACAAACTTCTTAGCAAAGCGAAAGCCGAAAACAGAGAGAAGATTAATCCTACTTCAATAGCCGCACTCCTACATACTTTTTCCTGGCCCTTTGCTGTGGCACAAAGATGTACACACTCAAAAGTCGATTAGCAAATTGGCTTCCTAAATGGCATTTCCAATGGTTAGGTTGACTCACAAAATTGCTGTTTCCCAATGCACTCAAGGGAGAAAAACACAGTCAACTGTGGGGGATAATGGGCATGCTATTAAGTGGTAAAAAATAATGCAGTGATTTATCATTGCTTCACAATCAGTCATTTGACAGAACAAAGAAAAAATTAACAGAGTTAAAATCCCTTTTGGGTATGAAATTATGATTATTCTAAAGCAATCATTATTCATTTTACATATTGGGAAATTGCTCCCAAAATGTGACCTGTTTGGAGATAGAAAGCTACTTCAGTGTAATTCCCCAAGAGGATTTTGATTCTTTATCTCAAATTCAATTGCATTGCAAGAAATCAAAAGAAACGTAACAGTTTTTAGAATTAGAATTAGGTTTTTTTGATTGCCTTACTTTAAACAGGACATTATGTAGCTTGACTGATTGGCTAATGTTTTATCCTTGTGTGTGCTATGCTTTCGTTTGTGACCCACAAATCACAAAAGATATTTTAAAACTCATGATTAGATGAAGGAGGGACCAAAAAAATGGATGGAAGTGCGGTTTGGAGCAGATCAGATGACAGGGAGAAGGCAAATCTATCTACTTCCTCATTTGCTTCTACCTTTGACAACGAGCAAAATAATGAAAAGAAAGAACAAAATGTAAAGAGGATACCATTATGAAAGGGGGAGAGGGCTGAGGTTAAGTTGAATGTGGGAAAGAGAAAAATACCAAGTAGCTATGATATAAATCCTCCTACCAACCCTGTAAGGAGGCTATTTTCTTCACTTTACAGATGGGCAAACAGAGGCTCAGCTTTTAAGGCCCAGGGTGAGATTTGATCCCAGGTCTGTCTTCTCTTTATATTTATCTATTCATTCATTCAATAAACATTCTGTGAGGGACTGAGGACACAGAGGACAATAAGGGGAAGAGTTTAGCCAGTCTTGAGAGCATTCCAGGTGAGCTGGGAATGAGCACTCCACTGTGGGCTGAATGATGCACCCCCAAAATTCCTATGTTGAAATCCTAATCCCCAAGATGATGGTATTAGGAGGCTTTAGAAAGGTGATATGGTCAAGATGGCAGAACTCTCCTGAGTGGGATTAATTCTCTTATAAGAGACCCCAGAGAGACTCCTTGCCCTTCTACCACTTGAGGATACAGTGAGAAGGCGCCATTTATGAACCAGGAAGCGAGCCCTCACCAGACACTGAGTCGGCCAGCGTCTTGATCTTGTACTTCCCAGAGTCCCCATCTCAAATAAAAGGAGACATTGATTCAACAGATCATGGCAATACCAACAAAAATAGTAAGCCTGGAGGCAGGGCTTTACCTTAAACCTTGTGTTTTCAAACATCCTTTTGTGAACCTCCTCAAACTTCCACAAAGATAGCATGGGCCAATGGTATCTTTTTTTGGTTTGTTTCTGGGACGGAGTCTCGCTCTATTGCCAGGCTGGAGTGCAGTGATGCGATGTCAGCTGGCTGCAACCTCCACCTACCGGGTTCAAGCGATTCTCCTGCCTCAGCCTCCTGGGTAGCTGGGACTACAGGTGTGCGCCACCATGCTCAGCTAATTTTTGTATTTTTAGTAGAAACGGGGTTTCACCATGTTGGCCAGGATGGTCTCAATCTCTTGACCTCGTGATCCACCCGCCTCAGCCTCCCAAAGTGCTGGGAGTGCAGGCATGAGCCACTGTGCCCGGCTGGGCCAATGGTATTCTTATCTGCCTCTCAAAGATGAGGAAACAGGCTCAAAGGGGTTAGGTAATTTGTCCAAAAGAAAACAGCAGGTCACCTAGTTAGTGCATCACACTTCTAAGTGGATGCTGATATTGGTAGGCGGGAAGGGAAATTCACAAGGAGTCCTTGTGACTGGAGACTTAGAAACATAGCTAAGGCACTCTCACACTGAATCTTAATTTTCTCTTCTGCAAAGTTTTGATAATACTTTTCCTGCCAACCTCTATTTCACGAATACATTGGGGAAATATATGGTGATGTATAGGGTACATCTACAAATGTATGGTAGATTTACCATACAACTAAGGTCTCTGTGCACATTTTAAAAGAAAGAGATGATTATAGGGAACCAGAAAATATCAAATCACAGCAGTTGGCTCCTCACCCTCAACTTCATTGCTTTCCTGGATAAAGTTTCTAGATGGGAGAATAGAGACATGTTCGCCCTCCTAAAGTCTGGACTTTAGAAAGTGCTAAAGCAGACGAATGGTCATTCACAAGAGAGAAGAGTCCTGAAACCACATTTAATGACCTCATTAGAGCAGCAGAAACTGTTGCACTGCAGGTGTTCCTTGACCTTGCTTAGAATATGGTACAAGAGCTGGTTCCTACTCCATGAGGCAGTTTCTGGGCATTGAAATATGCAGCGGGTTGCATAATTGTTACATCTGTTCTTCTTTCTGGGGTTTAAGTGGGACTTGCTCACAGTGCATTTTGGAAATCACCCTGTTAACAGGTGCCTGTCCCAGCTGAACAGCTGAATAAACCTAGGACTTCGTGTGTGCTAAACAGACGGTGGCCTTTTTCCACAACAGAAGTTGTTATTTCCTTGTGGACAATATACAGAAATGTGTGCCGAGTGTCAGCACAATCAAGGATTACCAAGCTGGCTGAAAACAATTGTGCTCAAAGAATGCTGATCAATGAATTGAGGTCACCCTGAAGGAAGAAAGATTGTTAAGATCTATATTTTTATCCACAAGGTGGATGAAAATTTAGGAGTGTTTGCCAAGAGTAGACGGGGATAGCTAATACACTAGGTAGAAGAATCATAAATTAATAAATCCAAATGGAGGAGGTACTCATTCATTCATTTAACAAAGACTTGAGCATCTGATACATTCTGCACGCGGAGGATACAGTAGTCATCAAAGCAAACAAGGTTCCTGCCATGTGGATCATCCAATCTACTAGATGAAACTGACAATAAAGAAATAAACCTAGTCATGACAAAATCACTTTAGGTAGTAGCAAATAAGACTGAGAAATTGAATCCAGTGAGGTCGAAGGAAAGCCAGGAATATGTGGGTTTATGAAAGCCAAGATAAGAACATGTTTCTACAAGAATGGACGCAGGCACTGCAAGAGTTCTAACTTGTCACATGGCGACTGGTCATTTGTGTCCTTGACAAAAGCAGTTTCAGCGAAATGATGGGGACACAGGCTTATGAAAGTGGGCTCCAGAGAGTGGGAGGTGAGAAAAGCACAGACAAGTACGGATGACTCTTCCAAGAGGTTTTGCTAAGAAGGGGAGTGTGAAAATGAGGCAGTATCTAGACATGTGTATGAACCAGTGGGATTGGCAAGTTAAAAAGGAGATATTGATAATGCAGGAGAGATAAGACTATTATGCAGGAGCAGAATCCTGGGAAGGAAGAGATGGAACATGAATTTAGAGAACTTTATGTTCAAAAGACTTTCAGATTTTAGTTAGCCACAAGTTCAAAGTCTCAGAGGTTCCCCAAAATGTTTTTCATTCATTAATTGGCACGTTTTAATTGTACTTGCACTATAGTCATGGCCCAATGGAGGAGAAAAACAAATATTATGTATTCACATAATCCAAAGTTAAATTGCAACTGGGGCAGATCCTAGGAAAGGGAGGTATTTGGTGTAATGAAACTCAATTGGGTCATTTGACCCAGTGGGGAGGTCAGATGAGGCTTCTTTGGAGAAGTGATGCTCAGGCTGAGAGCCAAACGATGATTGGGATCTAGCCAGGCAAAGTGGCAGTGGGAATGGTATGTGCAAAGGTCCTGCATTTGGAGAGAGGGCCTGAAAGCAAGGTGAGTGAGGCTGGAGCAGGAAGAACGGGGGCATGCAGGGGGAGATTAGGGTTGCCCTGGGCGGAGCCTTGGAAGCCATGGCAAGCAGGTCTTAAAAAATAGATCACTTAGGCCAGGCGCGGTGGCTCACGCCTGTAATCCCAGCACTTTGGGACGCCGAGGCGGGTGGATCACGAAGTCAGGAGATCGAGACCATCCTGGCTAACACGGTGAAACCCTGTCTCTACTAAAAAAAAATTATAAAAAATTAGCCTGGCTTGGTGGCGGGCGCCTGTTGTCCCAGCTACTCGGGAGGCTGAGGCAGGAGAATGGCGTGAACCCGGGAGGCGGAGGTTGCAGTGAGCCGAGATTGTGTCACTGCCCTCCAGCCTGGGCGACAGAGCGAGACTCCATCTCAAAAAAAAAAAAAAAAAAAAAATCGATGACTTAGAATACTACTTCATACCCACTAGGATGGCTGTAATTAAAAAGATGGAAAATAACAGGTGTTGGTGAGGATGCAGAGAAATCAGAACCCTCACACACTATTGGTGGAAATGTGAAATGGCACAGCCACTGTGGAAGACAGTATGGTGGTTCCTCAAAAAGGTAAACATACAATTACCACATGATACAACAATTCCACTTCTAGGCATATACACAAAAGAATTGAAAGCAGGGACTCAAACAGGTTATCTGTACACCAATGCCCTTAGCAGCATTATTTACAATAGCCAAAAGGGAGAAGTAACCCAAGTGTCTGAAGGACAAATGGATAAAGAAAATATGGCCCAACCATACAATGGTATATCATTCAGCCATAAAAATGGAATGAAATACTGCTACATGCTACAGCCTTACGCTCAGTGAGAGAAGCAAGGCCACGTGTTGTATGATTCCATATATATGAAAACCCAGAAGAGGCAAATCCATAGGGAAAGAAAGCAGATTAGTGTTTGCCAGGGACCAGAAGAGGGGGTGATGGAGAGAGACTACTTAATGGACATGGGATTTCCCTTTGGGCTGATGAAAATGTTCTGGAACTAGACTGTGTTAATGTGCCCAACCACACTGGGAATGTACTAAGTGCCACTCAATTCTACACTTTAAAACGGCTAATTTTATGTTGTGTGAATTTTACCTCAATAAAAACAAACAAACAAACAAAATACGTATTACCAGAGTGTTACCAACTTAAGAGAAGAAAGAGTTTCAACCTAACCAGCTGGAGATGTACATCTTATCTAGAGCCCCCCACTTGAAGAGGAATTTTGATAAAATTAGACCGTGTTCACTGCAGGACAATCAGGAGGCTGATTTTCTAAACTTTCATTAAAAGTTTTGAAAAATCATAGACACTTTGATTTTTTTGTTTGCTTGTTTGGAGACAGAGTCTCTCTCTGTTGCCCAGGCTGAAGTGCAGTGGCATGATCTCGGCTCGCTGCAGCCTCCACCTCCTGGGTTCAAGTGATTCTCCCATCTCAGCCTCCTGAGTAGCTGGGATTACAGGCGTGCACCACCACATCCAGCTAATTTTTGTATTTTTATTAGAGATGGGGTTTCACCATGTTGGCCAGGCTGGTCTCGAACTCCCAGCCTCAAGCAATCCACCTGCCTCAGACTCCCAAAGTGCTGGGATTACAGGCATGAGTCACTGCACCAGCCTCATTTTGCTCTGTATAACAGAGGAGCTTGACCTAGCTTGGAGTAAAAGGAGCCTCCCTCCAGGATAGGTGATGGAGGTTGAAAACACAGTAGCTGAGGATGGAAAACATTTTAACAATCACAGTTGTTGAGAAATAATAGTGTTGAGCTCCCCATCATGAAAAGTACTCAAATATACCTGAATGACTAATGGGCATGGACAGATACAAGGGATTACTGAACGTGAAGAATGGGACTGGATGAACCAAGTTCCCTTTAACTCAGAGATGCTTTGATACATTTTTAAGAATCACTTGGGGGCCGGGTGCAGTGGCTCACGCTTGTAATCCCAGCACTTTGGGAGGCCGAGGTGGGCAGATCACGAGGTCAGGAGATCGAGACCATCCTGGCTAACACGGTGAAACCCTGTCTCTACTAAAAAATACAAAAAATTAGCTGGGTGTGGTGGCAGGTGCCTGTAGTCCCAGCTACTTGGGAGGCTGAGGCAGGAGAATCACTTGAACCTGGGAGGCAGAGGTTTCAGTGAGCCGAGATCGCACCACTGCACTCCAGCCTAACAACAGAGCAAGACTCCGTTTCAAAAAAAAAAAAAAAGAATCACTTGGGTGGGGAGATAGCAAAATTCTAGCCCAAAGTGACATTCCTTTTTTCCAACAGGGTACCAAATTCATTATTACTAGGCAATTGGGAAGTGTAGGAGAAGTAAGAGAAATCATTGTCAGCTAATACAGGTGAAGGGGTATTTCAATACCTATTGAGCTCTTTGCATGATTCAATTTTCAGTATCATCTGTAAACACAAGGACACACTGTCAGATTAGCTATAATTTTTGGCATTCATTGCGAGTTCCTGATGCACTGCTGTGAACTCTGTTCTAGATTCACATATGTGGGTAACATAGCCACAGTGCAAAACTATAGAACATCCCATGAAAGACACAAGCTTTAGAGGTAGACATAGCCCAGACTTCGGGATTGAAATGCTCAGTAAAAACCAAAGGAAAATCACTTGCCAATTGCTCTGACTCGCAGGAGACATCATGAAATGACCTGTGTTTTAAAGGCAGGATCTGCTTTTAACCAGCTGTGAACTCCAGAGGCCCTTGGGATGCTGCTATTTTCTTTTTTGCCTTCATTCTCCTCACTTCTGGCCTGCAATTCCATAAGATACATCACAGCATGTAGGCCTTTTCCCTGTTCTCTAAATTGCAGCCAAACTGGACCTAGATTCTGAAAGTGGGCCCTAGAATGTAACCCTGGCTGAGGGCTTCCACCTGTTCCTTGTAGCCCAGACCAGCAATCCTACAATCTGGAAACATCTTCTACAGAGAGTAACATGGTGGAGTAGACGGAGTTTAGATTTGGATAGAGGTGAGCCCAAATCCAAATCTAGGCTGAGGGTGGTGGCTCATGCCTGTAATCCCAGCACTTTGGGAGGCCAGGGCAGGAAGATCACTTGAACCTACCATTTCAAGACCAGCCTGGGCAACATAGCAAGACCCCCATCTCTACAAAAAACTTTTTTTTTTTTTTTTTTTTAGATTTGTTGGGCATGGTGGCTTTGTACCTGCAGTCCCAGCTACTTGGGAGGCTGAGGTGGGAGGATGGCTTGAGCCTAGGAGGTTGAGGCTGCAGTGAGCTATGATCAGGCCACTGGACTTCAGCCTGGGCAACAGAGCAAAACCCTGTCTCTAAATAAATAAAACCTAAATGTGCCATGTACTCAGTGTGTGATCTGGGACACACAATCTAATATCTCCAAGACCCAGTTCCTTCATTAAAGGAGCACGAGGAAAGATTCAGACACCTTAAGATAACCAGAAAAGTGTGAGAGGGAATCTAGGGTCCTCACCTGATGCTCAGGAAGATCCTCAGGAGAAAGCCAAGGGCACAGAGAGCCAGGACACCTCACTCTGTCACCTGCAGATGACTGGAAGAGCCCCCAGAAGAGTTACAGAGGTCCTGTTTTCTCCCATCCCAGAGGACAATTAGCCCCTTAAACATCTTGTAGTCAGAAATTGCATTTTCTCCTCTTCCGTCCCCAAGTTGAACATAGTAAAATGTAGGAGAAGGAAGTTGATCGGGTGCTTTATGTCAGCTTCCTCTCCAAGGTCTGGCAGCTCCTCCTTGTAGGTCTTCCTGGCTGTCCCCATGCCGGGCGCGGGCTGCCCAGGCTTCCTAGAGCTCTATAATTTCCCTTGTACTTTCCGTCTTTCCTTCTTCCATTAAAGTTGCCTACTCTCAGGAAGGCTGATCTCAAGTAGGCATTTCCAAAGCCATCTAAATTCACACTCAAGGTGTGAGTGATCTTTAGTGTTCGGGGGCATTTGTGGTCTTAAGAGGTATGTATTTAAACTCAAAGTATTTTTTTTTTCTAATTAAATGATGGACAGTCCCACAGCATAAGAAAGTTATCTTTGTTAATTGCCTGTTGCTTCTTGCTACTTTGGGCTACTTTCTACTCACTTACTACTCAAGACCTCCTGACCTCCGCTCCTCACCAATAAGTAGACAAACAAACAAACCACTACATAATAGAAGAATGGAAATCAGCAATTTCTTTCCACCTTCCAGAGCAGATGCAGAGCCAAGGGAGGGCACCCCCTGCCTAAAATAATATGAGACAAAATTTCAAACCAGGAACATTCATCCCTTTCTTTACTGCAAAAGCTTGGAATGCCTTTGCCCTAAAGCTGCTTTCTGGCTACCCCAGGGACCCCTCTGGCTCCCCAAGGTAAAAAGAAGGGATAATAATGATAACATTAACAACAACAAGATCCGCATCAATAGCTACCATTTATTGAGTCCCAAATGATAAGTGCTTTACTCATATTATCTCCTTTAATCTCTACAACAATAATACGAGGTAAGGATTGGATTATACCCATTTAACAGATGAGGTATGTCGGGAAATAAGGTCTTAGGGGCCCAGAAGGAATAGAAGTAAACATTCAATAGACTCAGGTGCCTTATTTCTTTTTATTATTCTACTTTAAGTTGTAGGGTACATGTGCACAACGTGCAGGTTTGTTACATATGTATACATGTGTCATGTTGGTGTGCTGCACCCAGCAACTCGTCATTTAACATGAGGTATATCTCCTAATGCTATCCCTCCCCCCTGCCCCCACCCCACAACAGTCCCCAGTGTGTGATGTTCCACTTCCTGTGTCCAAGTGTCCTCATTGTTCAATTCCCACCTATGAGTGAGAACATGCGGTGTTTGTTTTTTTGTCCTTGCGATAGTTTGCTCAGAATGATGGTTTCCAGCTTCATCCATGTCCCTACAAAGGACACGAACTCATCCTTTTTTATGGCTGCATAGTATTCCATGGTGTATATGTGCCACGTTTTCTTAATCCAGTCTATCACTGATGGACATTTGAGTTGGTTCCAAGTCTTTGCTATTGTGAATAGTGCCTCAATAAACATACATGTGCATGCGTCTTTATAGCAGCATGATTTATAATCCTTTGGGTATATACCCAGTAATGGGACGGCTGGGTCAAATGGTATTTCTAGTTCTAGATCCTTGAGGAATTGCCACACTGTCTTCCACAATGGTTGAACTAGTTTACAGTCCCACCAACAGTGTAAAAGCGTTCCTATTTCTCCACATCCTCTCCAGCACCTGTTGTTTCCTGACTTTTTAATGATCGCCATTCTAACTGGTGTGAGATGGTATCTCATTGTGGTTTTGATTTGCATTTCTCTGATGGCCAGTGATGATGAGCATTTTTTCATATGTCTGTGGGCTGCATAAATGTCTTCTTTTGAGAAGTGTCTGTTCATATCCTTCGCCCACTTGTTGATGGGGTTGTTTGTTTTTTTCTTGTAAATTTGTTTGAGTTCATTGTAGATTCTGGATATTAGCCCTTTGTCAGATGAGTAGATTGCAAAAATTTTTTCCCATTCTGTAGGTTGCCTTTTCACTCTGATGGTAGTTTCTTTTGCTGTGCAGAAGCTCTTTAGTTTAATTAGATCCCATTTGTCAATTTTGTCTTTTGTTGCCATTGCTTTTGGTGTTTTAGACATGAAGTCCTTGCCCATGCCTATGTCCTGAATGGTATTGCCTAGGTTTTCTTCTAGGGTTTTTATGGTTTTAGGTCTAACATTTAAGTTTTTAATCCATCTTGAATTAATTTTTGTATAAGGTGTAAGGAAGTGATCCAGTTTCAGCTTTCTACATATGGCTAGCCAGTTTTCCCAAGGTGCCTTATTTTTTAAAAAATGTACATATATATGTAATGCATATACATGGTAAAAATTAAATAGAACACAAGGACTTATGATAAAAAACAACAGTCTCCCAGCCCTCCTCTCCTAGCCAGTGGTCTCCCTCCCAGAAACAATCTCTTTTAACTATTTCTTGTTTTGGTTCTTCTGGAAGTAACTTCCACAGTCTAGACTCATGGAAGTCAGGAAGCTTGGATTTTGGCATAAGTGTTTTTAGTTGTCACGGTGAGGGGGTGTGGGGGAACTACTGGCATTTAATGGGCCCAGGACAAGGTGACAGGCCTCCTGCAATGCACAACATGGTCTTGAACAATGAAGACATGTTCCCATTTCTCACCCAGCTTACTGTCCTCTGGACATTCATATAGATGAAAAATCTGCTTCTAATTATCAGTATATCTCCATCTCACATATAAACGTGAGATATTTGGGGGGTGGTTTTAAGACATGGTGATTTTTTTCCAGGGAGGCAATTATCTTGTAAATTGAGGGAAGATTGCACTTTCTTTTGCTGGGAAATTTACCAAGTTGTTCTCTATTTTGGAACATTGTGACTTTGATGGCAAGGTCACTCTTGGTATTTGAATTACAAAACAACACATCTCTGTAGGTGGCCTTTGTCCCACTCATGGGGATTCTATAAGTAGGTTGCTTGTTAGGTGACTTTATTACATCTTCCACTCTCATTGTACCTGAGGACTTACACATCAAGATAGACACTATGCATGCAACTATTTTCAGTTATCCTTCATAGTTAAGGAATTATATTGAGTTTTTTCTTTGATTTGGATTTAAGGAGCGCAGAAATGGCATTACAAATGTTTGTTTATAAGCAACATCAGATCCAGTGGGGTTGAGAACAATGGCCCTAGCCTAAAAAATATGCTTAGTCCTCTCTTTCTTGACTTAGCAACTTTAAACAGTATCTACTAACTCCCTGACATAAAAGATGAAGATTTATGTTACTTACATTAGCCCCCCTCCCAAATCTCTATTTTCAATCAAATTTTGACAGTATCTTTTGACTTCCACTTGAGAAGCTGAGGATATTAGCGATGTTGCTTTTTTTATAATGCACTTCATGTTTTTCAGAGCAGTTTTAGATTCACAGTAAAACTGAGCAGTGTACGGACAGTTCTCAGAGACCCCCTGCTTTGCCATGCATACCTTCCCCCACTATCGATATCCTGCATCAGAGTGGGACAGTTGTTACAATGAATGGATCTACACTGACTCATCACTTCACCCAAAGTCCATAGTTTACATCACGATTCACTCTTGATGTTGTATATTCTGAGGGTTTTGGCAAATGTATAATGACATGGATCTACCACGGTAGTATCATACAGAGTGGTTACACTGCCCTGAAAATCCTCTGTGCTCTGCCTACTCATCCCTCTCTCCCCACTAACCTCTGGCAACCACTGATCTGTGATGCTGCTTTTTCATTCATATTCTCCTGTGTTCCACTTTGTGTCAGCTACACTTTTACATTGTCAAGGTTTGCTAACATTTTCATTTAGTTGTACAAATGGAACTGTCTTTTTTCATTTTGTCCATAGGTGACCAGTTCATGGACCTCCCATTGGCTTGAGAAAGTAGCCGTCTTGCTGAGAGACAGGAGAGAAGTCTATAAAGGATATAAACCGGGCCAGGCGCGGTAGCTCAAGTCTGTAATCCCAGTACTTTGGGAGGCCGAGGCGGGCGGATCACCAGGTCAGGAGATTGAGACCATCCTGGCTAACACGGTGAAACCCCGTCTCTACTAAAAATACAAAAAATTAGCTGGGCATGGTGGCAGGCACCTGTAGTTCCAGCTACTCAGGAGGCTGAGGCAGGAGAATGGCGTGAACCCGAGAGGCGGAGGTTGCAGTGAGCCGAGATAGTGCCGCTGCACTCCAGCCTGGGTGACAGAGCAAGACTCCGTCAAAAAAAAAAAAAAAAAAAAAGGATCTAAACCATGCATGATATGCTGAGAAAGGAACTAGAGTAAGCAGGAGGTAAAGAGATTTGTAAGAATCAAACATCAAGCCAGGTTTCTGCCCATACAGGGATTGTGCTGGAGAGACAAGATCCCTGAGTGCTTATTAAACAGGAAGGAGTGAGGCACACAAGTGAGTAAATGTCCCCCAAAAGACTATAGTTAATATCACTGTATTGTATACCTGAAAATTGCTAAGAGAGTAGGTTGTTGTTTGTTTTTGGACAGGGTCTCACTCTGTCACCCAGGCTGGTGCAATCTCAGCTTACTGCAACCTCCACCTCCCAGCTAAAGTGATTCTCATGCCTCAGCCTCCTGAGGTGCTAGGATTATAGGCGCACACCACCATGCCTGGCTAATTTTTTTTTTTTTTTTTTTTTTGTAGAGACAGGGTTTTGCCATGTTGCCCAGGCTGGTCTTGAACTCTTGGACTCAGGTGATCCACCCCCGCTTGGCTTCCCAAAGTGCTGGGATTACTGGCGTGAGCCACTGCGCCTGGCCTAAGAGAGTAGGTCTTAAATGTTTTCACGACACACATACACACACACACACACACACACACACACACAGAAATAACTAGATATGGCGATAGATGTTAACTTGATTGTGATTATCATTTTACAATGTATACACATATCAAAACATCTCGTTATACATGGTAAATACATACAATTTTAATTTATCAATTATACTTCAACAAAGCTGGATAAAAAAGATTGGAACAGGCTGGGCGCAGTGACTCACGCCTGTAATCCCAGCTCTTTGGGAGGCTGAGGTGGGCAGATCATGAGGTCAAGAGTTCGAGACCAGTCTGGCGAATGTAGTGAAACCCCCGTCTCTACTAAAAATACAAAAAATTAGCCAGGTGTGGTGGTGTGTGCCTGTAATCCCAGCTACTTGGGAGGCTGAGGCAGGAGAATCACGTGAACCCAGGAGGCGGAGGTTGCAGTGAGCTGAGACTGTGCCATTACACTCCAGCCCAGGCAACAGTGCGAGACTACGTCTCAAAAACAAAAAAAAGATTGGAACAGACAAAATGCATCCTTATGGTTTATAATTATTTTGTACTCCTAGATGAGGTATCGAAGTTCTGCTAAACCTCAATTTTTTGTGTGTGTTTTGTTTTTTAGAGACAGGGTCTCGCTCTGTCGCCCAGGCTCAAGTACAATGACACCATCATAACTCACTGCAGCCTCTGCCTCCCGGGCTCAAGCGTTCCTCTTACCTCAGCCTCCCAAGTAGCTAGGACTACAGCAGTGCACCACCATGCCTGGCTAAGTTTTTTGCTTTTGCAGAGACAGGGTCTCACCACATTGCCCAGGCTGTTCTTGAACTCTTAGGCTCAAGTGATCCTCCCGCCTCAGCCTCTCAAAGTGTTGGGATTACAGGCATGAGCCACTGCATCTGGCCCCTCAATCAAATTTTAAAAATTAGTTGGAAATATGATTTTATTGATAGTTTAAAATCAAATTATTAGAAGACTGTATCTACTGTGGAGTAAGGTATGCCTGTGTTTTCCTCATTATAAAAGTAATTCTTGCTCATTATAGAAGTCCGGGAAAACATAACAAGGTATACAAATAAAACTAACAATTCTATTAATCTCACATCCCAGAGACAAACCCTGTTAATATTTTGGTAGAAGTGAATATATGGATATATTAGTTAGGGTTGGGTCGCTGTTATAACAAATAACTCCCAAAATACATAATGGCTTAAACATAATAGCAGTTTATTTCTGGGTCACAAACATGTCCAAGTCAGTTACAAATTGTCAGTGTGTGGAGGAGGACGGAGGCAAAGTCATTCAGTGACCTAGGCTGATAAGACAATTTCAACTTCAACCCGTGGCTTCCAAAAGCACCCTAGGGGTCAACGTCTCATTCCTGCTGGGAGAAGAGGAAGGCATGTAGAAGCAATATGTTTAAGGTTTTAGGGATAAGCCCGGAAGTGGTGGACCTCACTTCTGACCTCTTTGGCTACAACTCAATCAGGTAGCCGCATTTAACTGTTAAGGAGTTAAGGGGAAATGGAGTCTGGCTGTGTGGCCAGATAGAAAAAAATGTTGAAAAAGTAATAGTCTCTACCATAGTGTATTTTCTTTGTGTTTTTCAATACACACACACAGACACACACACACGTACACACGTATACACTAACATGACTAGGATTATGTTGTATATTCAGCTTTTTATTTGGCTTTTAAAACATCTCTGAGCATTTTTCTACATAATTCTTTGCAAACAAGGCTACATGATATCCGATCATACAGATCAGGGTTTCTCAACCTCGGCACTATTGACATCTGGGGCCAGATCATTCTTTGTTGTGGGGAGGGGAGCTGTCCTCTGCACTGTAGGACATTGAGCTGCATCCCTGACCCTTACCCACTGGATGCCAGTAAGCCCCCCACCCTATCCCCAGTTGTGACAACCAAAACTCTCTCCAGACACTGCTAAATGTCTCCTGGGGGCGAAATTGCTCCCAGTCAAGAACCCCTGAACTAGGTCGACAATCATTTATATAACTAATTCCCTTCTGTTGAGCAACTGTTGCTTTTTTTGTTTTGTTTTGTTGTTTTTTTGCTATTACATCTCACTCTACAATAAACCTCCTTTCACATTAATTTTGATCAAAACAGTTGTTATTTACTTAGGAGAGAGTCCCAGAAGAGGGATTATTAGGTCAGAGGCTGTGAATATTTTTAATTCTCTTGGTAGTACAGCCAAATGGCTTTCCAGAAAGGCTAGACCAATTGACTCACCCACCTGCAGGTGTAATCTTGCTTTAATTTTTAAAGATTTCAGTTACTTGAGAAAAATGGTTTATTATTTTAAGATAGCATTTCTTTGAATAATAGTGAAATGAAATATACTTACTAGCCATCATCTGCATCGTCTATAGCAGCCTTCACTAATTTCCCAAATGCTATTTTTTTTTCTTAAGGGTTTTAGGGACAATTGCTTGTTGAAATCAATCCATGATACTCACAAAGTGAGGAAAATTTTCTGTTAAAATGTGGCTTTCCCCTGATTGTATACACAATTGTTAGAACTCAGTTTTTATCACAGCATCCATTGTGGCTAGCTCCAATATTTAGACAGCTGTTCTTTCTTTGGGGAAAAAAAAGACAAAAAAAAAAAAACAAAAAAAAAAACGTAAGACTTCTAGGGAATGACAGAAAGTAGACCAAGGAGTTTACTTTCATCTCAGTACATAAAACCTTAGAGTTCCTCGTTCCAGAGAGGCTCATTAAGGTCATGTCTTGCCAAAGTACTATTTCAGATGGTCATGCCTGAGTTCCCTTCTGTTGTTTTCAGGGTCTCCTAGGAAACCCTCAAGATGTAGGAACCGACCAAACTCACCCTTCCCTCAACTAGGACTTAGCATGAATTCCTCATTGCTCTCACCCAGTCCACCTTTGTCTTCCTCTACCTTACAGGCAGCCTCTGTTATTGTTGGATTCCTACATACACTTGCACTCAGGAATGGCGCAAATGGATTACTTCCTCTTAACAGGAGGACAACAAGTTATACCTATGAGCTCCCTGTTGTTTTATGACTGCATGAAGATTGGTTAGAAATGACTATTCCCGTGGGATTGTGAAAATGAGCCACTGATCCGCCTAGCACAAATCTCTGTCCTTTCATGTAAAATATTATTAGGCTTTCTAGAGCTCTGCCTTGATAAAATCTTTCCTAATCCAATAAATTTCAATAGATGAAATGTTTGCCTCCTCCATCCTTTCTCAGTCCTAAAGCCTCTCTTTTGGCTTAAATGTCCCTAAAGTGTACTATCTATTGTCACTGTTTATGTAACCCTCTGTTCAAATAACATGATGTATTTTCAGAACAATAAAAGAACACAACAAAAAATATCAGGGGGGAACATCAGGCTCAGAAATGTCACAGAGAGCGTTAGTCCTACAAAAACTGCAAGGGTCCCATGACTCTTCTAATACCTTTGGAGACAGGAAAATTCTCTAAGGAGACAGAAGGAATTTAAGCCCTGGACACTGTTAAACCATTTAATTCACTTAAAGGCTCAAGCGCGAGGCCTGAGCAGCGGGAGAAATGGTTGACTGGAGCTAGCCTGCAAAGTCTCCAAGAGCCTTCCAGGGGTGGACTTCCAGGAATCAAGAGGGGTGATAACGGACACCAGCAAATCTGGCACCACTCTAGATTGGAGGGTGCTACCTGTGTCTTTCTAAGTCATTAGCCACCGACAAGTTACTTATGTCAATGTTTCGCAACCTTGGATGCACATTGGAATCACCTGGGGAGCTTTTAAAGAACGGATGCCTGGGTCCCACCCGCAGAGGCCATGATGAAATCCGGTTTCCAGAAGCTCCCCAGCTGATTTCTCCTCTGCAGCCAGGGTTGAGACCACTGAATTAAGTAACGACTCGTATCTGAACAAAAGGAACTGAGACTGTGGATTGAGGCAACGCTAAGTACTAAGTGCCCTTGGTCCAGTGTCCCGGGCCTCAGTTTCTTTATCTATACAACGGGTGTGGCTAAGACCTCAAAGCCCCCCGCTCCCCCCAACCTCCCCAGGCCATAATAGTTTTCATCTGGGACGCGGATCGCCGCCTCCGCGATCCTAGAAGCCCACTCCCCTCTCTACCCATCCCCCTCGCTGGCTTTTCCGGTTCCCGCGACCCTCGGCGCTCGCCCGGGGGGGTCCCAGAGGAAGCCGCGAGCTTTGCCTGCAGACTCCGCGCGCCCGCTGCCCCCAATCGGGCCCTAGCTCCGGGCGCACAAAGCCCCCGGCGCTGACGTCAGGGCCCCTCTCCGCGCGGCCGGCCCCCAGTGCAGGCGGAGCCGCGCCGCGCTCCCACCCCGGCCGGGAGCTAGGAGCCAGCGGCCAGCCCCGCGCAGCGCAGCGCAGCCCGCAGAAGCCCGGTCAGCGCACGTGCCCGCGAGACCTGCAAACTTGTGCCACCGGCTCTGCCCGTCCCCGGGGAGCCCGAACGCCCCGCAGCCCTCACCCCTCCCGCCAGTCTCCAGCCATGGGTAAGCGAGCGCGCTGGCTGCGCGCCACGGCCACGGTCTCGCGCCCCCGCCCCGGGAGGGCGCGCCCTTCCGAGGGTCCCGCCCCTCCCCCGCTCAGGTGGCGCCTCCTCGGCCACCTCTGCGACGAAGCCGGGACGCTGGAGGTGGGAGGGGCGCGGCGCAGGTGTCCGGAACGCCCAGGTGCGCTTCCCTGTTGTATCCTGTGGGGGGGGTGGTCCCCGCTCCGGCTGCGGCCAGGCTGCACCCCCGCACGTGCGGCTCGCGGGAGCCTAAGAGCTGGGTACCCGGGAGGGGTTGCAGAGAGAACAGACGGCGCGTCCCGGGCTAGTGCTTTATTTTAAGGGGCCAGTAGAGAGTCGCTTCTTGCCTGTTTCCCGGGACGCTCTCCCTGTCGCCCGAGCTCCCAGTCCAGTCCTGCCCCGCCCCGCCCCGCCGTGCTTCTGTTCTCCTTAAGCCCGCGCGAAACAAACACCCGGTTCCCCAAGCCTGGGGTCTTCCGGGAGCTCATTTCGAAACCATGACCCTTGAAACCAGGAAAGTGACAGGAGAGACTCTGGACAGCATGGGACGGAGGCTGAGTCTCTCCTCTTTGTCCCTTGTTCCAACTATTAAAATGCGGCCCGGGTGCAGGTGGAGGCGGTGTGCTGAGCGGGTTCCAATGCAACGGGGGAACGACTAGCAACGGCAAAAGGCTCAGCTCCGGAGGGTTAAAATCTGAAATCTCCAACCTGGCCCGAGGCTGGTGTAAGGCGGCTGTAGGATTCTTTTTGTCACTTCCTAACACCCTGAAATGCTGCCGTCAGCAACATGTCTTTAAGTGGGGACTCTGTATTGGGAGGAAAACTCGTAAAGAGTGCTGTGGAAATCAGCCTCATTCCGCAGCACTCCTGAAAACGTGTGACAGCTGTGCTTGGGAAAGGGTTTTTCTCCTCCTGCTCCGTTATCTTTCTCTAGTGACAGACTCCAGCCACAAGCCACAAAGACTGTGAAGAGCATTCCTAACGAGGACGTCAGTGGGTTTAACCATTGCGAGTTAATGGTGAGGGCTTGGGAATTGCTTGCCCGCTCCTCCGCTTCCCCTAATCATTCATCCCCCTCTTTCACATTATCTTTGCTATTAATTGTGTGTGGGGGGGCGATAATTTTGTACGGATTAAAATTTTGGTGAGGAGTAAAGGGGGCACTTTTTTGCATTTCAAAGGAAGCTCAAATAATTTTCTGGTTTACATTTTTAAAAAATTTACTAGGTGATCAAAATATGAAAGGAGATAAGGCCCACCAAATCCAACAGGAAAATTTCTTTCTAAAAAGGCAAGAACTAGCATAAGATCCTTCTAGAAAGGGCAGAATCGAGTGGCCTGTAACTCAGGTTCCTACTTCTCTTAATGTCCCCCATGTGAGCAGTCAAACCATTCAACCTCCGTTTTAAATGAGGCTCATACACAAAATGAGGCTCAGAGGATGACTGCTACTCAGCCTGTGATCACTTTGGTGATAATTGCCACCAAAGATGTTACAGTTACGAACAAGTGTGGTATTGAGGAAAGCATCAACTACTTTTTCTGAAATCGTTATTTTAATTTAACGCTAGGCGTTTGGATTTGTACGTGGAATTATCACACGGGGACCTTCTCCAGAACAGCTTTCACAATACTTTGGACTGATTTAGGGGTAGGGTGGGCTTCATTTTTAAACAGGTGTGGAGTTGGGTGCAGTTCTCATGAAGCAAAGGCCCGAGCCAGAGACCTGTTCTTAAGGAAGTACTTTGTGTTTTGGACAATTGTTGGCTCCACATTTCAATTGCCAATTTATGTTAATTTGTGCATACTTCACTGGTTCTGGCAGTATCCTTGGTTTTGGTTTTAGTTTTTACATTAAAAAGAAAGTTCCCTTCATGTAAAAAAGGAAACATACTGATTTCCTTTGGTAGACTCTTAGTAAATACACCACAGGGCCATGAACTGGTTTTATTTTTCCAGATGTATTTAATTACCGTGCATCCTCTTATGAATGTTTTAATTGAAATGATTTAACGTTGGGAAAATTCTGACCATTGGCCCATTAAGTCGGGACTTTGGTTCTTAATACAATTAGTTCCTTAACCAGGATCAGTTAATTTACTGGTAAAATAGATGAGGTTTGTAGAAATAAAAGTCCCTTCAGACTCAAATTTTAAGGTATTTGCAATCTTTAACCTAAAAATAAAATAATGAGTAGTGGTGATATGTGTAATTTCACTTTTCATTACATCTTGAAAGAAAACATGGGTTTTTCATTGTTAAGCCAGTTTTTTTATAGCCTTAAGATGTAATTCACATATCATACAATTCACACGTTTAAGTATACAAGTCAGTGGTCTTCAGTATATTCAGATTTGTGCAGCCATCACTACTATCTAATGTTAGAACATTGTCATCAACCCCAAAAAGAAATCTTGTACCCATTTCGCAGTCACTCCTCATTCTCTTCTCCCCCCAGCCCCTGGCAAGCACTAACCTACTTTCTGTCTCTATGGATTTGCCTCTTCTGGAGGGTTCAGGTAAATGGAATGAGCCAATTGATGTCTGAAGTGTATTTGACTGTTCAGTAACTTTGGTCGTTTTGCACAATGAGATGTTGCTGTATTGTGTATGCAGTACGCTACCTAAATGAGTGTGTTGAAACTATTTCTCTGGCTGAAGGGTTCCATGTTTGGCTGCACATATTGTGAAGGTGAGTGAGAGTGCACACACACAGCACACAGACACACACACCCTTCAGTGTTAACTCTGGTTTTATCTGATAGGAACTTGCATTGCCCAACAGAATTTTGATTCTGTTACCTTGTTCATAGGCCTGAAGGCATAGCAATTAAGTGAATTCCATGTAATAACCTCTTATAAGGCATTTGTGGAATATCCAAGCTGCTTTAATATGGCTTATGTATCCAGAGAGAAATGCGGATTTTGTTTCTTTGCCTATAATTGTTTTATTTTTATTTATTTATCTTTTGGAGACAGGGTCTCACTCTGTCCATGCTGTACTGCAGTGGCCTGATGTAATAACTCACTGTGGCCTGGAACTCCTGGGCTGAAGCAGTCGTCCCACCTCAGCCTCCCAAGTAGCTGGGACTACAGGCATGTGTCACCATGCCCGATTAAGCTTTACAGTTTTTTTTTTTTTTTTTTTTTTGTAGAGATAGGGTATTTCTATGGTGCCCAAACTGGTCTCAAACTCCTGGCCTCAAGTGATCCTCCCTCCTCTGCTTCCCAAAGTGCTGGGATTACAGGCGTGAGCCACTGTGAGTGGCCAATTGCCTATCATTTTAAATGGAAACTGTATACGAAATGATCAGATACAACAAAATATTGAAATAATTGTTTCAACCCATTTTGTGGTAAGGAAGTTTTTATAAGGATTATGTATTTAAATGTCAATAATTTCACTAAATAGCATTATAAAAAATTTTGGTCTAGAGCAGTTCTTTTTAATATGTGTACAGATCATCTAGCGATCTTGTTAAAAAAGCAGTGTCTGATTCAGTGGGCCTGGGTGGGGCCTGAGTTTCTGCATTTGTAACAAGCTCCCAGTGGGTGCTCATGCTTCTGGTTCCTGGAGCCAGGAAGCAAAGAAGGCTGTTAAGCAGAGAGGCCCTGGTGCCTGCCCCAGCTTGCCCACTAGTTTGCTGTGTGATCGTGGGTAAATCATTTTCTCTTCATAATTTTAGTTGACTATAAAATAAAAGAATTTGATGAAATTATTTCTTTGGGTCTTTACAGGTCAACCAATATGTAATTTAGAAAAAAAGAAATGAGAGAGTAATGTTATGCTTGAAAACCACGAGAAAACAGCTCCCTGATGGTCTAAACACTACTTGAATGCATGAAGCCAGCATCAGAAGTGTCACCTGTAGTTGGGTTAAATGCTGGCATCTTCGATGTGCATGCTTCCAGTATGATTGGCTCTTCTCCAAGGGAACTGGTGGAGGAAGCTATAATGTTCTCCCTCTTTAACACTTCCAGCTTTGGCTTCTCCTGACCTCTTTTCCTTAAATCCCTTTCTTCCCCGACATCCAGGCTCAAGCCACCCTCAGAGGCTGCACTCAGAAAGAAGCACGCTGAAGACCCATACATGCAATGCTTGGTTCTGGAAGCTTGCTCAGGAATTCAGATGCAGTGGGAGACAAAAAGGAATGGAATCCTGCTGAATAACTGGGCAGGAAGTGATCCCAGAATATGCTAGCTTCCCTCCCTCTGAGTCTAAAGATCTAGTAAGGAGCCCACCCTTGGATCTTGGAGAGAGCTCCCTTTTAATATCGGGACACAAACCGACATTTTGAGTAAACCTCATAGTCGAATACCACGGAGTACTGTTTGTGACAAACAGGAAGTCATTAATTCTTTATTATATTTTTGCTCTACCGAAAGCTGTTGACCAAACCACCTGGCTTCTCCGAGAAAACCCTTATCTGCTACATCCAGGACCAAGCAGCTGGATGGTTTATTGAAAATGCCAAAGGGATCAATCATAAAACGTGCCACTTATGTAGCCTAAACATTTTGTTTAACTTTAAACATTAATTTGCTGATATTTTATTGTAGAGTCAAGGCCTTTGCTTTGAGTGCAAGGACCTGATTGGAGTTCCTAGAAGTCTTTCTTACATTAAATCACAGCCAAAATTCATTGGCTTCTGATTTTCAGCTTCAGATTCTTACATTAAAGTAGAATGAAAACCTAAAGGCATTGGGAACCAATCTCTGGGCAGAATCCCTTTATATCACCTACCCCACTCCCCTTAAACCTTTAAATTTGCCCGTACTTACTTTTGCAACTATTTTCTCAAGTGACTCATTTTTGTTAAGACTCTCCAAAGTAATCAACCTGGTTTTCAAAGAAAGGAAAAAACTCTCTCGTTTGGCACTCCTATTTTATTAGTTTATGTAATATCGAATTAAGTTTCATAATTCTAGTAACAAGTACAACTGGCATAAACAGGTTTGGGAACAAACACCACTGACTCTTCTTAAGTACACTACTTGGGGGAGAAGCAGTACATACATATATTGCAAAAGAGCCTACAACCCAAGTTCTGGACAATGATCAGTATGGTTTAGAAAAAGAATGGAGGATATGGGGTAAATGGGTGGGGTCCTTTAGGTAAACATTGGTAAGAGAGCATCTGCTATATTTTGAGCCATCATCATCCATTTAATAATTTTAACATGATGGCTGGCTTGTTAGTGTTTTTCATATGCTTCTTTCTGTTCAAATACCAAATTTGTCAAGAGCAGAAATCGTTTTATTCATTGTTATACCCCAATGTTCATTGGAATGATTGGCATATTATAGGTGTTACACAAATATTTGTTTAAAAATGAGGATTCATATGCATTTTATTAAGGTCTGTCAACATTAAAATTATAGATTTCAAGGTATTTAAATTAACATTGATGTACTGCAAACTCTGGTAAACTATGCTAAAATAGGGTAAATTACGTAAATTATTGTTCTTTAATAATAATACTTTTATCACAGAATAACAATTTCAGAGCTTGAAGTTGCTTTAGAAGTAATTTGATTGCTGCCAGGCATACAGACACAGAAACAATTGAAAGAGCAGTTTGGATGTTCTTTCATTAGCTTTTTTTTTGCCTTGAGCTTTTTTTCTTCTGCTGCTATAAAATACTTTTCTTTCTCTGGTGAAAAGTACTTCCTTCTCATCAGGTTTTTGAAGTTCTGGAAAGATTGGGGTTGAAGGCTTTGTTTCCCTGAAACTCATTATTGCCCTGAGAATTAAAAGGCAATGGCAGCTTTGTGTTTCCATCCTCACCATGTGTATTAGGGTTAAATGAGTACCTACCACAATATCATGCAACTAGCATGTGCCAGTCTCTAAGCCTTTGAATTCCTGTCACATGTCCATCACCATGGGGCTCTCAGGGGAGTATTGGACAGCTGCTCACTCAGCAAGCATTCACAGAGTCCTGTTCAGATGAGCCAAGTACTGTGCTAAGTCTTGAAGCAAAAAATAAACAAGACTCTGTTCTCAAATAACCACAGTCATTTCTGAAAGGCAGATAAACAACTATAATAAAAGTACAAGATCCTGTAGGAAAAAGAGTATCTGTCTGAGGAAAAAAGCGGGGAGGTGGTATTTCAAAGAGGGATTCCCTAGGGAGGCAGTTACTTTAAATCTGAGAGTCTTCAAGCATGAGCAGGAAGATAGGGGTCAGGGTGTCCAGGTGTCTGGGAGAGGATGGTCCAGGCCCTGGATACAAATGTGTAAAAGCAGGAGCCGTGGCAGAGGCTGCTGTGTGGGTATGTTGAGTTGGGAATGGCCTCAATGTGGGGGAGTGGGGAGAGCTGAGGCCAGATTGTAAAGTACCAGGAAATAACTTGGTCATTACCCTGTTGGTCACAGAGAATCAGGAAGGGATTTTAAGCAGGCACATGGCAGCTGGAGGGAAATGACAGTCTCCCCAAGGGGATAAAAGAAACCCACTGAGAGAATCGTTTGTGTCTAACTATAAAATTCCAGATAAAAGTTTAGAAGTTCTGATAAAGGTAAAACCTTGTGGCTTATATGAAGTTTCCAGTGGTGACTTAGATTTGAGGAGTGTTGAGAAGGGTGGAAGGGATTAGGATAACCCATGAAAGAGAGGTAGGAGTGAGCAAGGTTTGTTGGGGCAATTCTGAAGAAACTGACCTGGCCATAGCAGAGAGTAGGTATGGGAGAGAGTAGGAAATACGATTTGGTCAGGGAACTGAAAGCCAGATGGGAGTAATGAATTTTAGTTGATTACAAATGGACACATATAAATGAATCTTACAAAAATGTTTTTTTGTAAGTCCATTGTTTCATCCCTTTTGAGAAGGAAGGGAAGTATTAGCTTTCTGGGATGGAAAGATATTGGGGTGATCTTTGGCATGACTACAGAGGGGTTGAGGATTGGAACAGAACCAACTTCCATGTCTATTTATTTACTCGATTATTAATTTTATTTATTTATTTTTCTTTTTTTCTTTTTTCTTTTTTTTTTGAGAAGGAGTCTCACTCTGTAGCCCAGGCTGGAGTGCAGTGGTGCGATCTCGGCTCACTGCAAGCTCTGCCTCCTGGGTTCACGCCATTCTCTCGCCTCAGCCTCCGGAGTAGCTGGGACTACAGGCGCCCACCACCATGCCCGGCTAATTTTTTGTATTTTTAGTAGAGATGGGGTTTCACCATGATAGCCTGACCTTGTGATCCGCCCGCCTTGGCCTCCCAAAGTGCTGGGATTACAGGCATGATGGATTATTAATTTTAAAAGTGGGATTTGTTGTTGTTGTTGTTTTGTTTTTGTTTTTTTGAGACAGTCTAGTTCTGTCACCCAGGCTGAAGTGCAGTGGTGTGATCTCAGCTCACTGCAACCTCAGCCTCTTGGGTCCAAGCGATTCTCCTGTCTCAGCCTCCAAAGTAACTGGGATTACAGGTATGCACCACCATGCCTGGCTAATTTTTTGTATTTTTAGTAGATACAGATTTCACTATGTTGGCCAGGCTGGTCTTGAGCTACTGACTTCAGGTGATCTGCCTGCCTCAGCCTCCCAAAGTGCTGGGATTAAAGGTGTGAGCCACTGTGCCCAGCCATTTTTTTTTCCTTAAATATTTGCAAGAATTTACCAGTGAAGCCAGTTGGGTCTGGAGTTTTCTTTGTAGAAATGTTTAAGTTATGAAGTGTATTTCTTTAGCAGAGGAATATTCAGACTTTCTCTTTGTTTCAATTTTGGTAAATTGTGGCTTTCAAGGGCTTTGTCCATTTTATCTAAGTTATTTGTTGGCACAAAGTTGTTCATAATATTTTGTATTATCTGTTTAATCCTGTTATCTATAGTATCTGTAGTGATGTTCCCTTGTTCGTTTCTTTTTTTTTTTTTGAGACGGAGTCTCGCTCTGTTACCCAGGCTGGAGTGCAGTGGCACGATCTCGGCTTACTGCAAGCTTCACCTCCCGGGCTCACGCCATTCTTCTGCCTCAGTCTCTCGAGTAGCTGGGACTACAGGTGCCCACAACCACGCCTGGCTAATTTTTTGTATTTTTAGTAGAGACGGGGTTTCACCGTGTTAGCCAGGGTGGTCTCGATCTCCTGACCTCGTGATCTGCCCGCCTCGGCCTCCCAAAGTGCTGGGATTATAGGTGTGAGCCACCGTGCCCGGCCTCCCTTGTTCATTTCTAGTGATGTAGGTAATTGGTATTCTCATTATTTTTCTTGATCAATATTTCTAAAATTTATTTTAATAGCTTGATACTTACATGTAATAATTATATCTGATAGGTAAGTTGACCACTTAATGAAAAAGGAGTACATTTTCTAGTAATCAAAAATAGAATTTAAGTATCTAAAAGTAAGAATTGCTTACTTGGTTAGAAAAAAATAAAATCTGCCAAAAGAAAAAGTATTTAAACCTGATCTTTGGAATTTTACTCTTAATGGCTGTATATAATTCAGTATATTTGAACTTGGTATAACAAGGTCTATTATAAACAATCTTGAGTTAGAGTAGATCTTGAGTTGAGCTTAGTATTTGCTTGGGTATTTATTTGTTTAGTTTTTGTAGGACTGTTAAATTCTATTTTCTTCTTTGGACCAACTGGAGATAGATACTAAAATAAAAGAAGTCCTTTTTTCTTCCTTTCTAAGTATAGTTTTAGAGCAGGGTTTCTCAACCTCAGCACTATTGACATTTTGGGCTGGGTGATTCTTTGTTGGGGGAGTATGAGGGCTGTCCTGCGCATTATAGAGTGTTTTGCAGCATCTGTGTTCTCTACATACTACATGTTGTAACAGTCCTCTAGTTGTAACAACCAAAAATGTCTCCAGACATTGCCAGATAACCCAGGGAGGGAGGAGGGGAGCACCATATTGATTACCACTACTTAAAGGGTAAGAGGGATTGAAAACCTTTTGTTTCTCACAATATCATAAAATCTGAGTAGTAGCATTGTTGAGAACTTGGTTGAGCACATCTGCAGAATGGGAGGATTTCTTGTCTAAAAGGTTTTTCTTTCCAAAAGGAATGCTTGGTTTTTTTTAGTTGAAGGAAGTTTTTTTTTTTTTAATCTTTTTCTTACATCATCAGAGAATCTGGAGATATAATGGGGAGCTTTGCAGACCACCTAAGTCATTCTTCCTTGGAGTAAAATGGTGCCTAAACCATCTCGATAATGAGGCCAACCTCCTGGGGAAATAGTGTGCCTGGCTTTCCTTGGTAACTTCTAATGATTAGTGCACCTTATCTCTGAAAGGACTGAATCTGTGAAGATCCTTTTGCTTACTAAAATAGTTTTCATCATCTTTTGTTCTCATTAAGTGGAAAGACATGAAGGATCTAGTCACATCCTTAGTTACCTTGATGGCCTTTCCAAATTTAGAATTCATCTTCTTAGCTGTAATCAAATCTAACCAGATTAAGCCCTTAAGGCAACCTTCCTGCACGTTCCGTCCTTAGTCATGTCTTCATTACGTTTGTTCATGTGTTTGAGAGATGCAGGAGTTGGAAGAGAAAGGACTGATTTCCCCCTTGTTTAGAGATCCGTTTTCTATAGCCATTGATCTCTGCCATTCCTACATCCCAGCCCCCACAACCTAGACTCCTCCCTGCAAATGGAGACTATAAGTCAATGTTTTCTGAGACATCTGACCATACTTGCAAAATAGTTCCAGCGCAAAAAGAACAAGAACATTGGAAGCGAGGGTCAGAAGGAGCCTAGAAAACCTGCTATATTGTATGTGCATTGGGTCACTGTTTTAGATTTAGAAATGTTTCACAATGTCTTCCCGAAAAGAATGTTTAAATGGTGGATTTTAAGATGGGTGCTTAAATTCAGGCATCTGTTCCTTCACACAATGGGCAAAGAATGGAAATGTAATTAGCAATGTAAGTCAAGCTCTTAAGATAATGTGATTTGATGCAGTACTTTATATTTTCCTTTTTGTTTTCTCATTTGGCATATTCTGACAGTTTCCATGGTAATTAAAAAGAATTTGGGACCTTAAAGGGATGAATTTCCATCCTATGAATTCTTACCATTTTGCAAAGCCACTGTACCGGTTTACTAAAAACTGTTTTGAGCTCTATTATATGATGTCACAAATATTTTTAGATGTTTTGTAAGAGGCACAAATATCGTAAACTCATTAAAAATTGTTATTGAAGTATAATATGTGTACACGAAAAGTGGGCAAATCATAAGTGTACAGCTTAATAAGTTTTTATAAATGTAACCAGCAGTTATAGATTAATAAGCAGAATATTACCAGCCCCTTAGAAGCCGCCTCAGGCTGCCTTACAGATATACCTGATCAAGGCTAATCACCCCTAATTTCTGTCAGCAGAGCTTTGCACTTTATATAAATGGAATAATACAGTATGAGCTCTTGTGACTGGTGTGGCTTGCCCAACATTTGATAACATTATTTTGAAACAGGAGGATGTTTTCTGTCTGGAAAAGAGATCTGCTTCTAAATCATTATGGTTAAAAGCATTTATTAAATGCTTTCGTGTGTAGAACCGTACTAGGAAGTACACATATCATTGGTTCCTACCCTCTATTTTAAGTGGAAAGCATTGACACAGCAGCTGTGAGAAGGACTTTGAAAATCCTTGATGAAAGATGAGATAGATACATGAAAACATGTATACAGCTGGAGAGATTACAAAAATAAAGTGTCCCCATTATCCCCTTCAGAAATGGAAAGTACATTTTGAGGAGTTGTGAATGAAGACAAAGCTGTAAGTGTTGCATACCTATTCAGGATTTGATCAACGTGAATGCTTGCTAACTTCAGGACTTAAGGATGTAATAGATGTTGAGGCCTGCCTCCTCCCAATTAGTTTCCTGTAGAAGGTGAAATTTTAGGAATTGTTTGAATTAGCAGTAGTTAGTGAATCTTTGGCTAGTGGATATTCCAAATGGAGTAGAGGTGTGGACAAAGGCCCAAAGGCCTGGGATGATTTTTGGTTCTCATCCTGAAAATGGAACTACATAGGAAATTGTGGTTTGCCAGTTGACTTTTCTTCTCGTTTGTTTGGACTTAGACAATAATACTTTGCCTATGTTCCTTCAGTGAGGAACTTTGTCATCTTCTTAACCAGAGTAAATGATGCAGTCAGCAAAATGAATGCTTTGTCACCACACTGAACTAGCTTTAAATCGTATGGTGTTACCACTGCTTCTCAAGTGGTGGTATCAATTTATACTCTCACCAGGAGTGAATGAACATTCCAGCTTCTTTGTATCTTTACCAGCATTTGCTATTGTCACATTGTTTATTTTTTCAAATATCTGATAGGTGTGAAGTGGTATTTCATTGTTTTTTTTTTTATGTTGAATTTCTCTAGAGAGGTTGAAAGTTTTGTGTAGGTTATTGGTCATTTGGGTTTTCTCTTCCATTTAGATCCTTATTTGTATTTGTCTTGATTTGTAGTAGTTCTTTATGCCTTCTGTATACTAATCCTTAGTTAAAATGTGTTTTCAATATCATCTTCCTCTCTATGGCTTATCTTTTAACTTGGTTGAATACATCTTTTGTTGTACTAAATCTTTTTTATTGTAATAAAGTCCTAATTATCAATCTTTTCCTTTAATTTTTTATGACTTGTGCTTTTTATCTTTGCCTTGTTTTAAAATTGTTTCTATCCCCAAAGTCATGAAAATGTTCTTCTAATCCTCAGTATTTTCTAAAAGAAAGTTTTTCTAAAATCACGCTTTTCACTTTTCAGCCTTTATTCCATTGGGATTCTATTTTTTGGTATAGTTTTAGATAGAAAGCTATTTTTAAATTTGTTTATTTCCTATACAGAAATACCATGCACTTAATAATTCACTCTTTCCTCCCGATAATATCTATATCTGTACTTCCTTACTATATGTGTGAGTACATCTATGGACTTCATTCTATTCCTTGATCTGTTTTGGCATCTCTGTGCTACTATTACACTGTCTTCATTACTATAGATTTAGAGTAAGCCTGGCTATTTCTTAGGAGAAATTTTCCCCTTTTGCTCTTATTTAAAAGTGACCTATTCTTGATCCTCTGCTTTTTTTGTGTGTTTTTTTTTTTTGTTTGTTTGTTTTTTTGAGATGGAGTCTCGCTCTGTGTCACCCAGGCTGGAGTGCAGTGGCGCAATCTGGGCTCACTGCAAGCTCCGCCTCCTGGGTTCACGCCATTGTCCTGCTTCAGCCTCCCGAGTAGCTGGGACTACAGGCGCCCGCCACTACGCCCGGCTAATTTTTTGTATTTTTTTTTTAGTAGAGACGGGGTTTCACCGCGTTAGCCAGGATGGTCTCGATCTCCTGACCTCGTGCTCTGCCTGCCTCGGCCTCCCAAAGTGCGATCCTTTGCTTTTGGAATCAGCGTTTTATGCTCCACAAACATACCTGTCAGGATTTTGAGTGGGGTTGCAGTGAACTTATAGAATAATTTTTTTTTTTTGAGATGGAGTCTCGCTCTGTTGCCCAGGCTGGAGTGCAGTGGTGCGATCTCGGGTCGCTGCAAACTCCGCCTCCTGGGTTCACGCCATTCTCCTGCCTCAGCCTCCTGAGTAGCTGGGACTACAGGCGCCCGCCACCATGCCTGGCTAATGTTTTTGTATTTTTAGTAGAGATGGGGTTTCACCATGTTAGCCAGGATGGTCTCGATCTCCTGACCTCGTGATCCACCTGCCTCGGTCTCCCAAAGTGCTGGGATTAGAGGTGTGAGCCACGGCGCCTGGCCAGAATAATTTCATGATAGTCAATGTATTTACTATATTAAGTCTTTCATTTGTGTATATGGTATATCTCTTCATACATTTAGATTTTCCTTTGTACCCCAAGATGTTTTTGCATACCTTTAAAAATTTTATTTCAAGGTCCCTCATAGTTTTTGTGGCATTTTTTAAAGGTAAAATGTAAGGTAATCCCAGTGCTTTGGGAGGCCAAGGCAGGAGGATCACTTGGGGCCAGGAGTTTGAGCAACATAGCGAGACCCCATCTCTACCAAAAAAAAAAAAAAAAAGCCAGACATGGTGGTGCCTGCCTGTAGTTCCAGCTACTTGGGAAACAGAGGTGGGAGGATTGCTTGAGCTGAGGATTTTGAGGTTACAGTGAACTATGAATTGCACTCCAGCCTGGGTGACAGAATGACACTCTGTTTCTAAAAAATAAAAAAGTAAAGCAATTAGGGTTAAATCTAATTCCATGCAATGCCATGGTTCCCTTCCATAGACCTGTGACTTCTGAAAGTCCAGCTGGATGGACAAACTTGTTCAGATTAGCATAGAAACTGTGAAGGGAAGCTGATTCTGAGTTATCACATACCAGCCTGGTCATAAGAGCTGTATATGGTAACTCTGTGACTATGTCCCAGAACCTGCTGAGTAGCAAACGTATGGGATGCATCATGGGCTACATCCTTTGAATAGAATTTCATCTCTTCCTGGAAGAGAACAGAATCCATCATCACTGAGGGAAAACTCAGTTTCTAAGCTGAGTTTTAGCTGCTTGCTTGTGCTATATTTTCCAACTAGTAGTATTTTCATGAAAGATATTGATTTCATTGTCATATTGATGCAGAATGAGAAGTCAAATCAGTTCTTCTACTAATTCAAGAATAAAATCTGTTTGCCAATGGAAGACAAAGCTAGTGGGTAACATACCACAATTAATTTTGCTTGCCTGATATTTTCTCCAAGAGCAGGGAGCCCATGAGTCCTGGGAGTCACATGTTGAATGTTAAAACTTCCAAACAGTGATAGAGTTCACAATTTAGCTAAGAAGGGACCTCATCAAAGTCCACAGGAGTCCTGAAGATGGGATCCTGTTTTTAGATATTTATGCAGAATACAAGAAAAGAGGAAATAGAGTTTGAGTTAGATATTGGAATATCCTTCCGTTGAAGGTGGTTGTGGCCGGGCATGGAGGCTCATTCCTGATCCCAGCACTTCGAGAGGCCGAGGTGGGAGGGTCGCTTGAGCCTAGCAGTTTGAGACCAGCCTAGGAAACATGATGAGGCCCTGTTTCTATTAAACTAAATTTTAAAAATTAGCCTGGCCGGTGATACGCACCTTTAGTCCCAGTTACTCAGGAGGCTGAGGTGAGAGGATTGCTTGAGCCTAGTAGATCAAGGCTGCAGTGAGCCATGATTGCGCCACTGCACTCCAGCCTGGGCGACAGAGTGAGACCTTGTCTCAAAAAAGAATAAAAATAAAAAATAAAGGATCGATTTTATCCATTCACCAAATACTTATTAGACTGAGTGCTAAGCTTGTAATAGAAGGATGGTTAAGTCATGATTTTCACACCCGGTAAGTGATTTGGTCCCATGCAGGTGAATTAAGGTTATATGCAGATGAGTCTGCTGTGTAGCAATTGTACTCTGTGTTGGCTAGTGATGACGTGTAACAGTTTCTGCCCTCAAGGCACTCTGCCTTCATTGAGGATAGTCAACAAGGTAACACCTGTCATGATCCCATGTGGAAAACGTTACGGATAAAACAGGTGGAAGACCCACAGTGCCACTCAGTGGAGGTAAAATGCCCGGGAGGAGCCTTGGAGGGTGAACTAAAGTGAAATGAGATATTTTTACTTAAACCAACCTTCACCATATCATAACATAAGAAAATAAAAAAGAAAATAAAAATCCTTAATATGTTAAAATGCAGATTTCTTCTATAAGAAAAATATGACTTGATGTGCACCATTACAAAGACCAAGTTTACATTCAAGATGCAAATTCTTGGTTGAAAGAAAGAAAAAAGGCCAGTTTTTATTATCTTAGAGCGATACAGCTAAAGTAACCCAGGAAAGATTTAATTGGAGCTCTTCTGTTCAAACATTACTTCCATGTTTGGAGATGTTATTCATGATAATGAAATTTCCTTGGTCAATTCAAGATTACCTAGTTTCCCTAAGACATTTAATGGAAAACTTCTCCTGGCAGATTTTACATAGCTGCTCACCCTGCGAAGAAGGGGCCAGCACTTGGGCTGTAGCAAGAGCTTGATTTATTCCGGAAAGCAGTTTGTTCAGCTGTCAAATGAGATTATATGTGTGGCTGTTAGCCATCACTTCACAGAAATATTCTTATTCCTCAACAAGGCCTCAAACTTTTGTTTATTTAAGGGCAACAAAAATCACAAATGTAGATTCTCCTAAAACATCTCTTTGGAAATGTGATTTTTCACAGGGTGCTGCCATTCCCTGTCTGCTGATGATGGCTACAACCAAACTGGACTGCCAGACATTTTCTACATGTCACCTGCTGTCCCTGGGCAGCAGTATCCCCCACTAGCCAGCACACTTAGGTATGCTTAGGTTTTTTTTTTTTTTCTGAGACGGAGTTTCACTCTTGTTGTCCAAGCTGGAGTGCAATGGCGTGATCTCAGCTTATTGCAACCTCTGCGTCCTGGGTTCAAGCTATTCTCCTGCCTCAGCCTCCCAAGTAGCTAAGATTACAGGTGCGTACCACCACACCAGGCTAATTTCTTGTATTTTTAGTAGAAATGGGTTTCACTGTGTTAGCCAGGCTGGTCTCAAACTCCTGACCTCAGGTGCTTTGCCCGCCTCGACCTCCCAAAGTGCTGGGATTACAGGCGTGAGCCACCGCACCCGGCCAGGTACACTTAGGTTTGTGTAATCCTGAAAGGCCTCAGGCATAAAAATCCCTTTTTAAAATTAACTTCTTTTGTCATATGTTTCTGTCTTGGGGGTGGTCTCTCAATGTAGAAACTCTAGAATTTAAAATTGAAGTCTAAATTTGGATGTGAAAGTGAAGTTTATTTTTTATCTTATTTTAGCATTTAGGGATTTGAGTAAAAGTGGTGGTATTTCTACTCTGTGATTCAATTGCAGTTTCCTCAGCCCAACATGACAAGTGACATAGCATTAAAAAGAAAAACTCATATGTGAAGTAGCTGTGACGTAGAGTGGGCTGTTGATTCAAAAGGTCGACCTGGTTGGAGGCTTGAAGGCGTTGGGCTTTCCGCCTGGCAGTCTCTCCCTCGTGTACCTACAGGTAATGTTTGGAAAGTCAAGGACTGGGGAGAAATTGAGACTTCAGATTCCTTAAGAAGCAAAGGCGAGGTTCTTTTTGTCTCAAGAAGAGTTTGTCAGTTAGACTCATGGTTCTCAACTAGGGTAGATTCTGTCCCCCTCAAGGGACAGTTGGCAATGTCTGGAGACCTTGTTGGTTGTTACAGATTCGGGGGATGGGGAGGTGCTCCTGGCATCTAGTGGGTGGAGGCCAGGGTTGCTGCTAACCGTCCTATAGTGCACAGGACAGCCTCTCCTCAACAAAGAGTTATCAGGCCCCAAATGTCAAGAGTGCTGAGGTTAAGAAACAATAAGGCAGACTGAGTTTTGAAGTGAGGTAGAAAGCGGGACTCTACTCCAGAGACAGGCTCAGATGCTGGACCAAATTGAGGACTAGGTAAAACAGGGCCAGGGTGGAAGCAGCTTTCTGTAAGACATGCCCACTAGTGTGCCATGTCAGCTTACCATTGCCATGGCAACACCTGGGCATTACCTCCCCTTTACATGGCAATGACCTGATGACCTAAAAGGTACTACCCCTTCCCTAGAAATTTCTGCATGTAATACCCCTTAACCTCCATATTATTAAAAGTGGGTATAGGCCGGGCACGGTGGCTCACGCCTGTAGTCCCAGCACTTTGGGAGGCCGAGGCAGGTGGATCACGAGGTCAGGAGTTTGAGACCAGCGTGACCAACATGGCGAAACCCCGTCTCTACTAAAAATACAAAAACTAGCTGGGCATGGTGGCACACGCCTGTAATCCCAGCTACTTAGGAGGCTGAGGCAGGAGAATTGCTGCTTGAACTCGCGAGGCGGAGGTTGCAGTGAGCTGAGATTGCGCCACGGCACTCCAGCCTGGGTGACAGAGTAAGACTCTGTCTAAAAAAAAAAAAAGGGGGGGGGTTATAAATGTGGTTGCAAAACTGCTCTGAGCTGCTACTCTCTGGCCATGGGGTAGCCTTGCTCTACAGGAGCAGTCACAGAGCTGTAACATCTCCTCTTCAATAAAGCTGTTTTTTCCTCTACCTCTGGCTAGCCCTTGAAATCTTCCCTGGGCAAAGCCAAGAACCCCTGTGGGCTAAGCCCCACTCTTCTACTAAAGTAGTGTAAGACCATCATTGCAAACCTTTAAAACATATAACCTGTAGGAAGGTTTGGGATTTGGGCTGGAATAGGGCAAAAAATTCTAGACAGCAAATAAAGAGACCCAGGTATAGATAGGAGTTGCCCAGTTCAGGAGGTACTTTCTGAAGGGCATCTTTCAGGACAAATCTTTTCCTGATGCAGACAGACGTAGTACTGGTTTTCATTCATTACTATTGCTGATGTGGGCCTACTTGTGTAAGTCAGTTGATATTCATTAAACTCTTACAAGGCATTCTTTATGATAATGAAACATAAATGATGATAGCATATATGATATAAAACTGAATTGTAATTAGCTTTGGAAAATAGTACTTGGAAGTTTCTATTTAAGCCTCTTTCTAGCAAACTCTCAAATATTCATGTAACAAAAGAAGACAGCATAAAACATTGAAGTGAACTGTTTTTTTCATTTACCCATTAATTTCTTTTTTTTTTTTTTGAGGCGGAATCTCACTCTATCGCCCAGGCTGGAGTATAGTGGCGCGATCTCGGCTCACTGCAAGCTCTGCCTCCGGGGTTCACACCATTCTCCTGCCTCAGCCTCCCGAGTAGCTGGGACTGCAGGCGCCCGCCACCACACCCGGCTAATTTTTTGTATTTTTAGTAGAGACGGAGTTTCACCGTGTTAGCCAGGATGGTCTCTATCTCCTGACCTTGTGATCTGCCCTCCTCAGCCTCCCAAAGTGCTGGGATTACAGGCGTGAGCCACTGCACCCGGCCTTACCCATTAATTTCAAGCAATAGGTTTAATCTTTTTATTTTCTTCTAAGAGCTGCTAATGAATAGTACAATGGCTGGTTTACGTATCGTGTTTCCCTGGCTTTCCCAATCCTTGGTGAAGATGTTAGGTTCAGATTATGAAATAGACAATATTTGACCCTTTGTGGTATACAAATATAGCATTTTCCTGTGGTTCTAATAGAAGAAGGTAGTGATCTAAATACAACCCCACCACCCCTACCAGGGCCGTTTCCAGCCTGATACTGAAGTAGGACAAATAAATTGCCTATTTTTCTTTCTTTTTTTTTCTTTCTTTCTTTCTTTTTTTTTTTTTTTTTTTTTTGAGACAGAGTCTTACTCTGTTGCCTAGGCTGGAGTGCAGTGGCCCAGTCTTGGCTCACTGCAACCTCCGCCTCCTGAGTTCAAGTGATTCTCCTGCCTCAGCCTCCCGAGTAGCTAGCTGGGATTATAGGTGCGTGCCACCACGCCTGGCTAGTTTTGTATTTTTAGTAGAGATGGGGTTTCACCATGTTGGCCGGGCTGGTCTCGAACTCCTGAACTCAAGTGGTCCACCTGCCTAGGCCTCCCAAAGTGCTGGGATTACAGGCTTGAGCACCTGCGCCTGGCCTCTTTTTCTTCTGAAACTTTGCAGATGTAGCTATAGTCTCATTCTGACCAGTCTTCAAAGGACTCTGGCTTTAGACCTGGGGTTTCTCTCCAAAATACTTAAGAGCCAGAGGATGCTGTCCTTCAACAGCTCCTTTGGAGAAGCAAAGACTCATCCCCCAGTTTCTCTCCTCTGTAAGTATTGATTTCTGTGTGTTCTCTTTTCTGCAGGCGTATGGTATTCCTGTTTGGGTAATTGTTAAGGATGACATGGGAGAAATTCTCGGTTATGTTCAGTCTGTCATTTAATTTATATTTCATAAATGCTTCTCAGTAACTAAATATAGGTGTATAAAATTGATTGTAATAGATATTTGCAGGAAAGTTTTCACCCATATATTTAGTTGAAGTCAGTAAAAATGTCATTTTCAGATAATTATTCAATGTCAGGTGCTTATGTTTATACAGTTTACTTATTCCTAAATATATTTGGATCTCTATCTTACTATAAATTTTCAGTTGGTGCATCTTTAACATCTTTGTGAGAAAAATTCAATATAATCTCACATACTACAGGTTGTTTGAAAGTCTTATTTTTTCATTGTTTATGTAAAACTGTTAAACATTCATGAACATTATTTAAAATAAAGATGTTGGTCTTTGAGGATGAAATTAAGAATGTAGAAATGCATACCTTGGTTTCCCAGAATTGAGTTCATCCTAATATGAAACAGCAAGAAATCAGAACCCTGTTTATTATAGTATTATCTTTGTATTTGAAAGCAGGTGTGTGTTCTTGAAAATATTAAACAGAAGTCATAGAGCTACATATTGGCCAGTCAGGAAACTCTCTTCTTCTTACCTTCCATCCCACCTCCAGACTGTTTGCCTAATCCCGCTTTGTGATGTCTGTTGTGCTGGTATAACGATATTTGAACTCTCTGATGAAAACTTTGGCCGCAATTGACCCTTCCCTAAAGTTGAAGAGATTTCTCCAAATAAGGAAATGAAGGGAGTTAAGAGGGTAAGTCATACAGTTTGGATGTGTATCCCCGCCCAAATCTCATATGGAAATGTAATCCCCAGCATTGGCAATGCTGCCTGGTGGAAGGATTGTGGGAGTGGATTTGTCATGAATGGTTTAGCACCATCTGCCTTGGTACTGTCCTCCTGATAGTTCTCATGAGCTCTGATCTTTTAAAAGTGTTTGGCACCTCCCTGCTCTCTCTCTTGGTCTTGCTCTGGCCATGTTAGGTGCCTGCTTCCCCTTTGTCTTCTGCCGTGATTGTAAGTTTCCCGAGGCCTCCCCAGAAGCCAAGCAGATGCCAGCATCATGCTTTCTGTACAGCCTGCAGAACCATGAGCCAGTTAAACTTTTTAAAATAAATTACCCAATCTCGGGTGTTTTCTTTACAGCAGTGTGAGAATGGGCTAATACAATAAGTGAGAAAGAAAGGAAAATTTGCCCAACTATATATCATCTTTCCCAGGTAATTGGGAGTTTTCTGTGCTTTCATTCCCATGAGGAAATGTCTCTATACATGCTACAGAAAAGATCTACTCTTTTGTGATTGTCATAGTCAGCTACAGTGATGCCTCTGGAAAAATAAGACTGCCACAGCTGAAGCCCAAGCTCTTAATGACCAAGGTAGTTATTTGCTGTGATGTTGCTGCTTTTGTTGATACCATCAAAGGCATTATTTGAGGCATAGCTTGCTTTCCTAGCCAGCTTCCCAACTGTCGTTGTGCACGTTCATTGCCCAAGTGCAATTGCAAGTGCAGGGGCTACAGTGATGAATAAGACAGTCCTTGTCCTTGAGGAAGAGCCCACAGTCTGGTGGGCGGAAAAATTATAAGGGTTATAAGCAAAACAATAGCAATTTTTATTGTGTTCAAAAACGCACTTTCTTCTGGTGACAGGATAGTCCTAATACTGGTCTACATTTCTACCACATATGAATATGTAACATGCATTTCTCTTTTCTTTTACATAGTAGCTGGCTATCTTAATGACTGTATTAACAATTTTCAGATTTTAGTTATATCTAAATGTCGCTACTTTTGCAAGTGAACATCCTGCTGAAACGTATTCAGTTGGGAAGAATCTGGCCTTTTTGAAAGGGCATTTTCTGAATGTAGCAAATTACCACTGATAGTTTAATGCAATTAGGAAAATGGAAGTGAATGGCAACGAAACTGATTAAAACCATGAGTTGTGTCACAGAATAAACCATAAATGATATGAGTAACTATAATGCCATAATAAGACACTGTCATTACTTGGTACTTCCTTCTTCAGAAGCCTGGTAACAGCATCACAGGAGCCTGAAAATGGATTAAGTCATTGTTTGAATGTGGACATATTCTAGTCTCACATATTTTAGTCTCAGATACGATGCTTCATTTAATTATGTCTATAAATTTATTACCTACAGACATTATCTTTAGGGTCAAGGAGACAAGGTATATGTTATTGTTCCCATGGTAACTTTGTACTTAAAATGGCAGGCTGCGCTTACTTGATTTAAAAATATCTACAGTTTGATTGCTGTAAAAACCTGTGTTCATAATTTGCTCACGTCCAGTGACTCACTCCTCATTTAACTGGCATTTCAGCAAATGGCTTGATCACATAAATTGTTTGGAGAACTAACAGAAGGTTATTGCTCTAGGGCACTAAAGATATTTTAGATTTCTATCATTTAAGATTTTGAGTTTTAAAAAATAGTTTACATGTGTTTTTGCCAAGTTAAGAGTGAAACAACCTTAGTGGAATGTTTCTTTTCTTTTTGAGACAGGATCTCACCCTGTTGCCCAGGCTGGAGTGCAGTAGCAGTGATTATGGCTCATTGCAACCTCGGCCTCCTGGGCTCAAGCGATTCCCCCACCTCAGCCTCCCAAGTAGCTGGAACCACAGTTGTGCACCACCACATCTGGCTAATTTTTGTGTTTTTTGTAGAGATGGGGTTTTGCCATGTTGTCCAGGCTGATCTCGAACTCCTGAGCTCAAGCTGTCTGCCTGCCTCAGCCTCCTAAAGTGCTGGGATTACAGGCATGAGCCACTGGACCTGGCCTCATGTTTGTTGATAATTCATGGGCACAGTGATGAATTGTACTTTGGTGTGATATGGGGCATATTAAGCTAGCAGAAGTTATAAGGCAGATGTGCCTACTGGCTTTTCACTTGAATTTATAACAGTGGACTTGAAAGTTTCGATCTATTTGTATCTCTCCTCTGCTGTCACAGAAGTCCCATTTTAGCCAACCTGCTGCCTTATTTTTTAAGATGGAGCCTCCTTACACACACACACACACACACACACACACACACACACACACATTAATAAACTAATACATGTTCTTTTCAAACAAACTTAAACAGTGCAGACATGCTGCATTAGTTTCCATCCAATAGCTTGGCGTGGGTGCCTGGGAACAGCTCTACCTCAGGAGGAAGGTGCTGGGCTTTGTGGCTGCCCTTAACCACTGAGAGTCTTTATACGTGACTATTTTGCAGATGACTGGGGTTTCCAACGCACTTCAAATTTGAGACAAGCAGGGAATAACAATTTATGTAGATATATCTGAGCCTGAATTGCATTGTGTATCCCCATTGGTGACTCCAAAGTCTCCTACTTTGGAGACGTGAGCAATGACAATTCTGTGTTGGTTTTTTCTTTCTGTTTAGATATCCATTCCAAAAACTTGGGGACAGTGTAGGAAGAGAACTGCTTCCACTGTGAGCTTCTCTTTTATCCATCTCTGCCTTTATGGCACTCTTTCATTGGCAGAGTGTGTGTGTATTTCTGTGTTGGCATCTTTTTTTGATGGCTCAGACAACCTCCCTTGGTCTCTGAGAAAATAAAATTATAGCTCTAGCCTCATGAGGCAGGCCCAGAGACTGCTGCCTCAGGCGCCCTTCCTGCTGTATACCTCCTGAGGTTGGATAGAGCAGCTGAAAATCCGGCCGAGCCTTTCAGAGCCTCTTAGGGGATATTTAAGTGGCAGATGCACTTAATTATTAGATATGTTCCAAATGCAGGAGAATGAGCTTTGAGAGAGTTTTGAATTTGGGACAAAAGGATGCTTCTTATGAATCAACTTGATTTTCACAGAAATCAGAATGTGTATATCAGTCAAGAAATGAAGGGATATATACACACACATATACGTAATACATATATACATGTACATACATACCTATTATAAAATGGCAGATATGCAGGCAGACATGCATATACAAGTATGTGGTGTGTATATAACAACCATTGTACACATATATACATATTATATGCACATATACATGATACATATATACGCGCAAAAAAATTTACTGAGTCCTTACTATGTGTAAGTCCTGTTTCACCTGAATCAACTAATGTAATCCTCATTGTATCACAGATGTGACAACCGAGGTCACATGGCTAGGGAGTGGCAAGGCCAGTATTTAAGCCCAAGAATTCTGGCTCCAGCTGTGTTTCTCACCTCCTCCTGATGGAGGGGGTGCAGTCAGTGTCATTTAAAGGCATGATTGATTTGGTTTGTTGGGTGTTGGTGTTCATAACCACAAAGGGACCTGCTGAGAGAGAGAGAGAATGGAGAATGCCATTTTTCCTACCTGTTTTCATCAGCCAGTACAGGAGAGAGAATAGGGGAACTTGTGGCTCATTTTAAAATGGTACCAATGATGGCACAGGCACACCTTTTTTTTTTTTTTTTTTTTTTACACATTTTTTAGAGACGGGGTATGGCTCTGTTGGCCAGGCTGGAGTACAGTGGTACAGTCACAGCTCTCTGCAGCCTCAGATCCTGAGCTCAAGTGATCCTGCCACTTCAGCCTCCCAAGTAGCTGGAACTACAGGGGCACACCACCACGCCCAGCTAATTTTTGTATTTCTGGTAGAGATGGGGTCCCACTATGTTGCCCAGGCTGGTCTTGAACTCCTGGGCTTAACTGATCCTCCTGTCTTGGCCTCCCAAAGTGCTGGGATTACCGGAATGAGCCACCGTGCCCAGCTGTGGCACACTTTTGTTGGTGGGTTAGATCTGGGGAAAGTAGTCACAATCAATTGGGCCAGATCTGATGAGTAAGGTGGATGACACCCCAGAGGTCTGTCATTTTAGGATTCAGTAAAAATAATGTAAATTGTTGATCCTCTCTGGAGGCACTTCCAAAGGAAGAGTGGGAGCATCTTTGGCTGCCAGGTGGCTTGAAAGAACAGTTTGCTGTATGGATGCTTTTGTAATTATTAATAAAACACACCTAATTTCATTACTTCATTATACTCTGTTAGCTACAATATAGATTTGTTTGCTCTAATAGAACCCCCCAAAATGTTATTCAGCATGCCAGAAGTTTCCATACCTCTGATGTGGAAGTCCAAGCTGGCACAGGGACACTCCTCCCCAAAGGGGTCAGAGACCTAGGCTCTGTCTTATTCTATCATACTCAACACGTGGCTTCCATTTCATGATCTAAGACAGCTGCTGCAGTTCCTGCAATCACCTTCACATCCCTGCTCATAGGAAGAAGAAAAGGGAGTTCAGGCCCTTCTCTTTAAAGGCCATTCTGTGGACGTTGCATCTGTCACTTTTCACATCCCAGTAGCCGGAACTTGGTCATAGAATCACACCTAGCTTCAAAAGACTCTGGAAAATGTAATCTTTAGCTGGGCAGCCAGCTAAAAATATTATTACCATAGAAGATGGGGGAGTAGATATTGGAAAACAGTGAAGAGCATCTGCCATACTTATGTATAAAAAAAGTAAAACTAGTAAAAACATATCACATGAACCTTCAGATTTTTTAAAAATCTCAGATGTTAGAATAATTTGATTTTTCTTTCAGAATAATGATACACTGGCAATTAATGTTCCACATTAACATTGCAAATGTAAAACTTTGAAAGACCCATGTAGCTTATGGTATAACTATTAAGAAATCCATGATGAGGCAGGGTACAGTGGCTCACATCTGTGATTTCAGCACTTTGGGAGGCCGAAGTGGGCAGATCTCTTGAGCCCAGGAGTTCGGGACCAGCCTGGGCAACATGGCGAAACCCCATCTCTATAAAAAATAAAAAAATTAGCCAGGCATGTTGGCACATGCCTGTGGTCCCAGCTACTCGGGAGGCTGAGATGGGAGGATTGCTTGAGCCTGGGAGGTTGAGGCTGTGGAGAGCCGTGTTCATGCCACTGCACTCCAACCTGGGCAACAGAATGAGACCCTGTCTCGAAAAATTCATGATGGAGAAAAGGGAGAGTTTTTCACATAGTTGAGAGTATGAAAGCATGTTGAGTATAAATTTTGTTATTTTGTGAAATGCTCCAAAATTAAGACCGAACAAGACAGAACAAGAAGATACCCAACTGTTTATGGTTAGCATTTGAAGTTGGTTCACCCTCTGCTTTTGATTCATGTTTTGACCAGTGTAAATTGAGAAAGGATATATTTCATAATATGAGATTATGCTAGTTTGAAGTTACATTGAACACTGAGGCCTAACCCTACCTCAAGGTCAGGTGCAGTGTAGTGATCTAAAAAGAATGGAGGCTGGGCATGGTGGCTTACGCCTGCAGTCCCAGCACTTTGGGAGGCTGAGGTGGGCAGATTGCTTGAGCCCAGGAGTTCGACCAGCCTGGGCAAGATGGTGACATCCTGCCTCTACAAAAAAAAAAATACGAAAATTAGCCAGGCATGGTGGTGCATGCCTGTGGTCCCAGCTGCTCAGGAGGCTAAAGTGGGAGGATCACTTGAGCCCAGGAGGTCGAGGCTGCAGTGAACCAAGGTTGTGACACTGCACTGCAGCCTGGGCAACAAAGTGAGATCCTGTCTCAGATAGATAGATAGACAGACAGACAGACAGGGAAGACTGGGACGTGCTATAATTGTCTTGAACTGTTTATTCAAGGTAATATCTAATATCTTCCTATGTTCTAATTATAAGCATATGGCTCTCAGCTACACAAACTTTTGATTACAAATATTTAATACTTTTCATCTAAATAAAAGGTAACTAAAGTATATGCTGTATTTTCCTCACACTGACATAAGATGGATTCAGTGATTTTGCAGATGTCAAGTGGAGTTTTCTTCAGGCCAAGATACGGAAACAAAATAAACAAACTGGAAATTTGTAATTTTCTTCCTATAGTAACCATATGGGGAGTCATTTTTAAATAGCCAAGATTGTATCAAGTGCAGAAGGCGATGATTATCCTAGTGGCACTTGTAAAATGAAGTGACAGTTTCTTACAATGTTCCAACCTTCCACTGAGGAAAAGTAGGAATTCCTGCCCTCCCTAAGCTAAGTGCCCCAACTATTTCTTTCATTGCCTGAGCAGTTCTCTCTTTTGCCTTCACATTATTGGCTCTCTATTTAGATTAACATTTTAATTTTTTTTTTCAAATTTGAAAAAATACTGACCTTTTTCCAGTTGTATCTATCAAAAGGATTGCTTCAAAAGCATCTTGTTCCCTAGTCTTTTACCAAATTATTCTAGGCACAAACCTCATATTAACATCAAAATCATAAAGAACAAAAGTAATGGAGGAGGTCAGATGATTTGGGGTGTTAAAGCAAGTTTCTGCAGTTGGGTTTTAGATGCTATTAAAGCATTCTGTGTATGAAGTGCTTTAAACAGTAACAACAATTTCATCTTTTATTGGTTCAGCATCTCTTGGCTGTCTGAACTATAGAGATTTTGCAGCAGTGGAATATACATCCGTAGAGAAACTACACAAAAATTGTACTTTCTTTAGCAGTGTTTTTGGAATTGAATTTTAGAAATAGAAGTTAATATTTTGGATTTTATTCTTGGATTCACTATAGATTAAGCCTATTCACTATAGATTTGGTAAGTTTGTTCACCTTTGTCTTGGCCTCAGTTTTCTGTTCTATGAAAAGAAAATAGTGGTAGGACAAAGGAAATAACGCCCTATGTGGTTGGAGCCTGGGGAAGGGCGTCTGGTGGTAATAATGTCTTAAATGTCACAAATTTGTGACAGTATTTCAGGTCAGCCAGGAGATTGGTTATTGGTGAGTGGAGTTCACATTTGCCTTACCTTGAAATGTTTTCCAACACTTTGGTAGCAAACTACATCCTCAGTGTGAAGGGAAATGTGTAACAGTTTTTCTTTGGGAAATATTTTTATTGACTTAGCTCCATTTTGTGAGTCACATATTCCAGCTTATAGCAGAGCCTGCTGCAGTTAGTTTGCCAGGCAAATACCCAATAAGATCACAGAGCTCAAGCTTGTATTATGTAAACCTCTTGGTGTGTTATTTTATTTCAGGAGGGCTTGAGACAGACTGATGAGCTGTTACATGATCGTGGAAACAGAGCCTAGTTTTAGAAGTAAATTTAGTTTGAAAAGTAATTGTAAAGGCCAAAATTGATAGACCTTTCATGGTCTGTGTAGCTGCCTTTCCAATATGATGGTCACTAGCTGTTTAAATTGAAATTAGTTACAATTAAGTTAAACTCAGTTCTTTAACCGCAGTAACTACATTTAAAATCTTCAGTGGTGGCATGTGGCTTGAGACTACTATGTTGGACGACAAAATACAGTATATTTCCATCATCACCAAAATTTCCTTGCTGGACAGCATTTGTCTGTAGCCACCTAAGAAAGAATTATGGTATAGCAAGGAGGAGGTTTGAGATGGAAGTTAAGAGATGACTCTATTCTAATTTGGGCCCTTAAAAGTTCTGTGACCATATATCTGAACCACTCTAGGCCTCAGTGCACACATCAGTACTGCAGTGACTTCTGTATACTTTTGTATATTTATATTGCAATGCTAACATGAAGATCGGATATACTAGTATCATTTTATGGTTTAGAGAGTGGACTTTGGAGTCAGACTGCCAGATTTAAAATACCAGTTACTTCTAAATTAATGTCTGGGCCTTGATTTTCTGATCTGAAAAACTGGAGCAATAAAATACCTCCTTTGCATGATTGAGTGTTAAATAGTTTCATACATGTGAAGTGCATAGAACAATTCCTGGCCCATGGAAAATAGTGTTTTAACTATTATGTATATCATCCATTGAAGAGTATAAGGTGCTATCAAAAGCTTTTGTTACAAATGCTGTTTTCAGTTTGCCGTTACTTTCTGGGTCTTTGAACCTCCTTGTAACATGTTATATAGGAATGTAAATGTGCCACATGGTAGCTTCTTAATGCTTAGTTGTCCTGCATAAATTAATCCCCTTTAGAAAGTAAATTACTTACAATTTAGAATGGCATACTCATGGTCTGTTCTTTAATCCACCTGTATAATTGGTTCTTCTCCAAAGATATTAACAAGCTTGACGTCGATGCTGAGAAATTCTAGAGCAGAAGAGCAGACTCTCCCTTCACTGTTATTTGTGTTCCTCTCTCTCCAATTCCTTAGATTGTAGGACGAAGTAAATCACAAGGGCCAGTGTCTTGTTTAGAAAGGTTTTGTCATACCGCACAGGCGGCCTGCATCCGTTTTCAGTGGGGTGGTTTAACTTGATGAGGCTAATGCCAAGATACAGTACTCAGAGTCCACCGTGTTTGACATAGTCATCAACGGTCTTCCTTTTGGACTTCTTTTTGGATGAGGGGAAATGTGCATTCGCCCAGTGGCTCTCACCCTGACTGTACAGTGGAGTCACCTAGAGAGCTTTAAAAATGCCGATGCCTGGCCCCACTCACAGAGGTTCTGATGTAATTGTGCAGGGTGCTGACTGGGCTTGGGGATTTTTAAAAGCTTCCCAAATGATTCTGATGTGCAGCCAGGGTTGAGAAGTGCTAGGATGGCCTGCACTGAGTGATATGGAAAGGATACTTTTTGAAATATGGCCCAAACATTGCCGGTTAAGGGGGAGCCACACCACCCTCCAGGGTGGAGGTAGCTGGTGGCTTTTCTCCGGGTCTTGTCCAGTTCCACAGTTTTATCAGTAATAGGAATCAGTGCAAAGTATACTGATCAGACCCATGGATAACGCGGTTCACCTGAAAGGGGAGACTAGCTGTTAGGTTACAGGTGCCAAAGGCCTTATTGACGGGTAGGAGGGAAAGATGAGTGAATCTAAGGGGAAGGCAAACCTTTTAGTTACTTTAAATAAAACCAACTGAGCAGGTATAGGATACAGAAAGCTTAGCTCAACAGCTGCATGGAAGTTTTGGTTGACTGACAGCTGCAGTAGTTAAGAGTGTATACTTAGAAACCAGTCCTGTGTTTGAATCTGGCTTTACTGTTTCCTCCTGGGGGATCTGGAGCATGTTCCTTAACCTTTCTGAGCTTCGGCCTCCTCTTCTATTTAGTGGGAATAAGAAAAGGCACCCACTTAATTTCATTATTATGATAATTAAATGAGATGATTTATGAAAACTGTGACTATAATACCTGGCCCATAGTCAGTACCATGATTATAAATAATAAGGGCATGATTAGCATCATGTTGATCTTCGTCATCATCCTTGTAATAAGCCTGTCTGAAGAGCCTGTGGCATCAGCAACGACATAAATTGAAATATCTGGCATGGAGCATCTTCATTGTTCAAATATACCATACTAATGTAAGATATTAACAATATGGCTGAGCACGGTGGCTCACACCTGTAATCCCAGCACTTTGGGAGGCCTAGGTGGGCAGGCGGATTACTTGAGGACAGGAGTTTGAGACCAGCCTTGCCAACATGGTGAAGCCCTCTCTCTACTAAAAATACAAAAATTAGCTGGGTATGGTGGTGCACACCTGTAATCCCAGCTACTCAGGAGGCAGAGGCACAAGAATCACTTGAACCTGGGAGATGGAGGTTGTAGTGAGTTAAGATCATGCCACTGCACTCCAGCCTGGGCAACAGAGTGAGACTGTCTCCAAAAAAAAAAAAAAAAAAAAAAGGATATGAACAATAGGGCAGATTAGATGTGAGGTATGTTATGAACAATAGGGCAGACTGGGTGTGAGGTATGTGGGAACCCTCTGTACCATCTTTGCAATAATTCTGTAAATCTAAAAATGCTTTAAAGGTTAAAAATGTTATTGCCAATGTAGTACTTGGCTTAAGTGGGAATATAATATTTTTTTGTTCATTTTCCAACAAATATTTGTGTGCTAGCTTTGTGTTCAGTAAATCTGAAGTTTAGCCCTCACATGAAGAACGAAAATGTTTTTGTGTTAAGTATTTCTGAGGCAGACGTTTCTAAGATATGTATCTCCATATGCATGCTGAACCAAATTTGATCCATTTAAAATTTCTTTATTTTGAAATAATTTTGGATACAGAAAAGTTATAAAAATAGTACAAAGTTTCTGTTAAACCGTTCACCAAGCTTCCCCTAACCTTAACAACTTACATAATCTTAGTACAACTGTCAAAACTGGGAAATTGACACTGATAAAATGCCAGTAACTATAGCATTTACTTGGATTTCCCCAGTTTTTCTCTTTGCTGTGGCAGGATCCAATTCAGGATCTCACATGGCATTGAGTTGTCCCATCTCCTTAGTTTCCTCCAACTTGTGATAGTTCCTAAGTTTTTCCTTGTCTTTCGACTTTGACTCTTGAAGAGTACGAGTCAGGTATTTTGTAGCATGTCCCTCAATTTGGATTTGTCTGACATTTTCTCATGAGTACATTAAGGTTGTACATTTGAGGCAAAAATGCCACAGATGGGATGTTGTACCCTTTGCAGTGTGTCATATAAGGGGGCACATGATGCCAATATATCTCACTGCTGGTGATATTAATCCTGATCATTTGGTTAAGGGGGGCATCTGCAGGTTTTGATCAATTTTTTTTAAGACAATGTTTTCAGAATAGTTTCAGGTTCACAGCAAAATTAAAAGCAAGGTACAGAGATTTCCTATATACTCACTGCCCTCACACATGCATTGCCTCCCCCAAGTTTTAATGTATTTTTTATAAGTATCTTTGATAATAGATACCACTCATGTGCCATATCACAATATAAGAGTGAGATGGGAGGAATTATGCCAACACATTAAGTGGTTTCAAATAGCTGTGCTTTTGACTTTTTACATGTAATTTCCATAATTTTCTCTCTTTAATCTCATTTGTGCTCTCAGTAATGACTTCTCCCTATTTTCAGAGTTGTGCCACCAGTAGCAATTGATAAAGCGGAGAAGCTGTTATAATTGTGTGTAAAGTAAAAGTGAATAGGCTATAAATCAAGACTTGAGAGAGTCCTCTGGAAATAAAATACATTAATAGGTGTTATTTGAAGCATTTTTTTCTGCCAATTTTAAGAACGAAGTGCAATCTTCAATAGTCCATTTTAACATTAAACAAACCTGGATTTGAATCTATAAGTTTGTTTTTGTTTTTTTAGAGACAGAGTTTCGCTCTTGTTGCCCAGGCTGGAGTACAATGGTGTGATCTCGGCTCACTGCAACCTCCGCCTCCCGGGTTCAAGTGATTCTCCTGCCTCACTGGGATTACAGGCATGCACCACTACACTTGGCTAATTTTGTATTTTTAGTAGAGACGGGGTTTCACCATGTTGGTCAGGCTGGTCTCGAACTCCTGACCTCAAGTGATCCACCCACCTCGGCCTCCCAAAGTGCTGGGATTACAGGCGTGAGCCACTGTGCCCAGCCGAATTTAACTATAACTTTAAATGGTTAAGAGTAATTTGTAAAGTCAGACGAACCTGGGTTTAAATCCTGGTATTACCCCTCACTAGCAAATTATTTAGCTTTTCCAAGCCACAGTCTCTACAACCAAAAAACCATCTCTTGGGTTGTCATAAAGAGTAAATGAAAAGATGTAGGGAATGTGCTAGGCACTGTGTCAGTACATGGGAAGTACCCAATCAATGTCAGTTGCTGTCTTTGATATTATCCCCCATAGGGCTTTTGTGGTCGCTTAAGAGTTGACAGAGCACAAAAGGATAAATAATTAGCTTTACACCCTAATTAATCTGTAATTGTGCTGTAGGACTACCAGGAGACACAGAAACAGAAAAAGCATAGAGACTATTTTGTATATTTATTCCATCATATTTATGTGTAGTTGAGATCATTCTAAAGTTAGTGGTCTTGCTTTTATGACCATCATTCCTGAATCAATCTGGAGATGACCGGAGAACACAAGAGCATTTTGCCCCATAACTACCACATAATTTACTAGTAAAAGAGGGATCTGTTGAGATTAGCTTATGAAAATTGTCCTTTGGAGTCAAGTTTGGGAATATCTGATCATTAAAAAGAGTTTATGAACTTGGGTGATTTTTCCTTCCCAATAATTCTTTGAAGTACTAGATATTTCTAATGAATTTGAGCCTAAAATATGAAGATCATATAGGCTAGACATTTCTTTTAAAACCCATAAAAATCCTATATTTGCTCTATGTCTAGAAAGGTAAGGTCTAGTTAGGTTGTGGTTTGAAAGATATGAGTTACAACATGAGTGATATAGAGTACATCCATTGAGTTTAAAATTTCATCTAATCACAATTATTTCAAACTGATAATCTTTTAACAGCCTAGCTCTATGGGTAGCCGTTAAAGAAAAAATGTATCAAATCTCCAATACTTAGTGACCAGTAGAGTCAAATTCAGCTATCCTCCCCACCCCCTTCCCCCAATAGGGACATGGTGTCCTAGAAACAGCCAGACCTATACTGGATTCCATTTTAGTGCTGAGCCTCCAAAATGGGTCTTTAGAATTAAATTTGGCTATTAGCCCAGACTTACTCAAATTTGTAACAAGCAGTGCTTTGTATTTCAGCATGCTCCCTAGCCCCCAACTTTGTAACTGGTTAGGGGAGGGGAAGTGGGAGGAGGTGCATGAACAAAAAACAAAAGCAGCTGCTGGAGAGAAAACCCAGTGAAAGGGGGTGAAGAAAAACAATTCGGCCACAACAGCTGTTCAGATTCTCAAAAGAAGAAGCCTTCACTTTACATTTGATCTCTCTAAAGTTTTTGAAGGTTTCGAGATGTTCTTTATTTGGGGAGAAATGAAATGAAGTCTATGAAGCTGGTGGATTAATGTATAAATGAAATTGATTTAGGAGACCAGTGACTCTTGAATTAACACAGCCCTTGCCTCTTTTTACAATTCTGAACTATTGTTTAATATTCAGCATCAAGATGGATTCAGAGGGTTTTTTTTTTTAATCCCATTGTGTCACGAATGGAGGATATAACTGGCTCAGACCAAATCTTCTCACATCCAAGATCAAATAGGGGTTTTTAAGCTTATGGCAGTAGAATAACAAGTACATGTGGTACAAGGCTAGGAAACTGGGAAGGCAGGCAGCAGTAGAACCTTGATCTATCTTGTGGGAAGCTCTTATGATAGCTAATTACACATATTGCTGGTCTAAAAAATCAGAATTACCCAGGCAACATGGAAGAGGCAGAATGGTTGGCTGGACTAGAAAACTCCTTCTTGGAGGCGGTCATCTTCATGTTGTACTAGAAAACTCCTTCTTGGAGGCGGTCATCTTCATGTTGTACAGATGGCCTACGTATGTGCAATATTTACATCATTGCGTTTCTTAGCACCACGGGCGAGTTTGGCATTTTACAAGGTAGCTCACTCTGAAAGGTAATTTTATCATAGTATTTAGGAAATATTCCACGTCAGCCACTGAGTTTAAGAAACTGTGTGAAGAACTAAAATTCTTCATAGAGCCACATTTGAGTATGGAATGATTTGGTATGCTGGAGGCCATAGCACATCTTTGAACATCAAATAATTGGATTTTTTGAGCATCAAATAATTGAATTTTTCTTTTCTTTTCTTTTCTTTTTTTTTTTTTTTTGAGACAGGGCCTCACTCTGCTGCCCAGTCTGAAGTGCAGTAGCATGATCACAGCTCACGGCAGTCTTGACCTCCTGGGCTCAAACGATCCTCTTACCTTAGTCTCTCGAGTAGCTGGGACTACAGGCGTGCACCACCATGCCTGGCTAATTTTTTAATTGTAGAGATGAGGTCTCGCCATGTTGCCCAGGCTGGTCTCAAACTCCTGGGCTCAAGCAATCCTCCTGCCTTGGCCTCTCAAAGTACTGAGATTATAGGTGCGAGCCACCACATCTGGCGTGATTTTTCTTGAAGGCAGATGTGGGCCTGAACTGGAGGAAGCCTGCTCTGAGCCTCACTCTATCTTGATCCCAGAAATAAATTTATTGTATAGCCTTAAGTTTTAGAGAGTTCAGGACACCTAGAGGATGGTTGTGGTGTAAACTGCTTGCCTGGTCAAACCTTAAGGATCTGCTTGGACTCTTCAGGACACATACCCCGAGAGTGTCAGGCCTGAGCCCCAGCTGGTCCCAGAGGTTTAATTCCTAGCACACCTAGTTTGTCTAACGTAGGGGTCTGCAAACTGTGTCTGCAAAGAGCCAGATAGTGAATATCTGTTGCAAGTAAACGGTGTTGTCGTAGTACAAAAGCAGCACTAGATGATACGGAAGTGAATGGGTGTGGGGCTCTGTGTCGATATAATTTGATTTGTGCTATAGTTTGCTAACCCCTGATCTGGAGAGAGGGCTCCCAAACAAGTGAGTCCACATGCCTCCAACAGGACTGTGGGGGATAGAACTCAGGAGGGATTGGGATAGGAAAAAAAATCTATCTGTATTGTCACTAACCTCTAACTGAAACAGCGTTTGTTCTCTTACGAATACAGGCAGCAAACCAGTGACTTAGCAATACTTGTGACTTTGGTCATTAATAGAAATCAAAGGTAATTTCATATCCCATTACAGTTATTGCAGGTATCTCAAAATATCATTAAACTCATCACTACTTTGGAAGTGTATGTTATACCTCCACTAGCATTAACAGAACATATGTATTCTACATTTATATAAAATTAAATGATTACATATATTTATTATATATTATGTATTTCAAACTTGTTTTTTATTTTGATGTATTTCAATTTAGTTTTCTTTCTAATGCTATGTATATTTTTTCGTGCATTTAAGAACATTGTTCTGTAAAGGAGATCTGGAGGGTTCAGCTGACTGCCCAGGGAGTCTAAGAAGCCCTGTCTAACTGGTGTCTTCATAATGGGGAGAACCTCCCCTTCCTCAAATGATCCTATCCCTCTCCTCCCAGCCACTGAGGGGCAGTCATCTCTAGCTCTACGGAGATGCCCCCACCCCATTTTCCCATATCATATTCCACCCAGCCTTCAAAGCCCTGCATGAGTCCACCTAGTCCTTTGTTCCTCTGGCTCCACCACCCTGGCTGCCAGACACAGGCATTCACCCCCGGCCCGTCTCATGGGGTGTTCTATTTGTTTAGTTTATGTTTCAGCCCTAGTGAGAGTCAGTTCTGGAATCCAATGGATCTGTGATTCCTTGTTGGAAGGAACCACTTCTCTTGCGCTGAGTAACGCATTGGTGTTGGATGACGGTGTTCATGATGACGAACTTATGCTGTCCTGACCATGCCTGGAGACTGGCCCTGCATTGGAGAAGATCCAAGAGTCTGCGTGGTAAAATGATAATGAACGTGAGCTTAGGGGCAGAATGCTGATGTGTTTATTCTGCTAACTATGTGCTTTGGGCAAGTGCCTATACTTATTCTCCCTGAGCTTCAATTTCCTCATTGGTAAATTGGGGATTATACTTACCTTTCAGGATGACATCAAGAGTAAATAATATACTGACTCTAAGAAAAGTGCCTGGAGTGGTGCCTGGTGCATGGCAAATGCTCAGTACCTGTGAGGTAGTATTTGCCTGGGCTGGTTGATGGTTGGGCGCTGGGGGTTAGCCTGGTATAAATCGAGATTTTGAGGTGGTCCTGTGAACCCAAAGATGCCTTGAGACCCTGCGTGGGAGACAGATGGAAGGAGATGTCTAAGCCTGGTGTCAAGGTGCTCTCACCTTGCAGAATCACAGTGGGCTGTGGTGGACCAGGAGAAGACCCCTTAACAAAGTATGGGAGTGAGTCTGTCTAAGTCAGCTAGCCCTTAATGAGGTCCTCCTCGAGTGAAGCTCTGATTCTGACACCCATGTTAGGTTGTGGTCATTTCTAGGACCCAGGGTCCAGCCCCAGAGATTCCTAGATAGTTCTAGGACCATCTGGTGGAATCAAACTATGGATAGACCCATTAATATCCAACTGGGTCCTCTTTCGTTGAGTCTCCCGCCCTCTTGAGGGAGACTGATCTTTAGTAACTTCTTTATGAGACTGGGTCAGGTGGGCCTCCTGTTGTTGTCTGTGGTGCTGCAGGTCATGTGCTTTGGTGGGCACCAGTAACTGTCATTGGAATTGCCAAGGTGGTGGGAATAAAGAGAGATGGGCTTCTCTGTGATTGAATTGAAGTTTGGTTGTGAGTGTGGGTCATGAGCCCTGACCGGGTAGGAGACAGAAGCCTGTGGTTCTTCTCCTGGTTTCCTTAGGGATTTTCAGCTGGCTCTTGGGCAGCTCCTTCAGGTGGTAGCTGTTGTGGCAGAATAGAAGAGTGCTGGACTGAGGAGCAGAGACCTGGGTCTCATGAGATCATGAGATCAAACCACTTAAACTCTGTGTGCTTAAGTGACTTCGTTGGCAATAGAGTAATACCCTCCCTGAAGAATAAATGAGGCGATGTTGAGAAAGCATTTTATGAGCAAGCCATTTTCATTAATGCAATGGGGGAAACATGCTATGTCTAGCTTAGAGGGCTGAAACGGTCAAATGAAATAATCAACGTAAATGCTAAAAAAAAAAAATCCAGTCCACATTTATGGAATTGCCTTTATTGACAAATTGAGCGAGGGTAAACATTCGTGTATTTAAGGCATGGAGTGTTTCCCAGTTGCTTTTGAAGGTACCCATTGTCACAAAGGAGTAAAGACCTTACTAAATGGGATCTTATTTGTATTTCTGTAGCAAAGGATTTTTGTTAAAGAAGATTCAAACTCAGAGATGGTAGACTGAGTCTGCCAGGAAAACCACACACTTATACTCCTGTTCCATAGTCAACTAATATTCTGCTTCTGCTACAAACTTAATGATCATATAGGAATTATGAATTTAGACCAACAAATGCCAAAACTTGAACTATACAAGTGTATAGTTTTAGTGTAACTTTGTGTTGTCACTTTTTGCTTCTATGTGACACTTAGCAATTCTTTTTTTAAAATAAAACAACATTAGAGGTCATTTAATTGTAATGACAAATAAAATCAGCAGGTAGACTTAGGATTTCAAAGCATCTCTTTCTTGGTTGGGAAAGCTCCCTGGAGGTCCAACTTGTAGTCCTAGGTTGAGTAGGGATCAATAGGAGAATTTACTGAAGGGGCCCTATGCTCAGTTTCACCAAGTTCACAGCCAGGTTCTTATGATCTGCATCCTTCAGGTACAAGTGTGTGTTCTCTACTCCAGTAGCAGACTTGAACCCAGAGTCCCCAGTACAAGGAAGCACATATTTTTGGATTTTGCCGTGTGACCTTGTCTGGCTGGCTGGACTTTAGGAACAACTGGTCCTCATCCCTGGCAGGTTTAGGGGGAGAGTGAAACCAAGTCAGATGACTCTGAAGCTCCTTCAAACACCACGACAGAAGGAATGGATTGAGCAAGAATAATTTTTATAGACTTGGAAGTTTGAGTCCTTTTTTTTTAAAAAAAAAAACAAGGAAGTGGGGCATTCCAGATGGTAACACAAGAAACCAGGGAGATGAGAGCAGATGAAACCTTGAGGGAGAAAATGAAATTCTCTCTGAATTAGGAGAAGCGGCTGCTTTCCCTCACATCTTCCTGTGTCTGTAACTAGCTTAGTGTTTGGGATGCTTATTTTCTATTTTCTCTGCATTTTTTTAGCTGCCTCAGTGACCACTTGACCATTTATGCCGAGGCAGTAGTGGATGTTTCCAATTCAGTGCTCCTTACCTCTTAGAAAGAGAAGGATTATGCTTTCTTCATGATTGTGAGTCAGTCTATGTTCAGATTTACATTCAACTAATATTTTTCAAATATTGGCCCAGATAATTTCAAGATATGCTATCTGATCCTCAAAACAATCTTATAAATGAGGCTCAGAGAGGCAAAGGGACATTGCAAGTCATACAGGGGTTTGCATATAGCCTCCTCTCTGTAAGTCTAGAACCATCTCTGCAGCTTCCTCCTGCGTTCACCATGTTGTGTGACTTTTGTAAATACTTGAACTCTATGGAAACTCAGGAATGATGTGAAATGTTATTAGTTGGAAGCCTTGTCAGAGAAAAATGGGCTAGAGAGTTCCGTTTGCAGGCTTGAGACTATAGTTGATGGGTCTGATTCTGAATTAAAACATCCTTTAGAAAATAGATCCCGCTTTTTTTAGAGACTATCCAAGATTTAAAAGTTAAGCAGCTTTGGAATATAGCAGGCAGATAGTTCTCCTGTAATGCTTGCTTTGAAACCATGAACAATGTGTGCATAATCAGAATCTTGGATTTGCTTAATACCATTTTTTCTTGCTGAAACATTAGGTGAATGCAGAAAACTGCGCCCACCTGAACTACATGACGTCAGAATACACAAAACACGCACGTGGCACAACCTCATATGTCTACAGCTACCTCAGTTTACCCCGCGTGTTAAGAGCCACACCTGTCCATACCTGGTGTTATGACTGTCCCTCCAATTTCGGGTAACCCTCCCTCCAGCCCTTCCCAGTAACTCACCAACCGCAGCCCTTCCGACACCCACCCCACAGCCAACTTCAGGCCTTTTTCTAGGCGAAGTGACACATTTATTGTTGTGTTTATGTATTTCTTAACTATTTAATGTGTGTAAAATGGTGCTACTATTTTTATTAGGTTGCAATCTTTTTGTAAATGTCACTGATTAAATTTTTGAGTGTTGCTTTCCTAACCCCATTTTTCCCATAAGCCCTGTGTTTTTTATTGTGCATTTTGCAAAGAGTGATGATTTTTAGGACCACCTATGAGGCATTACCGAACAAGTGACTGTGTGAAGCTTTTGGACTAAACCTTCCATCTAACTTCACTCTATTAAATGAGTTATTTTCAGGATAAGACAGTCTCATCTATTTACAAATACTTTATCATATAATGAAGTTCTACTTATGATTTATTCAGAATCCACACAAGAAGGCGTAGATTTGCTCAAGGAACAAAATTAATGACATTTTAAAATCTTACAACTGGAGAGGATGATTAATGGGAAAAGAGCTAACATTTCATGAAAACTAGCTTTATGCCAGGTCCTGTTGGATGCCTTCCAATAATGACTGCATTTCATTCTCATGTCAACCTGTTCGGGTGGTAGGGAATTTTGGCATGGAGAGAGTGAAAGTTGCTCAATGTCCGTACAGCTCCTAAGTGACTGGGCTGCGAGTCACCACTGAGGAGCAGCCCATCTGGAGGTATGATCACAGCAACATGGGCTCCAGACTGTTCTTGGTCCTTGTTGTTCATCGTCTTTCCCATTCCATACTTGCGTGTTTCTGTCTTCTGACACAAATAGACTACTAGTGGGTTCCTGTGGGTTGCTGCTGACAATCCATCCATTTACCCAGGCTACATTTTTGTATCCATTTTTTTCAACCTTTTAATTTTTTATCACCCCACAACCTGGGAGACTTTTTAAGCATTTTTTTTCCTAATTGCCTCCCTATGCAATCTTTTTTTTTTTTTTTTTTTTTTTTTTGAGACAGAGTCTCGCTCTGTCATCCAGGCTGGAGTGGCACCATCTCGGCTCACTGCAACCTCTACCTCTTGGGTTCAAGTGATTCTCCTGTCTCAGCCTCCTGAGTAGCTGGGATTACAGGCGCCCACCACCACGCATGGCTAATTTTTGTATTTTTAGTAGAGATGGGGTTTCACCATGTTGGTCAGGCTGGTCTTGAACTCCTGAGCTCAAGTGATCTGCCCACCTCAGCCTCCCAAAGAGCTGGGATTACAGGCATGAGCCACCATGCCCAGCCCCTATGCAGTCTTAACACCCCAGATACACTGCATATCTGTCTATGTGCTGTGTGTATATTTGTGCTTTATATGCATTAAAGAGTAAAGTTGTTTTTGCCCCTCAAGAAGTCATTTTCATCCTATTGGGGTGATCTTGCCTGTGTTGAAAAGGCATGTTCTGTATCTTCAGTTATTTTTAATATGTAGATCCGCTTTTAAAATTAGTATCATGCTACCTTAGAAGCATATACCTGAGTTTGTGAAGACAAGCCCCCTTGTCTGGGCTGTGATTCCTAGTATCTTATGATGAGCCCGACAGGATGACACAGCCAGGTGACTCACATAGAGCTAAGCTCTGTGAGAAAGCGAGGCCTCAGAGGTAGCACATGATTTCCCTTCTTCCAGTTTCTCTATATAAAGAAATAAAGAGCACACATCAAACCAAACATAAATGGAAAGAAATCAATGGTTGAATGACACATGATTCTGGCTTGTCAGCCCTAGTTGGCACCTTTCGCTCCAAATCATCATCTTTCTAAGATACTAAATTATAGATTCCAACCAAGGTGATTAGTGCTGCTCACACTTTAATGTGCATTGGCATCACCCATGAATCTTGTTAAATTGCAGATTCTCATTCAAGTAGGCCTGGGATTCTGCATTTCTGACAAACTCCCAGGTAATACAGCCACTGCTTGGTCCCAGAACCATACTTTGAGCAGCAGTAGCCTAAGAATACACAGAGGCAATTAAAACTAGCTCTCAAACTATTTTAAGAATTTCAGAAAGCCGAAAGCAGTGGTTCTCACTCAGAAGCGATTTGTTCCCCAGGGGCCATTTGGCAATGTCTTGCAGACATTTTTGGTCGTTATAACTAGAGGATGCTACTGACATCTAGTGGGTGGAGGCCAGGGATGCTGCTAAATAGTCTACAATTCACAGGACAGCCCCCATCAGAAAGAATTATCTGGCCCAGAATATCCATTGTGCTGAGGTTGGAAACCCTTGCCTAAAGGAAATCACACACTTACTCCCAGTAAAGCAGCATGGACAAATACAGATACCCTCTCTCCTTGGCAAGAGTGATATTCAATTCAATGTGATAGCCCCAAATAGTTTGTAGTGGTCAAGCTCTGCAGTTGACATTAATAGATTACTCTAACTGATATGGGGAAGTAAGTTAATTGTAATATAAAGAAATGCAGTTAAGCAGATTAAAAGGAAAACACTTTTGGAGTCATGAGCTGTCAGAGGAGATTTACATGTAGCAAAGGAGACCCTGCTGGTTGAAGGATGGGAATGCCTGTCCCTTATTGGGCAGGAATTGGGTGGGCTGACCAGGCTGTGTACGCCTGGCTGGCACTGTTTATTGGAGTGGTGTTCGAGCGAGCCCATCTGGACATTTTTGGAACAAACTTGGGACATTCCTTTGGCCTTCTGAATATGACTTGCAGCTGGGTAGGGAAGTAGTGCAATATTATCCACAGATTGAAGATTCTTTCAAACAACAGAAATAATCAAGAATTCACTGTGGAGGATTTTCCCCTCCAGAGAGTAACAGATAGATTGATGCGTAGATCTAGGTATGCTTATTAACAAACCATTCCTGTTTCATGGGATGTACATGTGGCAGCATCTGGATTATTTAATGTGTTAATATAGTCAGTTTGTATATGAATAATTTAAAACAGTAGCAAGAGATAAAAGTAGCTCATCTGAAGAAGGGTTGTTTGAGAGCTTTTTTTCTGTCAAGTATAATTTTACTCTCAGGTTAAATGAAATTTATTAAGATGCAATTTGCTCCTGGGAGGTATTTGTGAGTTTAACCACAGTCTGTCTTGGAAGATATTATGACAGTAAGTAAATGTCACCTGGATAATACTGATCCATTCACAGAAGGGAGAAAAAGTGTGTTGGGTCAATTAAGGTGGTTTAAAAATGTGTTGACTCTGAAGAAGAAAAGTATCTAAAGTACACAACTCTAACAAATCTCAAGGCCAGTGGGACTTTACAGACTGAGCCCAATTGTGTTGAGTCTGTGTATTGTATATACTTAACACAAGCAAACACAGACTTTTTCTACAAATGAAAACATGTCTGCTGAGCAGTTGACTCAGTCATCTGGAATAAATGTTCTTTATTTGTGTTTCCATGGGTAAAATCAAGTTAATGAACTGAACCATCACAATTTCTCTTATTTAATTTTTAAAACTCTAGATTACCCTGTCTTCTATCTCTATGTAATTCCTGTGTTAGAGCAAACATAGGAAATTGTCAATATGGCAGAGTGCGGTGGCTCATGCCTGTAATCCCAGCACTTTGGGAGGCCGAGGCAGGTGGATCACCTGAGGTCAGGAGTTCGAGACCAGCCTGGCTAGCATGGTGAAACCCCGTCTCTACTAAAAATACAAAAATTAGCTGGGTGTGGTGGCACACACCTGTAGTCTCAGCTACTTGGGAGGCTGAGGCAGGAAAATCACTTGAACCTGGGAGGCAGAGGATGCAGTGAGCCGAGATCACACCACTGTGCACTCCAGCCTGGGCGACAGAGCAAGACTCTGTCTCAATTTGAAAAAAAAGAGAGAAATTGTCAATATGGGGCCATGTTTTACCTACAAAACTAGCAATTTCATGTTGTTCTGTCTAATATTACTTAGGAACATTTTAATTCTTGCATTAAAAAGTAGCTTTTATAAGCATGAGGGTTAATATCTAGGCATAATGTGTTTTCTGAACAGCTGGCTCTGTTTTTCGTCTCTGTGCAGGATATGATTTCACACCAGTAACCCTTCAACTTGGGGTGACACCTTTCATAGGAGTCATGGTAGTTCTTTCTGTTATTTTTCTAGCCATATGGAGGTCTCATTTCTCTTAATTCTTAAAATGATGGACTACCTGTCTTCTAGCTGTATATTATTTACTTTTTTGTTCATAAGCACCATACTTAAGATTTTTTTCTTTTATTTTTAAGGAGAAAAAAAGGCTGCAGTGAGCTATGATTATGACACTACACTCACCCAGGATGGAGTGCAGTGTCATGATCATAGCTCACTGCAGCCTCGACCTCCTGGGCTCAAGAGATCCTCCTGCCTCAGCCTCCCAAATAGCTGGGACTACAAGTGTATGCCACCACACACGGTTAATTAAAAAAAAAAAAAAAAAGTTTTTCTAGCAACAGTGTCTCACTATGTTGCCCAGGCTGGTTTTGAACTCCTGGGCTCAAGTGGTCCTCCCATCTGGGCCTCGCAAAATGTTGGCATTACAGGAGTGAGCCACCATGCCCAGTCCCATATTTAAGATTTTTCTAAAGCCCTAATTTTAAGATTTTCAAAAATGCTAATTGTATCCTACTGTTTCTGCCCCAAGAACCAGACACCTAGATCTCAAGATATGGACAGGTATTTATTGGAAAGAAATGAGGATTTTGAGGTCATAGAAGTGTCTAAAACATCAAGATTTATTAAAATGATTTTTTACAGCTGATGTTCTAACATTCATTATTGTTTCCTATGATAGAGATACAAATTGAGTCACTTTTCAAACATACTTTACTGTTGAATACCTATAAAAATCTCATGGAACTAGCAGTCCTTAGTATACAGTCAGGAAAATTCTGTTTTACACTAGTCACTTTCCAGAAAGGTTTATTAATAACTGGCTATATAATTCTTTCCCCAGAATATGTTGTTCTTTGTGGATTTTTTCACCCCCCACCCCCAGCTTTTGGTCTATTCCAAAATACACACGGGCTTGACCTAAGAATTTTGCTAAAGGAATTATTCTCCTCTAGGGAAATGAAGCAGCATGTTTCAACACAAGCTTAGAAATCTTAAAACAACTAAAAATGAAAAAAAAAAGTACCAGGTCGTTATTATGTTCTGCAAAAATTAGATTTACGGGTTTTACTGTAGCCATTGTCAATGCCTTACTGAGGGATAGGATCATAGCAGAAAGATGCTAAGGAGCTTATGGTCCCCCTGGGCTGTTGTGATTATGTGGATATATTTAGAAGCTACAAAGAAAGCAGAGCATCAGCTGAGATGCCCCAGTAGACACTCTCAAATTCAGATCTCTCCCATTATGAGAAAAACCCTCAAAAGAAAATATTCACTTGGCAAGGAATGAAGAGCTTTTTTACTCACCAAAATGATGTCGTAATGTTTCAGGGAGAACAGTGACTGCGACTTACTTATTATTGTCATTTATATCTCCTAGGGCTGAACAGTTGTCAGAGAGGATAAGAGATAGGGGGAGTGTATGGGAGGCCTGCTTTGGTTCTCTGCTTATATAAACCTCCACATTTTAGCAGATTTATGTTTCATCCTTAAAATGAGTTAAAAACAGCAGACCCTTTTGTTGCAGATGCAAGATATAACATGTAAAGTGGTTCCATAGCAAATTGCTATTTAGAAAAGAACCCAACGTTATTTTTAACCAACTGTTTGATCTCCTGTATTCTTTCTTATGTGGTTTTATGAATTTTTGTTTCACTTGTAAATAATCGGTAGCAAATGAGTGTGTGAGGCTATGATTTAATTTGTAACAAGGTACAATAAAATACCTCAGCCTGTGACTCAACTATTTTAAGAGGACAAATATGCTAAATAGGAATATTCGTTTCTAACCCTATAGTAAATGAAATGTACCTAAGATCCATGGCTGAAAAAACCTGCCTTATACAAATTCACATAAGAGAGATCAAATGTGGTGAAGGTTGCTTGATAAACTTCTATTGTCTAGCTTGTCTGATGAGCTAGATTTCACAGTATTATGTCCAGATTTACCACAATAATACTGCATAGTTTTTTTCAAGTCTTCGATCTAAGAGGTTCTAGTTTGAAGAGGAGGGGTTCTGTGTCATTCATACAGTGGCTGTGATGCACATCCGTTTGATCTGTGGGCTCATTTAAAGGCTTAGTGGACTGAAATGTTTTGGGGTCACCTGGAGGGGATCAGTGTGTCTGGGCTTTGCTTCCCTGTCTTCCTTACGTATGTGGAAACGGTGAGTGTTGTTCCCTGAGATGTCCTAGAGAGACAACCTTTTCCCAAGTGACAGTGAGTTTCCGTCTTGGAATCAGCTTTGCTTATCCCAGGGAGGATCCAGGCCTGGCGCCAGCAAGTTCTCCCCATGAGGTCTCTGAGGATGTGGAGAGAAGGAATGCCCTGCAGAGTTTCAGCCTGTTACTCTAAACCTCCAGGCATGTTTAAGACCCCTTGGGAGAAGAGGAGGGAGACCTCCATCCGTTTACAACATCTCTGCACAGAAGGCAAATTCTCTTCTCTTGCATAGTACCCTAATGGCAAAGGCATACATGCACCAGGCTCAATTACTTTTAGTGAAGAAAATAAACCAGATCTGTGGAAGGCTTCCCTTCAGTGACTTGGGGAACTCTAGTTTATGAGTGAAAGTAAAGATACGAGCTAGTAGGTGACTTTTGGTGTATGAGCCCTTATTTGTGGGGTATTAAAAACCATGGGCTATCCAGTAACTCAGTAACTCAGGACACACACAGCATTTTGTGGTCCCTGATGTCTTTCTTCGTTTTGGCTGCTGCTTTGGCCATTCAGTCAAATTTGACCATTGGTTTTCATTAAGATTGGCCCTCAGATACAGAGCAGGGAAAAGAAATGAAATTTAAGCTTGTACATGATATAAATTGTCATCAACTCCATTAATGTGTTGGTCAGAGAGAAGGCGGAAGCCAATATTTGACAGGAAGCATGTTTTTTTTTTTTTGTAGATTCAGTGTGACCACCACACCGTCTCGTGCTTGTAGGTAATTTAATTTAACCTAGGAGGAAAATCTAGTCATTTGAGAAACTAAGATAATTAATTATATGCTTTTAAGATGGAGTTCTTAGATGTGAGATCTTGGAGATCCCTGAGACCATGTTTAAGAAATGCTACATTTGTACTGAAAATCTTTGACTTGATATTAAGTTATGATAAACACAACTGCCAATTCAGGTATGTAATTTAGGGATGAAATCTGATCATAAAATGGCCGTCTAGATCAGAGTTTGGCAAAGCATGACCCATGGACCAAATCTGGCCCGCTGTTTTTGAACAGCTCACAAGCTAACAATGGTTTTTAAATGTTTATTATGTATTTGTTTTTGAGTCATGGTCTTGCTCAAGTCACCCAGGATGGGGTACAATGGTGCAATCATAGCTCACTGTAACCTTCAACTTCTGGGCTCAAGCAATCCCAAGTAGCTGGGACTGCAGGTATGCACCACCATACCCGGTGAAGGTATTTTATTTTTGTAGAGACATGGGATCTTGCCCAGGCTGGTCTTGAATTCCTGACCTCAGTACTCCTGCCTCGGCCTCCCAAAGTGCTGAGATTACAGGTAAAGATTTTGTTATTTGCAAAGAGCTTTTCAGAGGAGGGACTAAAATGATAATTCACCCTGTATTTACTGGGTAAACAGTATTAAGACCCCAGATTTTGCCAGTAGCAGTGGCATGTGCCTGTAGTCCCAGCTACTTTGGGAGGCCAAGACAGGAGAATCACTTGAGCCCAGGAGTTTGAATCCAGCCTGGGTGACAGTGAGACCCCATCTATTAAAACAAAACAAAAAACAGATTTTGTCTGAAGAAGTGAGTATTCTTGGACTTCTCAAAATGTCAGTTTGGAGACAGTTTTGGTAGGCCACTTGGTATATAAGCATGGACAGAAATTGATTGTGTGTGTTGTATTAGGTTGGTGCAAAAGTAATTGTGGCTTTTACCATTAAAAGTAATGGCAAAACCCGCAAATATTATGATCTATGTTAGTCCATGTGAGAGCATATTTATGGAGAATACTGACATGATTTGTCAAGTTAGTAGACAAATAATGACTGAACACTCAAAGGCAACATGATTATCCTCCAGCTGTGCCTAGGAGATTCTTGATACCATTTTACTATGTCAATATTCAGCTACGTGGACAACCGCTATTGTTTTGAACGCTCGCTTTTCCTTGAGAAAGGGATTTCCAGAAAAAGAAATTCTGTCATAGCACCAAGAGCTATGCTGGACAGGAGGTTCAAATGTTCATTTTTCTGGCCCTGAAATGAAATGCTTCTTAGGTACACAATTTGCTGTCCAGGTCTAGAGCCGAGCCCAGCAAGAAACATGCCCAGTGCATGGTAGGCAGAATTTTCTGCCTGTGGACTTTCACAAGGCTGCATTGTGGGAACAGAAGCTGCTCAGATTGTTCATTGTTCTGTGACTCCTATTTGGCAGCCAGTGGAGAATTCATTATGCAGTGACTGGCATACTTTTCTTCTGTTTTTTCCCTGCCCTGAGTACAGCAGTGCATCCGTGCTCTCTGTAACCCCTTGCTTCACCCCTTACTGTTCTAATCTTCCCCTCCTTGCCTTCCTCCAGCCTCACTGCTTTGCAAAACCTAGAGACAAGCAGACTTAAATCATATGAACTGATTAGGGGATCAATTTCCCCCAATGCTGAGGAAACACACTTTGTTCTCACATTTGGGTGGGTGAGCCTGCCACCAAATATTAAACACCCACGGACACATAGCAGTGCGTCGGTTCCCCTTTTGGGGACTGCAAGCTCAGACAAATGTCCACAATGGCGAACATGCCACATTTCTCCCTCTGTGTTTCCGCCCCCAAAAGTGTGGCCTCCTGGGCTGAGAGGAAGAAAATTGAGAAGCAGCTCTTTCAAAATTACCATTTGCAGGGTTTGTTGTTGTTGTTGTTGTTGTTTGGTTTTTTTTTGGTTTCTATCTGACTTGCTTTGTAAAGCTGGAAGAAAAGATTAGCATGACTCCGAAAGCACTATTTTTTATGAATTCCAGAGCAGCAGTTCTCAACCTTTAAAATGTATTTGAATCACCTGGGGGTCTGGTTAATATGCAGATTCTGATTTGTTGGGTCTGGGGTGGGGCCAGATTTCTAATGACCTTCCGGGTAATGCTGAGACTACTGGGCCATGGACCACCACATTTGAATAGCAAGTATTAGGTTGGTGCAAAAATAATTGTGGTTTTTGCCCTTTTTTTTGAAAGTAATGGCAAAAACTGAAATTACTTTTGCATCAATCTAAACACTAGTTCAGTGGCTCTCAACCTTGGCTGCACGTTGGGATCACCTGGGGAGCTTTAAAAACTACTGATGCCAGAGCCCCACCCTCAGAGATTCTGGTTTAACTGGTCTGGAGTGTGATCTGAGCCTAGGGAGTTTTTTAAACGCCTCAGATGGTCTCAATATGCACCATTGTGGTTATATTGCAGCTTTACAGGTGTAAGAATCGGATTTGTTCTCTTAAAAGGGAAGATAAGTCTTCTTTTTGGTCCTAGGTCAATCTGAGCTGAGTTCTTCAGCCCTTGAAGAAAGAGCATCCTTCTAACTCACCAGTTCTCAACCAGGGGACATCTGGCAGATGCGTTTGGTTGTCACAACTGGAGTTGGGGGTGCTACTGGAATTAAGTGGATAGAGTCCAGGGGTGCTACTAAACATCCTACAGTGCAACAGCTCCCCACAGCAAAGAATGAAAGGGCCCCAAGTATCGATGGTGCTGAGACAGAAACCCTGGTATAGCTTACCTCACTCCTGCCCTCAAAAGGCTGGGAAGTTCAACACTTCCTTCTTCAATGACTATTGAGAGTAACTAACTAATAGTGTTACAACAAAGGGGTCCCAATCCAGATCCCAAGAGAGGGTTCTTGGATCTCATGCAAGAAAGAATTCAGGGCGAGTCCATAGAGTAAAGTGAAAGCAAGTTTATTAAGAAAGTGAAGGAATAAAAGAATGGCTACTCCATAGAGCCATTTTATGGTTGTTTCTTGATTACATGCTAAACAAGGAGTGGATTATTCATGCCTCCCCTTTCTAGACCATATAGGGTAACTTTCTGACGTTGCCATGGTATTTGTAAACTGTCATGGCGCTGGTGGGAGTGTAGCAGTGAGGACAACCAGAGGTCACTCTCATCACCGTCTTGGTTTTGGTGAGTTTTAGCCAGCTTCTTTACTGCAACCTGTTTTATCAGCAAGGTCTTTATGACCTGTATCTTGTGCCGACCTCGTATCTCATCCCGTGACATAGAATGCCTTAACCATCTGAGAATGCAGCCCAGTAGGTCTCAGCCTCATTTTACCCAGCTCCTATTTAAGATGGAGTTGCTCTGGTTCACATGCCTCTGACAATAGCACGTAGCTAATAGCATTTCTTTCATGTCTAATTCTGTTTTACAACACACTACTGTCGCAAGTATTCTGAACTGGAAAGTCAGTCTTCCTCCCCTGTAAAATTAGGCTATTGAAATACAAGCTTCCAAAGTCCTTTTCAGTTAAAAAAAAAATTATGTGATTGGCAGGGGGAATGGGGAGTAGTTATTTCATGGTTACAGATTTTCTGCTTCTGGTGATAAAAAAAAAAAAGTTCTGGAAATGGGTGGTGAGAGTTACATAACTTTGTGAATGTCGTTAATGCCACTGAACTGTAAAGTTCATGTTATGTATAGTTTACCACAATTTTTTTTAAAAAAAACCATGATTCTGAGATCATTGGTTGAACCATAAACCATATGCTTGCCTGCATCTAATGTGAAACCATCCCTGCTCCATGTTCTTAGCATCCTAGGTTCGTTTCCTTCTTGGCACTCACCGTGGCTTGAAATCACATGGATTTATGTGATTATTTGAGTATGCCTTTCCCCACTAAACTGTCAGCTTCATGAAGGTAAGAACCAAGTCTGTTTTATTCTTCATGGTACTCCCAATGCCCAGCACAGTTTTCCTGGGATTTAGTAGGCATTCCACAGATATTTGTTGGGTAGGTGGTTTTACTACTAGTACATATGTTAACCTCCCTAGGAACAGGAATTAGCCATTATCCACACATTTGTATTTAGTATCATCTGTCTCCTAGCCCTTTGCTACTGGAGGAATTGTGGAATGGAGAGGTTATGGCTAAGTACTATTTTATGATGTTATTCTCTGGGAATTGGCTTAGATTAGAATCACCTGGAGTAGTTTTATAATTATTAATGGCCACATCACAAGGATTCAGGTTCTTCAGGTTCTGTTGATCTGCGGTGGGGTTGGGCATCAGTAGTTTATAAAGGTCTCCAGTTAATTCCAACGTGCATCAAGACGGAAAACCACCGTGTAACTCCTTGCTTCTCAAAATGTCCCAGGACAAAGGCCCCAGGTAAATTGTTTGTATATTCAAGCCTGAGAAACCTACAGGTTCCTTTCTAGTTAAAAGCCCATTGTTCTAGTTGGCCTAGAGAGCTGTTGACTCCGCAATGAAGGAAAGTGTTGTATATTTCTGGAGGCAGAGAGAGGTCTGCAATGCAAAAATAGTTTACAGAGAAAGCGGTATTGTTACCATCAGAATCAGTTGTGATTCTATTTTAGATCATTGGCTTCAGAGGAAAAAGGCAAAAAAACATTTTTTTTCTACTTCATTTCTAGTCTTGGTTTTTCACCACCAAACAAAACAGGAAAAAAAAGGGGGTGGGGGTTGGTGGTGGCGAGGGACTGCAGGAACCAAATGGATAGAATAAAATAGTCTTGTCTCATGCAGAAGAAAAATAAAAGACAAGTTACATCTTTTTCTGCTAGAGAAAAGAATGTATTTCCTGTTTGCCCTCGCCGAGAGCCTGGGCATAATGCGGCAGTGTGCACAGAGCCGCTGAACAAAGAATACAGAAATGGCTGAGAGGACAGAGTTTGAACCGCCAAATACTGGCTCAGTTAGAAACCATGTGACAGATGCAGCTTCTGATTTCATTTACTAGGGCGAAACAGAAATGTGTAAGTGTTTCTCTATATCCTCGGAGGCTTTGAGTGAAAGAAAATGGAAGGTAATTAATTTTCCCTTCCAGAGTTTTGCATGTACATTGGAAGATCTGTTATGATTGAAAGCCTTTTAAATACCAAGCTTGTTAACCAAATGGCTTCTGCAAGAAAGTGGGCTTTATAATAAGCCCTGGCTGCATAAAGAAATGTTCCCAAACCATGACGTTTTCCGTTGGTGTTTATAACATTCCATAGATTATGTGAGATGCTATTCGAATCACTGAAAAATAGTTGGGTACTGAAAGTGTCTTTAGGGATCATCTAATTCAGTGGTTCTCAATCTGTTTTTCTGTCCTCAACACACCCATAGAATATAAAATTCTGCAATTAGCGCCAGCTGTATGTCTTTTTAAGCTGGGTGGGTCATAGCAGAATCAGGAGGGGTGGAGAAGAGCCCATTTTATAACAAAAAATCCTCAGTAGTTCTGAGATGCCCATATCCCACTGGTTCTCAAACTTCACTGTACATTGGAATCAGCTGAGGAGCTTTGCAAGCGACTGCTCTCTGGGTTCCATTTGCAGAAATTCTGATTTAATTTTTCTAGGGTGCAGCCTAGTGAGAGACTATGAAACTCTACCCAGGTGATTCTAAGTGCAGCCAACTTTAAGTCTAATTTCCTTAAAAACCACCACTCTTTTCTCCCTCCATTGCAAATGGCTGTATTTTGAATACTTACAGAGGGGAGAGGTTGTATGTTTCCTCCTGTCCCATTTATTTGCATCTTTGTCTCTTTGATCTGGAGTCCTTGGTCAGGAATCCAGGCTCAGTTATCTAATGTCTGTGGGAAAACGCAGCCCACTTAATTATAACTTCAAGGAGGAAAGTAAGCCCAGGAGGCTCAAATCTGTGACTGGTCTGTGGTAAAAACAGACTGGTGGGCTTCTGAGACTTTCCTGTGGACGCTGTTGCCTCTGCAGCCACTGGAAGAGATGTGGTGTCCTCTTGTTACCAGTGTGTCTTGTGTAATCAAGATGGTATGCCATGCTATTCACTCCAACATGCTTTTCTGTATCTTCCCCCAAGATGTCCCTACAGGCCCTCCTGAAGGAGAAACCCAAAGTGATTAACTTAACTCTTCCCTCTTTAGTCCTCATCATTTGAGGTTATCTTTTGTCATTGTTACCAGCAGGGAAAACACAAAGCATTTATCAGTGGACAGATTGGCATGGATAGGATGGCAGTTAATGTCGTTCAAAGATGAAGGCTCGGGCCAGGCACAGTGACTCACGCCTGTAATCCCAGCACTTTGGGAGGCCGAGGTGGGCAGATCACTTGAGGTCAGGAATTCGAGACTAGCCTGGCCAACATGGCAAAACCCTACCTCTACTAAAAATACAAAAAAATTAGCTGGCTATGGTGGCATGCACTTGTAGTCCCAGCTACTCGGGAGGCTGAGGGAGGAGAATCACTGGAACCCTGGAGACAGAGGTTGCAGTGAGCCATGATCATGCTACTGCACTCCAGCCTGGGTGATAGAGTGAGACTCCATCTCCAAAACAAAAAGATGAAGGCTGTGTTAGAGGGGGCATTTGTAGACTGGTACCCAACATCATACATCAAACACTGAGAACAAGAGTTTCTAGATTTTTTTTTTTTTTTTTTTTTTTAGTAGTGACTTAAGGTAGAGAGAGGTGGCACTTAGGAGATGTCATTCTCTTTGGTTTGATGTTGATGGTCAGTCCTGTTCAGGGCTGGGGAAGTGACCATGTCAGCAGAAGAACGACTGCTTAGGGTTTTGTGGCCTCTTTTCATGTAGGCTAAGAGAGGAAATGTCTTGAAATTCGGGTATAGAGGTGTGGAATGACTGGGATTATATAGGGACTCTATCCCTTCCATGCCCTGTAATGTCCATAGTGCTGGGAACTTATAAATACTGCCTTTGTGTGGAAGCGTTTTTCAGGTACTCAAGTAAAGTAACTCTATCCTGATACTCACAGTACTATAAACATAAAGATGAAAAAATGCAGGATTTAGGGGAAATGTTTTCAGATTTCACTGGAGAAAAATGTAGTAGCCTACAAAGATAGCAATTGAGTTCCTAAAGGCATTTGGGTTAAATTAATCATTGATTAAACGTGAAACTTCAGAGAGATTTTGCTTTCTGATTCATTAGCTTAGATTTGAATACATTTGCATCCCTGCATATGTAGAAAGCTAATTCAGTGAGGTCTTTTTGCAGCACATAATGAAAAAAATGAATGTGTTTTATGCTTAGGTGTTGTAGAATCAGGAGAAAGTGGTAGATAGGTCAAAATTTTATTTCTGTTGCTAACTTAACATATTACAAGTATATCGCAAAAGCATACGTATACATTTTGTGCTTCTTAGGCATTCGTTCTTTGTGTTTTAGCTTAACAAAAAGATATGTCAGTTTTTCATTTGGAGCCATTATAACATTGGAAAGCAGTAGGAGTGAAAAACTAAAACCACTCGAAACTCAAACATAAAATACTATCAGACTTCCTCTCTAAGGCAGCCTTGTTTCCCTGGCACGCACCCTTTGCTTCTCCGCTCATTCTTGCGGTCACTGACTGCCTTGACTGTACTTCATAGGCACCATCCATCACGCTTGTCTGCAGCAGTGACTTAAGATGGAGGGGGGTGGGACCACAAGATGCCTGGCCCTTGGTGGGGCGGGGACGGGGGGTTGTTGTTCATACAAAAGACCTTTGCATCCTTCCGAAGCGGGTGGCACCTCCCTGCCATCACTTGGGCATCCTCCACCAGCCTCTGAAGATTTCACTGAGGAGGAGGGGCCAGAAGTAGCAGGGTATAGGATGGAGGCCAGGGCCACCTCTAGGAGTCCTGGCCCGCTCACCCCAATCAGACTTTACATGCCTTCTTTCACTATTGAGAAACTGTAAGGGTTAATTTTGGGGATGTCATTTTTGAATGCTTCTATTTGCCAGGGGCAAACTGATTAAAAGGAAAAAAAGAGAGAGATTGAGCTTAAACTTCCTGAACATCTATTTGAACAGCTAAGAATTCCTTTTTCTAAGGTGGCAAGTAAGATAATTAATGGAATATTTGGTGCTTATGTTATCTAATATGTTAGTTTGGGATGAAATAAAGTCACAATGAAATTTTATTTTTTATATGATACCTATATACTTTATAGTAAACCAATCCTCCGTGTATACTTGATAATTTTACTTATGCACAGTTTAGGACTTTGTAAGAAAAGTGGTACAGATAGTTGTTTTCAAATGTCCTGTTCTGGGAATGCAGAGTTGGGGAACAAGATGCCTTCCTGTACTAAGAAATTACTGGATGTCTCCCTCGATGAGGTGACATATGAAGAATATATAGAGATGCCCAACAAATGTTATTTTCTACCCCTTTTTCTGGGTTTTTCGTTTTCTCTCCTATAAATTTTGGGCAGGCCGTGTGCTCTGTTGGGTCGTGTCATTTGAGTCCATCACTACATAGGACCTTCTCTCAATATTTCAAATACTTACACAAGCTAGAGGTTGTATGTTTCCTTCTGTCACATTTATTTGCATCTTTGTCTCTTTTATCTGGAGTCCTTGGTCAGGAACCCAGGTTTAATTATCTGATGTCTATGGGAAAACTCAACCCACTTAATGACATGCTGCATTATTTTGTAGCTCTCAGGGGAAAATGTGGCAAGAAAATGGAGACTGCTTATTATTTCTTCTTACGCCATGGTTCCAGAATCTTTTCATGAGAGTAAATAAAAGTGAGGTAAAATCTGCAGAATCCTTAGGTTAGAGAGTTTGCATTATCGATTGATAGGTCCTTAAAAACATTTTCTCTTTATTTCAGAACAATGGTTTATGACAACCCCATTCACTACTCTTGAAACTGATGAGGAACATCAGATTATGTAATCTTGTGCATTTGGCTAAGTCAGAGGAGGCCTGGTGAATTCATTTGTCATTCAGAGTCTAGAGGAATCTAATATTTGTTTCCAGATAAAAACCTGACTGAGAAAGTATATATTTCTGACATGGAGAACTATGCTAGATATTTTATATAATATGAACTATTCTAGAGTATTCTAGACCAGCACTGTCTGATAGAAATGTGAGCCACATATGTAACTTTTTTAAGGTTAGCAGCCTATTGAAAATTATTTGAATGGATAAAATCAGGTGAAATTAACTTTTTAAAATTTATTTATTTTTTGAAATGGAGTCTCACTCTGTCGCCCAGGCTGGAGCGCAGTGGTGGGATCTCGGCTCACCGCAACCTCTGCCTCCCGGGTTCAAGCCATTCTCCTGTCTCAGTCCCCCTGAGTAGCTGGGATTACAGGCGTGTGCCACCACGCCTGGCTAATTTTTGTACTTTTTAGTAGAGACAGAGTTTTACCATGTTGGCCATGCTGGTCTTGAACTCCTGACCTTGTGATCTGCCCGCCTTGGCCTCCCAAAGTGCTGGGATTACAGGCATGAGCTACCACGCCTGGCCGTGAAATTAATTTAACAATATGTTTAAAATTTTTTTTTTTTTGGTTTAGAGACAGGGTCTCACGCTATCGCCCAGGCTGGAATGCAGTGGTGCAATCATAGCTCACTGCAGCCTCAGACTCCTGAGTTCAAGCGATCCTCCTTAGTAGCTAGGACTACAGGTGTGTACCACCACGCCTGACTAATTTTTTTTTTTTTTTTTTAAGAGACGAAGTCTCGTTATGTTCCCCAGGCTGGTGTCAAACTCCTGGGCTCAAGTGATTCTCCCACCTTGACCTCTCCAAAGTGCTGAGATTATAGGCTTGTATGCCACTGTGCCTGGCCCTAACAATACATGTCATTTAACCCAGTATTTCCAAAATGTTATTTCAACATGTGACCAATATAAAAAATTACTGAGTTGTTTTACATTATTTTTGAAGTCCAATGTAAATTTTACACTTAGAGCACTTCTCATTTGGGATTAGCCCCAATCATATGCCCACTGGTGACATGTGGCCAGCGGCTACCATGTTGGACAACACAGCTTTGGACCTTCATTCCTAAACCCAGGCACTGAGAGATTGATAACCAATCAAGACTCCTGCTCCAATTTAGAAAGGGGACTTAAACATTGAGAAAAGGAGCTCTCTGAAAAAAAAAATATGAAAGACTCCTTCAAATAGTTGATATTAGAAACTAAACCACTTTCCACATAAAATCTGTGTTTTTGTCTGAAGAGCGCAGTGGGGAACTAGCAATTTGTAAAATGTTTCTATGTGAATTGGAAGAACATTCTGCCTTCAGATTGTGCTTCTGGAAAACCAGATCAGGATGACATTGAGAGGCAGATGATTGTATTGTAGCTTTTAAGAGAATAAGCTCTGTAGCTTCAATGCCTGGATTCACAGCCAAGCTCTGCTATTTAGGTTGGTGCAAAAGCATTTGCAGTTTTGGCCATTGCTTTTGATGGCTAAAGCCGCAATTGCTTTTGCGCCAACCTAATACTTGCTCGCTTTGTGATCTTTGGCAGATTCCTCTTCATGTGTACTTTTCCTCACCTGAAGACTCAGGACAGTAATAGTAACTATCTCCTAGGGTCATGAGGATTAAATAAACTAAAACAAAGGCCTCAGATTGGTACTTAGCAGTGAGCTATTCTATTACAGCATTAGCTATTAAATCATCATCATCGTCACTGAAAATTGTGCTCTTATATCTCATTCTTTTTTTTTTTGGTGACAGGGTCTTGCTCTGTCACCCAGGCCGGGGTGCAGTGATGCAATCATGGCTCACTGCAGCCTCAGTTTCCTGAGTTCAAGCGATCCTCCTTAGTAGCTAGGACTACAGGTGTGTACCACCACGCCTGACTAATTTTTTTTTTTTTTTTTTAAGAGACGAAGTCTCGTTATGTTCCCCAGGCTGGTGTCAAACTCCTGGGCTCAAGTGATTCTCCCACCTTGACCTCTCCAAAGTGCTGAGATTATAGGCTTGTATGCCACTGTGCCTGGCCCTAACAATACATGTCATTTAACCCAGTATTTCCAAAATGTTATTTCAACATGTGACCAATATAAAAAATTACTGAGTTGTTTTACATTATTTTTGAAGTCCAATGTAAATTTTACACTTAGAGCACTTCTCATTTGGGATTAGCCCCAATCATATGCCCACTGGTGACATGTGGCCAGCGGCTACCATGTTGGACAACACAGCTTTGGACCTTCATTCCTAAACCCAGGCACTGAGAGATTGATAACCAATCAAGACTCCTGCTCCAATTTAGAAAGGGGACTTAAACATTGAGAAAAGGAGCTCTCTGAAAAAAAAAATATGAAAGACTCCTTCAAATAGTTGATATTAGAAACTAAACCACTTTCCACATAAAATCTGTGTTTTTGTCTGAAGAGCGCAGTGGGGAACTAGCAATTTGTAAAATGTTTCTATGTGAATTGGAAGAACATTCTGCCTTCAGATTGTGCTTCTGGAAAACCAGATCAGGATGACATTGAGAGGCAGATGATTGTATTGTAGCTTTTAAGAGAATAAGCTCTGTAGCTTCAATGCCTGGATTCACAGCCAAGCTCTGCTATTTAGGTTGGTGCAAAAGCATTTGCAGTTTTGGCCATTGCTTTTGATGGCTAAAGCCGCAATTGCTTTTGCGCCAACCTAATACTTGCTCGCTTTGTGATCTTTGGCAGATTCCTCTTCATGTGTACTTTTCCTCACCTGAAGACTCAGGACAGTAATAGTAACTATCTCCTAGGGTCATGAGGATTAAATAAACTAAAACAAAGGCCTCAGATTGGTACTTAGCAGTGAGCTATTCTATTACAGCATTAGCTATTAAATCATCATCATCGTCACTGAAAATTGTGCTCTTATATCTCATTCTTTTTTTTTTTGGTGACAGGGTCTTGCTCTGTCACCCAGGCCGGGGTGCAGTGATGCAATCATGGCTCACTGCAGCCTCAGTTTCCTGGGCCCAAGCGATTCTCCCACCTCAGCCTCCCAAGTAGCTGGGACTAGAGACATGCGCCACCATGCCACGCTATTTTTTAAAAATATTTTGTAGAGATGGGGTCTCGCTGTGTTGCCCAGGCTGGTCTCGAGCTCCTGGGCTAAAGCAGTCCTCCCACCTTGGCCTTCCAAAATGTTGGGATTACAGGCGTGAGCCACGTGCCCAGTTCTGTATTTCACTTTCACACTCTCTATGCTCCACTTAGTGTTTCAGTTGCCTGTTTCAGTTGCTGGGCCTATAGTGGTGGGCAAGGTAGACAAGATTCCTGTTCTCACATCTTACATTTTAGGGATGGGAAATAGGCAATAAACAAGACAGGAGAACAGGCAAATGAACAAGGTATTTCCAGAGTGTGAGCAGAGTGTTCAGAGAGTCTCTAGAACAGGTTAACATGACCATGAGAAGCTGGAGGTGATGTTTGAGCCAAGACATGCATGACTTGGTGCAAATTTGGGGCAGAGCATCAAGCCCAGGGAACGGCAGGTTGCAAAGGCCCCATGGAGAAACCGGTGTAACGTATTTGAACACCTGAAAGCTGGCTCCTGTGTTTGGAGTGTAAGAAGGGGGTAAAGATTGGAGATGAGGTCAATAAGCAGGCAGGGGCTGGAACCTCAAAGGCCTTGCAGAGCTTGATAAAGAGTTTGAAATTTTATTCTAAGAGCCTCGAAAGGTTTAAGGCAGGGAAGTAATAGAACCTGATTTGCCTTTTTTTTTTTTTTTTGAGATGGAGCCTTGCTCTGTCTCCCAGGCTGGAGTGCAGTGGCACAATCTTGGCTCACTGCAAGCTCTGCCTCCCGGGTTCACACCATTCTCCCGCCTCAGCCTCCCGAGTAGCTGGAACTACAGGTGCCCACCACCACGCCCGGCTAATTTTTTGTATTTTTAGTAGAGACGGGGTTTCACCATGTTAGCCAGGGATGGTCTCAATCTCCTGACCTGGTGACCCGCCCGCCTCGGCCTCCCAAAGTGCTGGGATTACAGGCGTGAGCCACCGCGCCCGGCCTGATTTGCCTTTTTAAATGGTCACTCTGGCTTCAGGAGATTTAATGGGAGCAGGAGAGAGACGACCACTACTATCTGCTTTCAAGAATGTAAGATTGGACATAGCTCTCTGTCCCCTGCTTTGAGCATAGCTGATTCCTCTACAACAACCCCATCACTGGCCTTGTGTTGTGAAAGAGATCATTTTCTGCTTGTATAGGAGAGTAGAGAGACCTTTACGCTAACGTGGCCTGCCATTTCAGACTATGACATAACCATGCACATGCTCGCACATTCCTAGAAGAATCCGTGTGTTAGCAAAAGGATTGTTGTGTTCTTTGCGAAGCAAGAGCAAAGAATCCCTCACAGAAGCTGAAAATTGCCACTGATGAGTCAAATGGCCATGCTCTGGTCTTCATAAACAAAAGGCAGGCTCTGATTCCTCCAAGTGCAGCTAATTTTCAGGTAGTACTAATGGGTTTATACTAGCGGTTCTCAAAGTGTGCTTCCTGGACGAGCAACATCAGCATCACCTGGGAACTTGCTAGAAATGCAAATCCTCAGGTCCCACCCCAGGAGACATACTGAACTCTGAAGTGGGCCCAGCAATGTGTTTTAACAAGCCCTCCAGCTGATGCACCTCAGAATTTGGGGAATCCCTGTTTTTTGCTGCTAGAGATGATTGCTCAGAGTAAAAAGCACTACTAAACATGGCTGAGGAGCAGAGTGATACTCCTTTCATTGTAATCTTTTTAATGTAAATGCTGAGTATTTGGGTAGCTTTTGGAATCAAGTGTTTGAACCACGCCTTTTGTGTTTGAAGCTATTCATGTTTTATTTAGGTTCTTTTGTTGGATGCTGCTGTATGGTATAATATTTACAAGGTTTCTGGGCTGGCTTCTCCTTACTGGAATTTTCAGAATTGATGTAATTACATCCTCCCTGAGTCGAATTTAACAGTCTAAATTGGAAGAAGCCTCTGGCTGTCCTGATAGAAAGTTCCCACTGAAAACAACCAGCAGCATTGTATTTGAATCTTTGTTGTCCACAGGTAGACTGTCTATACTACAGCTTCCCTTCAGTGAGTTTTTAACCCCTGGGTGGCTCATGCTGCCAGCCAATCTGTTCTTATGTGGATCTTCACCGTAAGTTATGACCTGCTTACGGAAAGCAGACAGATTTTTAGTTTAGATACATCATAAAAGGTATATCTACTTGTTGGGGGAGGGAGGGAAATAAACATTCCAAATACAGTACTGTTGTCAAAGCCAAGGATGTTCTACTGTGGGGCTGTTCTTATATCCCTGCTGTATCTGTTTCCTGTGGCCGCTCTAAGACACTACCACAAATTTAGTGGCTTAAAACAATGCAAATTTGTTATAGTCCTGGAGGTCAGAAGTCTGACGCAGGTCTCACTGGGCTAAAATCCAGGTGTAGATGAACTGTGTTTCTTTCTAGAAGCCCTAGGGGAGAATCCATTTCCTTGCCCTTTCCACCTTCTAGAGGCTACATGCATTTTTTGGCTTGTGGCCATTTTCCTACATCTTCAAAGCCAGGAACTGTGGGTTAAGTTTTTCTCACATCGCATCACTTGGACCTCTTCTGCCTCTCTCTTGTACACTTAAGTACCCTGTGATAACGTTGGGTCTACCTGGATGATTCAGGATAATCTTTGGTCATCTGATTAGCAACCTTAATTCTATCTGCAACCTTAATCCCCCGTTTGCCATGTCATGTAATTCACAGGTTCCAAGGATTAGGATGTGGACATCTTGGGGTGGGGGGTATGATGCTGCCTACCACAGCAGGCCACTAAACTTCCTTACAGCCTCAGTTTCCTTATCTGCATAATGACATTAGTAAAAAATTATTGAAGGCTCTCCTTGAGCATTACAGGAGATACATGTGAAATTATTTGGCACAGAGCTGCCCTTCAGTAGATGCTGGTGGCCTAACACTATTTTATGTTCACAAAGTGTCTACATAGATTCTTTTAAAAATTATTTGAATGCTTGCTTCTCACTCCCAGACCCCTCTGCTCTGTTCTTTGGTACCCCTTCCCCCACCTTCCCATTGGGTGGTCTCCCTGACCCATGCTGATAGGAATAATTAGAGCATATGCAAGTGGAAAGGGTAGGGGAGAGGAAAAAAAAAAAAAACCTTCTTGTCTCTAATCAGTTACTATTTTCCCCCATACTTTAAACTCTGAATAGAATATTCGTAAGAGTTTGGGAGATTCCTTTGATTTTTTTTTTTAACAGCTTTATTAAGGTATAATTTTCCATTTGTTGTTCTCTACCTTGCTAGAGTTACTTCTGACCTCGTCAAATCCTGATTCAATCAAACCAACTGTCATTAACTATTTGGGGGGATAATTGTTGAAATTTGAATATAGGCAGATCTTGGATGATATTAAGAAACATTAACTCTTGTATGAGTGATAATAGTGTTGTGCTTATGTAAGAAAATGCTTATTTTTTCAAGATACTTACTGAGATATTTAGTTGTGAAATGTCAGAAGGACTTAAACTAGGGGAAAAAAAAGGCGAAGCAAATATGGTGAATTTTTTTTTTTTTTTTTTTTTTTTTTTGGCAGAGTCTGGCTCTAATGCCCAGGCTGGGGTGTAGTGGCATGATCACAGCTCACTGCAGCCTCAACCTCCCTAGGCTCAGGTGATCCTCCCACCTCAGCCTCCCAAGTAGCTTTGACTACAGAAATGTACCACCATGCCTGGCTAATTTTCAGGGGTTTTTTTTGTAAAGATGGGATTTTGCCATGTTGCTCAGGCTGGTCTTGAACTCCTGGGCTCAAGCGATCTGCCTGCCTTGGCCTCCAAAGTGCTGGGATTACAGATGTATGCCACTGTGCCTGGTTCATTTTTTTAAAATATTAGATACAATCAAGTGATGCAAAGGACCCAGGTGGCCAGATGTATAGTTTCTGGAACAACTTCTTTTTCTTAATACTTCACTTAAATGACTTGGTTCTCTGTGAACTTTACCAATTCTAGTCCACTCACTCCCAAACTCTGCTCTGTTGACATAGCTCATGCTTTATCAGATGTCCTAAGGAAACTCTACTTCACTATCCTTGTCAAGTTTACATGCTCCCACACCTTTTGGTGGAACATAATTTACATTTTAGAGAACACTGGGATCTTGTTAGGTTTGTTTCGTCCCATATCACAATCCACTCTTCAACTGCTAGATGATGCATCCCACTTCTAGAAAGAGAGCCTTACTTAGTGGGACTGAGAGCTGCTCTAATCATCTGCAGTTCTAGCTGTTACGCGTTTCCCAGTGGATCTTGAGCTGCCTTGGGGTGGTGAGGGGCTGTTTTGTGGGAGTGTAAGGTCAGGGAAGTGTCCTCTCCTGCCCTGTGACCCAGGCCTTGCAATGATACTGAAATACACAGCTGGAAATTGTGTGATCCAAAAAATGGTCTTGTCTGTGCACTTGCATGAACTACAGCCCTGCCCCCAAATTCGGGAGTTGAGATGGTGTTCCCAAATTACTCCAGTGAGTTGTCTGTTATTCCAGGAGGTGACACAGCATCATGGTATGTGCATGATGTCACCTCAGACGTTGCCAGACAACAAGCCCACTCAAGTCGGACATACAGCACTTTATAATGGAGGCTGGGTTCCACCGAGAACAGCCATTCTCTTGTCTGCTGTCCCCAGTGATTATAGGCAGATGTGCTGTGACTTGAGCTTGCACAGGCTTAAAGTTCCTTCTGCCTTCAGAGTCAGCAGTCAGCCATCTTCACAAATGGAAGATTGTTCCAGACCACCATTGACCATCTGGCTGGATCCATCCCACCATCTGCCCTGCACAGTGGCCTCTCATTTCCTAATGTTTCTCATAAACAGCTTAAAGTTCCCTGTGACATTATCTACTGCAGCAGGGCTTTTGGTACCACTCCTGGGCATGCCAGGAACATAGGGCCTATGGGTATTCATCAGAGAACATTTGTATGTCAAAAATTTTAACAAATGAGACTTCCATTTTGAAGATAATGATGCAGACATGTTGTACGTTCACTTATGTGTCTTCCTTGATAACCAGTCAACAATTTATCAGTGATCCTTTATGGACATATTAATACACTTATTGGTGATCTGGAAGTAGTGTAGGACCTAATCTGTAATCTTAAACTGTGCAGAGCCTTGAGGATGGCCATTGTTTGTTGGTTATGGTGTCCTCCTTGATCTTTGATGAAAGAAAGATTGCCTTAGGTGCTTATATCAAGTTAATCTCATCTCTGTGACAATTGAAATTACCATTGGTTCTCTTCTTTCCACATAACACATCGTTGTAACTCAGCATGTCTTTTTCATCGTTGTTCTTGTGGAATTCTTTTAATTTAATTTATTGTGGTAAAATATGTCCAACATAAAACTGATCATTGTAACCATTTTAAAGTGTACAATTCAGTAGCATTTAGTACATTCACAATGTTGTACAAACATCACTATCTAGTTCTAGGACATTTTTGTCATCCAAAGAAAACCCTATACCATTAAGCAGTCACTCCCCATCTCCTTCCCCCACCTCTGGCAACCACTAATCTGCTTTCTGTCTCTATGGATTTGCTTATCCTGGACATTTCATATAAATAGAATCACACAACATGTGGCCTACCGTGTCTGGCTTCTTTCACTGAGCATAATGTTGTCAACATTCATCCATGTCGTAGCATGTGCCAGGAGTTCATTCCTTTGTATCGTTGACTGCTATTCCATTGTACAGATAGATCACATTTCATGTATCCATTCCTCAGTTGATGGGCATTTGGGCTGTTTTTACCTTGTGGCTATTGTGAAGAGTGCTCCTGTGACCATGTGTGTACAAGTGTTTGAGCACCTGTTTTCAATTCGTTTGGGTATGTAGCTAGAAGTGGAATTGTTGGGTCAGACAGTAATTGGATGTTTAACTTCTTGAGGAGCTACCCGTGCGGCCTTTTGCTCATGCCAGTCCTCCTCTGCCATATGATGTCTGTTCTCTTTCAAACCTATGTTAGGACTCGCCTCCACCTTGATTCCTTTTCCTGATAGTCCCCTGCAGCTTCCCATAATTCATGCATCCTTACTAGTCCCTATGAGCACCCCTCATTCAGCTCTGCCTGGAGAAACTTCACTTTTGCCTCCTCATATATTCATCTGGGGTTACCCTACTTCTTTTGGCTTTGAGGATGTTTTTCCCACTAACTGCATGCAACTGTCACCATCTCAAGGATGGAGATGGATACTCGTTCTCTGTGCTCAAAGGCACTTGTCACTATTTTTGCCTTTCTATTGTTGGGCTATTCTAGTAACAGCTGGAAATTACAGAAATAGGTTTTGATTTTATTGCTCATCAAGGTCAGGTTTCCACTGAAATACAGGCATCATAGGGCCTATCCTGTTTGAAATATTAAAATGTCAGAAGATTCAAACAGGCCAAAGAGGGAGAGTTTGAAGCGGGGGTGGGGGGGGGATTGGTATGTGTATGGAGTATAAATAAAGAGGTTCAAAATAACAATAATAGCATTAATGCAACCTTCTTGAGTTTGACCTCGTTTAGTCTTCACAACGACCATGTGAGATGGAGATTTAGTGTGCATGGCTCAAAGCCACACATCCCTTATGTGGCAAAATCAGTATGTTTGACTCCAGAGTCTGTGTTTTTTTGTTTTTGTTTTTGTCTTTTGTTTGTTTGTTTTTGGAGATGGAGTCTTACTCTGTCACCCAGGCTGGAGTGCAGTGGCACGATCTCAGCTCACTGCAACCTCTGCCTCCCAGGTTCAAGCAATTCTCCTGCCCTGGCTTCCCAAGTACCTGGGATTACAGGGATGTGCCACCATGCCCAGCTAATTTTTTTTTTTTTTTTTGTATTTTTAGTAGAGATGGGGTTTCACCATGTTGGCCAGGCTGGTCTTGAACTCTTGACCTCAAGTGATCCACCCATCTCAGCCTCCCAAAGTGCTGAGATTATAGGCGTGGGCCACTGCGCCTACCCTGGGCCTCCCACTTTAAAAGTTGCTCACCAGTTCTTGTATCCCTAGCACCTTCCAGAATGTGTTGAGTATAGTCAGTGCTCAGTGAATATTTATTGAATCTAATTGTCAAGGAATATGCCATTTGCTGTGTTAATTTTCCCCAATATAGTTTTTGTTGTTACATTTTTCTCCTTAAGCCCTAGAAAAGTGTAGGCTTTTTAAAAAATGAAAATGTTTCATTTTATTTCAAGAAAGGAGCCTTAATCTTTATTTGTATCTATTTACAAACTGTTAAAGATTTTGACTGCCTCCTAATGTCTTTCTTAATCTCACACTTTTTGAATAAAAAGTGTTAATATATCCGTTGTAAATTGCTGGCAGCTCAATTTGAAATATCTTTTTGCACAATATGTACTATTAAGTATTCTCGTGTTATTGCTCAGGGTAAGAAAAGATGACTGTTTTTTTGCCATTTAAAGCAGTCGTCTTTTTTTAATGCTGTATTTAATTTTTAAAAGACAAAGTACAGCTTAATGAAACAGGAACTTGCTGTTTCAATGTGAAGGACATGATACTCCAGACACATTCTAAAAGGAAATACATTTTTAAATATAAATGTTTGGTGTTTAATCATTCATTAGGCAAAAATGGAGACATTTGAGTTGTCTGGATCCCTTGAGCACATTTTCATGGCACTTACATGTAATGAAGCAGCTGGCCCAGGATATATTCATAATCAGTGTCACTGGAGGGCTTACCATATGCCAGGCTTGGTTCTAATTGCTTAATGTGGATTGACCCATTTAATCCCAAAATAACCCTACAAAGTTGATGTAGTCATCCCTCTTTTAAAATTGAGATTAAATTTGCATAGCATAAAATGAACCATTTTAAGGTCAACAATTTAGTGACATTTAGTCTATTCACCACATTGGGCAACCACCAGCTCTATTTCCAAAACATTTTGATCACCCTCAAAGGAACCCCATAATCCCTCGTTTAAGAATCGGGAAACAGAGACATGGAGATAAGCCCCTTTCCTTAAGTTACCCAACTGGGAAGTGATGGAGCCATGTTTGAGCCCGGACACTGGGACTCAAGGCCACTCTCTGTCGCTCTCTGAAGATCTATACTTTAGTCCCACTGCCACCTTACCCACCTCCTACCAACCTCCAGTGTAGTGGGGGCAAAGCACTTCACTTCTAACCTCAGGTTCTTGAAGTGAAAAGCAGTAAGATAATGTGCTGGTTGCCAAGATCTCAGGGCTGCAAAAAAAAAAAAATTCCTTACGCTATTCTCCATGGGAATCAGGCCAAAGCTTTTCTTCATCAAATTTCCCGACCCCATTTCTGCAGAACAAACAGCACACCAGGCAGGGACTCCCCTCTGTTTCTTGATATCCCACTTCCACATTTATCTATTATCATCACTCTCTCATTCATGTTTCAGAAGATTCCCACCTCTTCACTAGGGTCGAGACTAGCATAAAACAAAAGAGATGACCAGGGTGCGAAATGGAAGGGGGCACTCCCTCTCAGGGTCCTGTAAGCCGAGTAAGTACTCTCTGGCCTCACGTAGTCCTGGTCCTGCCCCACACCTCCTCCAAGATCATGTTCAGTTGCTACTCCCTCTCATTCCTTGCCTCCCTCTAAAGAATTCTAGGATCCTTTTCACTTCTGACTCCTTGTCCTGTCTCTGACCATTTATGTCCCTCCTCTCTGGAGATGCTCCTGCTCTGTTCGCCCTCTAAATTGTCTTTTTTTTTTTTCTTACTCTATATCCAGCTGGGTCATCTCGTCCGCTCTGTGTGCTACTGTCTTTGTGTTAACTCTCATACCTGCAGTTCTCTTTCACCCTCAGCCTAGGTGACCATATGTCCTGGTTGGCCTGGAAAGTCCCAGTGTATGCTTGTTGTCTTGGAATCATTATTGGCAGTGCCTCTTGTCACTCTCAAAAGTGATATGTAGGCTTGGCATGGTGGCTCACGCCTGTAATCCCAGCACTTTGGGAGGCCAAGGCAGGAGGATTGCTTGAGCCCAGGAGTTTGAGACCAGCCTGGGCAACATAGTGAAACCCCGTATCTACAAAAAATAAAAAAATAGCCCGGTGTGGTGGCACATGCCTGTAGTCCTAGCTACGTGGAAGGCTGAAGGTGGGAGGATCATGAGCCTGGTAGGTTGAAGCTGCAGTGAGCTAAAATCACGCCACTGCATTCCAGCCTGAGTGACAGAGTGAGACCCTGTCTAAAAAAAAAAAAAAAAAAAAAAAAAAAGTGATGTCACATATTGCAGCCTTCTCCCCAGCACTCCTATTCTGCTAGCACGTTTCTCAGGCATACAAAATGCAACAGATCAGAAATAAAACTTCTCAGGGTCTTGCCTAAAGGCTGCACCACCTCAATTTTCTCTATCTTGACTAATTATATCCACAAGGAAAGCTGTTGGCTCTTCATAAACTCAATCTCAGTTCTCCAAGGCTGAAGGAAGACCACCACACCTGGAAGAACAGCTGGACCCAGCAGTCTGCACCTCTGTTCCCTGTCACCCTTCCTTGGAATCAAGGGCTACTGCTCATTTAATTCTCTAGCCCAGCACTTCCCAGCAGCTCTTTCCGCCATGACAGAAATGCTCTATATTTGTGTTGTCCGATTTGGCAGCCACTAGCACATGTGGCTATTGAGCACATGAAATAGGGCTTGTGCAGCTGAGGAACTGACTTAACAAAGTACAAGTAGCTAGTGGCTACTATATGTTATAGAGCAGCTCTACCTCAGTACTTCTCAAACTTTAACATGCATACAAAACACCTGGATCTCACTGAAAGGTGCAATCTGCTTCAGTACATCTGCAACAAGACCTGAGCGTCCCCATTGTAGTAGGCTTCCAGGTGAAACTGACACTGCTGGTCTAAGGGCCACACTTTGAGGAGAAAGGCGCTAATCTAACTCGATTCTCATCCCTGGCTCACATGAGCCACACGGGGGAAGGTTTAAAAATGTGTCAGATGCCCAGGGCCTTTCCCAAGCCAATTAAATCAGGACCTCAGAGAGTAACCTGGGCATTGACATGTTTTGAAAGCTCCTCAGGTGATTCTAATGTAAGATGAGCCCAGACTGAGCTGCTCAAATAAGACTTTACTAAAGATTTAGGGTTAAGAAGATGGAATTAACCAGTGAATACAAGTCAGTTAGCCACTGGGATTTCTGTGTGGCACCTACTCATCTTCAGCCTGAAGTCCCTAATAGAGTCTCTGTATCTGCCTTCTCCCCCAGATCTCCTGAAACTGGCAGAGAATGAAACAGCTCTAACTTCTTTTTTTTTTGTTTTGTTTTGTTTTGTTTTGTTTTGTTTTGTTTTTGTTTTTGTTTTAGAGATAGGGTCTCGCTCTGTCACCGAGGCTGGAGTGCAGTGGTGTGATCATGGCTCACTGCAGCTTCAACCTCCTGGGCCCAAGTGATCTACTTCAACCTCCCAAGTAGCTGAGACTGCAGGTGTGCACCACTGCACCTACCTAGTTTTTATTTTTTTTTGTAGAGACAGGGTCTTGCTATGTTACCCAGCCTGGTCTAACTTCTTTAAATAGATCTGGAAGGTGCCAGACTTAGCCTCACAGTTGTAAAAGATTTCTGTCTTTGCAAAGGGCTGTTCTAGATAATGTGGCTTTTCTGACATATTGCATACATACTCTTTGAATTACTTTATACTTTTCTTCACACACATGTTCATTGTATACTTTTTAAAAAGCAAATACAGAGACCAGAGCTGTTTAATAGCTGAGGACCTCCCTGGACTCAGATTCTCCCTGAAGCAGTGTTAGGGGCTCTGTTTTCTGTGTTCATATAACCCTCAGTCCATACCTTGTTGGAATGGTTGTTATTGCTTTATGATTTCTCTATTTGTACTTCTTTCTAGACTGAGAGCTCCTTCAAAGTAGGGCCACTGCCCTATTTCTCTCTGCCTGTCTATCCCGGCCACTATCAGAACCTCCTGGGGAATTCCTCCCTCAGACCTACTGGTTCAGAATCTTAAGTGGATGAGCCCTGGAATGTGTATGTTTAAAAGGCTTCACAGATGATCTTTATTTTCAGACAGGAATGAACATCATTGCCTTAGAGACTGACATTATATCTGGAACATGGTAAACATTAAATAACTATTTGTTGAGTGCATGAAAATCAGTCTTAAATTCGACTTGTGGCATCTCGAGGCAGATGCCACCTTAGCCAAGTGATCAAGGTTAATGTCATGAGTAACCTGCATCAATACCATTTGCCCCCCATGCAATGCATTGCAAAGGATACAGTATTACTACTCTGGTTTCCTTCCAAGTGATGCATAACCCCAGCTGAATCATGAGGAAACAGCAGACAAACCCAAATTGAGGGATATTCTACAAAATTTGTGACCAATACTCTTCAAAAGAGTCAAGGTCATGAAAAACAAGTAAAGACTGGGGAATTTGCACAGATTGAAGGAGACCAAGGAGACAGGACAACTAAATGCCGCACAAGATTCTGAATTGTATCCTGGAATGGAAAAGGGACATTAGTGGGAAAACTGGTGAAATCCAAATAAGTTCTGTGCTTTAGTTAACAGCATTGTGCCAAGGCTAATTTCTTAGTTTTGATAAATGTTCTGTAGTTATGTAAGATGTTAACATAAGGAGAAGCTCAGTGAAGGATGTATTGGAACTCTTTGTAATATTTTTGCAACACTGCTGAAAGTCTGAATTTATCTCAAAACCAACAAAAGGTTAAATTTAAAAAATGAATGGAAGATAATTGAAATGTCACTGAACAAGGGCATTCTGGAAGGAGAGTAAAGAAGTCCAAGGGGAGACCATTGGTTCGACAATCGGAACCAAACTGGACCATCATAGATTACAAGTTGATGCCCCTATGGTTTTGTCAAAACTCCCTCATGTTTTTATAGCTATTTTGAGGTATAATTTACATACCATACGGTTCACCCATTTAAAGTGTATAATTCACTGTGTTTTAGAATATTTACAGGGTTGCACCACCATCATCACAATCTAATTTTGGAACGTTTTTGTCCCCTTTAAAAAAAAAAAAAACAACCTATATCCATTTGCTGTCACTCAATATCCCACCCCACCAGCTGCTGCCAAGCAACCATTTTTTCCTTTCTGTCTCTATAGGTTTTCCTATTCTGGACATTTATTTTAAATTGAATCATATGTGATATTTTGTGTCTGGCTTCTTTCACTTAGCATGATGTTTCTGAGGTTTATCCATGTGGTAGCATGTGTCAGTACTTCATTCCTATTTGTGGCCCAATAACATTCTGTTGTATGAATACGGACCACATTTATTTATTCATTCATCAGTCGATGAACACCTAATACCTTTTGGACTATTATTCTGATGGGTTTGGTTGAATACTAGGGTAGACTGCCCTTCCAGCCTCCCATGCTCTATGCATCCATTGCTCCAGAAGATAGACTCTTAGGATAAAGAGTTGACACCATCTCCAAGCATCCCAAACAGCATTGTGTACTTATATACATGATTAGCCACTTTGGAATGTCTTTAGTGTTAAGGCAAGAAATGTCCTTAGAGTCCCAGAGAGGGAAAAAATGTGGGTTATGTTATGTCCAAATCCATAACCACCACTTCAGGGAGTTGTGCAGTGAATTGCTTTATTGAATAAGTGTGAGAAAGGAAAGATATTAGTTGTCCAAGAATGCTATTGCCAAACTTTGTGGAAACAGAGTATTTTCTGTGGAAACAGCATACATTTTATTCTGTGCCATGGAATTTCCCCTCATTTGACCCAAGGGGTAAAGAAAAACTCTTATGCAACCATCCCATTTTAAAAGTTATTCTTTTATATGTAGGCTGGTTAATAACCAACAACAGACAATTTTATCTAAGATGACTAAGATCTTGCATTTCGCTTTTAGTGAGAGCTGATTTACATATCTAATTCATGTTCTATTAGCAGAGTTATGGGAATATAAGGAAATGCAAGAAAAACCCAGGACTTGGATCAGATTTTAAAGTCCTACAGTTATATACAGTTGTGAAGATGTCCTTCAAAATCCAGAAACCAAACAGACTCTGTCATCTTACTTTTTGCTGAGGTGTTGGCCTTTTATTTTTGAAATCTAGCAATTTTCACTTCTTGTTATCTAAAAGTTATTAATACAAAGCATTTCCTCCCGTCATTTACATAACTCTTTTCCAGCAGTATGCACACGTACACACACACACACACACACACAATTTAAATGTCTATGAGCAACTTTTGACTTTCTGGAAAATTCTTTCCCCAGCTTGAAACTTTCTCCATATTCTGGTGTTTCACCTGAATGTGAAATGAAGACATTTCACAGAATCTAAGAGTTCAGAAAGAGGCACCGTGCTAGATACTCATGTGCATAGTTTCTGGTCTTCTCACTGGCCCTTCCAGTAACTTGTGGTTATTCTAGAAGTCCATGTCCAGAACAGAACACTGAGCAACAGATATCATCTGGGATCCATGTTTTTGGTCTAATTGGCCTTTTGGGTGAACACATCATTTGGGCTCAAGTTGATGATTGTATCAAGTAAGCCTTTTCAGTCTCTTCTGTGCTGCCACTGAGCCTGTTCCACCACCACCTTCCCTCACCCCCATCTTGAAATCATGCATTTGGTTGCTGAGACCCAAGTGTAGGATACAACCGTTTGTTCCCATGACCTTTTCAGGTCCTCCTCATCTTTCTGGTTTGTCTTCCTTTCAGCATCTGGTAATTTTGTTGTTGAATGGGTTGGCCTCACTTCCTAGCTTCATGTTACCTGCAGACTTGGTCACGAAGATGTGTATAACTTCATGTGAGCCATTGATAAGCAGGGCAAAATAGGGAAAGTGCCACCCCCACACCATGCCTGTCACTGGAGACTGCTCGGCAGTTTCATACTTTATTACCCCTGAGATCTGTTGTGAATCAGCCTCACTAAAGGTCTTCCCCTCTACATTCCCTTGTGAACAAGAATAGCTGGAAAGCCCTTACAAATGCCTTGCCTGCCAGGCACAGCGGCTCACGCTTGTAGTCCCAGCACTTTGGGAGGCTGAGGTGGGTGGATCGCTTGAGCCCAGGAGTTTGAGACCAGCTGGGGCAACGTGGCAAAACCCCATCTCTACAGAAGATACAAAAATTAGCCAGGCGTAGTGGCACACACTTGTAGCCCCAGCTGCTTGGGAGGCTGAGGTGGGAGGATTTCTTGAGCCCAGGAGATTGAGGCTACAGTGAGCTGTGATTGCTCCACTGCACTCCAGCCTGGGTGACAGAGTGAGACCCTGTCTCAAAACAAAAATAAATGCCTCTTCATGATTCCCATGGTTTGTGTCTAGAGATTTCCCTCAGCCTAAGAATCTAACCGTACCAAGTGAAAGCAAGAGAGGCTGATCTTGCATGTAATAGTCACTGAATGTTCTAAGTGCTTGCAGAATATTCTTCAATTGTCTCTTCTAGACTCTTGACTAGGATGTATATCAGATTCACCAATCTGTGGTTTTTGAAGCATGTTTTTTCCTTTTCCCTTTTGAAAACTGCAAATGCATCTCTCTGACTCCATTCGTATTACAGGGGAAGATTTAGTTATTTTATCTTCAAGTTCTCCAAGTATCTGGGTATAATTTGTCTTCACTATAATGCTAAAATTCATTTAGAATATCTTCTAATCAATTTGGGACCTCAGTTCTCTCTTCATTAGATTTTTTTCGTCTACTCTTCCCTGGCTGAAGCTCATTGTTTTTTTAAAAATAGATATATATTTTAAATTTTTAAATATTTAATTGACATGTAATAATTGTACATATTTATGGGGTACAATGTGATATTTCTGTACATTAATGCATTGTGTAATGATCAAATCAGGGTAATTGGTATATCCATCACTTCAAACATTTATCACTTCTTTGTGGTGAAAATATTCAAATTCCTGTCTTCTAGCTTTTTTGAAATATGTGTTGTTAACTATAGTCATTCCAGTGTGCATTAGAGCACCAGAACTTATTCCTCCTAACTGGTGATGTTGTACCCATTGAGTGACCTCTTCCTACTTTTTTGAGACGGAGTTTCACTCTTGTTGCCCAGACTGGAGTGCAATGGCGCGATCTCAGCTCACCGCAACCTCCGCCTCCCAGGTTCAAGTGATTCTCCTGCCTCAGCCTCCCTAGTAGCTGGGATTACAGGCATGTGCCACCACGCCCGGCTAATTTTGTATTTTTAGTAGAGACGGGGTTTCTCCATGTTGGTCAGGCTGGTCTCAAACTCCCGACCTCAGGTGATCCGCCAGCCTCAGCCTCTCAAAGTGCTGGGATTACAGGCGTGAGCCACTGCGCCCGGCTTGACCTCTTCCTACTTCTAACTCCCCTCACCATAACCCTCCATAGCCCCTAGTAACTTCTATCCAATTCTCTACTTTTATGAGCTCAACTTTTAAAAATTCCACATACAAGCAGGATCATGAGGTATTTGTCTTTCTGGGCCTGGCTTATTTATTTCACTTAATATGATGTCCTCCAGGTGTATCCGTGTTGTCAAAAATGACAGGATTTATTGTTTTTTTTATGGCTGAATAGTAGTCTGTGTTTTTATCCAAGCAGTCAGAAGCAAAGTGCAGAAGAGAATGGGGTTTTTTTCTTTCATTTTTTATTTTTACTTTTTCTTTTTGAGACAGGGTCTTGCTCTGTCACCCAGGCTGGAGAGCAGTGGTACAATCTCAGCTCACTGCAGCCTTGACCTCTTGGACTCAAGTGATCCTCCTGCCTCAGCCTCCTGAGTAGCTGGGACTATAGGTGTGCACCACCATGCCCAGCTAATATTTTTCTTTGTTTTTTTTTTCTTTTCTTTTCTTTCTTTCTTTCTTTTTTTTTTTTTTTTTTTTGAAGAGATGGATTTTTACCGTGTGGTCCAGTGATCTGCCGGCCTCAGGCTCCCAAAGTGCTGAGACTACAGGCATGAACCACCGTGCCTGGCTGAGAATGGGGTTTTCTTTGCCTATTGTAATGGAAACATAAATCCGTGAATTTGGCCCGTGACCTCTTTGCTGTTTTTTATCACAATGTCATGAACTGCTTTGCAGTTTACAAAGTGCCCGCATGTGCATGTGATCTTTACAACCACCTTGTGAGCTAGTGAGTTTACTACCTGTATTTTAGAAACAAAGAAGCAGAGTTGAACTTGCATTTAGTGACATGGAGGGTTGGGTGACTTTTCCAAGTTGTGGAGCCTGTTCATGACCAAGTTGGATGCCTCCCAGCTTTTTCACTATGCAATCTTTGCCACATTTATCACATACAGTAGTCCCCCTTTATTCACGGTTTCACTCTCCATGGTGTCAGTTACCTGTGGTCAACAGTGGTCCAAAATAGGTAAGTACAGAACAATAAGATAAGAAAGAGAGACTACATTCACATAACTTTGATTACAGTATATTGTTATAGTTGATCTATTATTAGTTATTGTTGCTAATTTCTCACTGTGCCTAATTTATAAATGAAACTTTATTGTATGTATATACAGGGAAAAACACTGTATATAGGGTTTGTTACTATCTGCAGTTTTAGGCATCCACTGGGGGTCTTGGAATGTATACCTCATGGATAAGTGGGGACCTGTACTTTACTATACGTTGGAAGCACACCTTTCTGACTTTCTCCCCTGAAATCCTTGTTTACTCTTTAATTCATGCCATTCTCTGTCTTTCATACACAGTATGTGGGAAGGGTGATGCCCATAAGCCACTCTAACTTCCTGCACTCCCTTTCATTTCTCTGTGGGGCTCACCGATGAGTGAGTATATTTCCAGAACATCATTTCTGACATCATCCAAATCCTCTAAAGCAGCCTTCCTTTAAAAACTCCAACCCTGGAATCTAATCTGCATTTTTGGAACGTTTGCAATATGCTGAAGTCAGAGCTACTCCCTTTGCTGTGCCCCACGTGCCTGGGCACCAGCCCCTCGGCTCCACCACCTGATGTGCAAGTCATGTCAGTGTCCTCCCAAGATTCCTTTCACTTCCCCAACTTGGTGCCCAAGGGGGATCTGCACTGGGTCTAGTGCAGCATCCCCCCTAACGTGCTTTCTACAAGAGGGAATTGGCAGCAATGCTAGGCAAGGCGATTCAGAATCAGCGACTCTACTTTTTTGCTGAATAAGACACTGCAGATCTATTTCGCTGATTTATTTACATTATTCTGCATGTCCTTGGAGAGATGGCAGAAGGTTAAGGGACAGCATCGATTCTTTCAGATTCCTCAAGGCTCTTGCAGATTTCCCATGGTCCTTTGTACTACAAAGTGGGAGAATCAAGCATCAGATGACCTTTTCAATGTTACTCTGTTGGTTCAATCTGTAACAACTTTTTCTCTTGTCTTCACCAACCTCTCACTGCTTTCCACAAAAAATGAACCATGGCCTGCTATTATTTGTTTTCAATTCTGAATATAATAAGATATCATAAATTGCTTTCACGAAAGTACTGATTTGATTATCACTTATGATACAAATTATGAAACTGCAACATGAGTGTTTTCTCTCTGATTCCTTTCACCATTTCACTGCAGACTTGAAAAGGGACCAGAATGGACCAAAAAGAAATTATTTCTTTGTTGTTTTGCCAAAGACCTTTCCTTTCAAAATGCACACATCCTGGAGTTTTGAAAACTGCTATAATTATCACAAGGCAGTCTTTCTGTGGGAAGAAAGTGAGTGAATTTCCCATTAGGAGATCATGGTTAAAATAATCTCTCGGCTCTGGGACCAAATGGAACTAGAAAGTGTGTTCAAAAGCTGCATTCATTTCAGAAGGGAGAAAGAACAACCTTTCTCATAATGAGCCTTGGGAAGCAGCCAGCGTGGAAAAAGGTCACACAATTGCCACTTTGGTATCTGAATAACTACTCTTAGCTTACTTTTGCTTGTGGTGTGATAGCTTTTGTGGTTTTCTCTGGGGCTGAATCCCTGCTGTCTTCAAGCATAGTTTTCACTGAGTCTGTCTTGGAAACCACTGTGCGTGTGGCATTGTCATCTACCATTTTTATAGGAGACAGAAACAGTTACTCTGACCCAAGTGACTGAAATGCAGCTCAGTAAATTTTTTTTCCCAATAGTCTTAGCATGTGGATAGGACATTTGTTCTTATCCAGAAATGAAATGTGTTAAGATTGTGTGAAATTATCTGTATCTTTTGCTGCTCATTTTTCAAAGATTGCCCCGGAGGGTGTTTTGGTGAAATTATTTATGGAATATGTAAAAATGTTCAAGACCCTTTATCAGAACAGAACTGAGGAGGATGCTGTTCCTGAAGATTCTGCCTACTGCCTATCCAAGATGCAAAATATTAGTGGTATTGAAGAGAGATGAGAGGGGAGATTATTTTAAGGTTATGTGTCTTTCTACAATTATACCAATTTTTAAAGTGTATTTCCAGCTGGGCATGGTGGCTCATACCTGTAATCCCAGCACTTTGGGAGACCAAGGTGGGAGGATTGCCTAAACCTTGGAATTTGAGACCAGCCTGGGCAATGTAGCAAAACCCCATCTCTACAGAAAAAAAAAAAAATCACAAAAGTTAGCCGGGCATGGTGGCATGTACCTGTAGTCCCAGCTACTGGGGAGGCTGGGGTGGGAGGGTCACTTGAGCCCAGGAAGTCAAGGCTGTAGTGAGCCGTGATTGTGCCACTGCACTCCAGCCTGGGTGGTAGAGACCCTGTATCAAAAAATAAAAATAAAAAATAGTAAAGAATATTTCCACAAATCAGAAGTGAAAGAGACAGCTCTTGGAGAAGGGTTCATATTCATAATACTTTTCTCATTGCTTATTTTCCAAAAGCTCTAAAATGGACTTCTATGTATTACCACTGCTTCATATTGCCCACCTACCCACCTTGTTGCTCCTGTCATCTAATGTTATGAAAATAGTGTTTGGGATTTAAAGCGGAAGCCATGGGTTGATTTTTAAGAAGTCACAGAAGCCAAGACTGCTGAGCACTCTGGTGTCATCAGAATGAACATTCCCTGACTCCAGTGAGTATCCTGACGTGTGTAGTTAACTCTCACAAACTCAGGCACGTGAATGATCTCAGCAGAAGAGAGAGAAGGGCCAGTGGTTTACCCCATTGTCTCTCCCCTCTTTCAACATGGGTCTTGACTACCTTGCTTCCAGGAAGCAAGGGTGACAGCTGAAAACCAACCGGAAGCGTTATTTTTGTTGTTGTTGTTTTTTGTTGTAGTTGTTGTTGCTGTTGCTTTTGAGCCTCCAAAGACCAAGATCCACTTAATAGACCGTGGCATTTTTGCCTCATCTACTGACTTAAGAACTTAATCCATGACCCTGTCACTACACCCCCTGCACCCCCACCCACGCACATTTACATGCTCACTCGTACACTCATTCACACTCACCTCTACCTTTAGATTTAACCCACTGAGCTGTACTGAGCCAGATGAACTGGACTGTTGATTCTTACCATTTCTGGATCGTGGGTTCCTGAAGAATCTGGTGAGAAGTTGTAAACCCTCTTCCCTGAAAAGTGTCTATACAAATGTGTGCAGATTTGGCTTATGATTCTGGAGGGATTCATGGCCAGGAAATCCATGTTAGGGGATTTACTTTTCACTATATACCCTTTGTTTCTGTTGTGAGGTTGTTACTGTCTGTGTATATTACTTCTGTTAATTGAATCTGTCTAGGTTACTTTTTCAATTAACAAATTAATTAGAAGACTAAGAGCCTAAAAGAGATTTTTCTTATCTGATTAAGTTCAGTATTGAATCCTGAGAGTCCATTTGAAAGCATAGTATTCGTCGGCTTTTTCAATTGCAAAATATTTATCGTGATTGCCAAGAAATATTGCTGAGAGCCAAAATAATAATAGAGGAAATGATCTACAGTTGAATTTTTATCTGAATTATTTTGAACATAGAAAATGAATTTTTGTAAATAAAAAAATAATAGATGTTGGTGTGGATGCAGTGAAAGGGAACACTTCTACACTGCTGGTGGGAATGTAAACTAGTACAACCACTATAGAAATAGTGGGGAGATTGCTTAAAGAACTAAAAGTAGATCTACCATTTGATCCAGCAATTCCACTACTAGCTGTCTACCCAGGGGGAAAAAAAATCATATGAAAAAGATACTTGCACGTGCATGTTTATAGCAGCACAGTTTGCAATTGCAAAAGTATGGAACCAGCCCAAGTGCCCATCAATCAACGAGTGGATAAAGAAAATGAGGTGTGTGTGTATATATATATGTATGTGTGTATATGTATATATGTATATTATATATATATGTATGTGTATATATATGTGTGTATATGTATGTGTATATATGTGTGTATATGTATATATATGTATGTGTATATATATGTATATATGTGTGTGTGTGTGTGTGTGTGTGTGTGTGTGTGTGTGTATGCACATTCATTCTGTGGAATACTCAGCCATATAAAGGAACTAAACAATGGCATTCGTGGCAACCTGGATGGAATTGGAGGCAATTATTCTAAATGAAGTAACTCAGGAATGGAAAACCAAACATTGCATGTTCTCAGTTGTATGTGGGAGCTAAGTTATGAGGATGCAAAGGCATAAGAATGATACACTGGGATTTGGGGACTCGGGGGGAAAGGCTGGGGGTGGCAAGGGATAAAAGACTACACATTGGGTACAGTGTACACTGCTTGGGCTATGGGTGCACCAAAATCTCAGAAATCACCACTAAAGAAGTTATTCATGTAACCAAACACTACCTGTTCCCCAAAAACCTATTGAAATAAAAAATAAAATATTAAAATGAATTTTTGTGTTAATGGTCTCATATTCAGGTGGGAAAAATCTTCTTACAGTTGCCAAAAATGGTTACCTGGTAGTATGAAAAGGGTAAGAGTTGATAATCCTCGAGAATAAGGATACCTTCCTACAGTGTTTTCAGCATAGCTTATTTTGTGTGATTCTTTGAGAGCAAAAAAAAAAAAAAAAACCCCACGTTTTGGGATTGTAGTGACTGCTTTGCCTTGATTGGGCTCCTCATGGGAGCCATTTCTTATACTGAATCTTTCACCATACCAAAGAGTGTTATAACCTTCATGTACATTTTAAATGACAGTCATATTTTACCCTTCCCAACAGGGTTTATGTAACATCTTTGTGCAGTATGCTTAAAATCCACAAAACTAAAATATCTCAAAGGAGAAAAGAGAGGTTAGTGATGAATAAAAATTGTAGTGAAGATTGTCTTGTTTTTTCCTTCTAAAATTCCTTCCTGTGTAAAAGCCGCCTGGCCAACTGATAGTTTTTCTTTCAACTCACTGTGAAATATTTTTCTTAGCTTGCATGTTAGCACCAAGTGATGTATCCATTGTCACTACTGTGTGATATCAGTTGCTGAGGTGATAAAACATGGATTTCTTTTTTAACCTGGTACTGGAATGGAGGATGGGGAAGAAAAGAGAGTCAAGAAAAGGAATGATGCAACTGACAGGCATACATTAGTGAGGTGCCCTATTCATTTATTTCAGTAGCTGTACATCCTTACTTTCCAGCACTATTGAATACTCTGTGGGTGGTAGGATCGTGTGGGGGAAAGAGCATAGTTATAATAGCTGACATTTATTGAACATTTGCTATTCTAAGCACATTATTTATATTAACTCATCTAATCCCTATGACAACTATATGGATTAGCTGGGTTCAAATCCGGACTCCTCCACTTCCTAGCTGTATAAACTTGTGCAACTTCACTTTTTTTTTTAGATGAACAAAAACTATCCATCTCTTAGGGTAGATGTTAGCATTAATTGAGATGGTAGTTCTATTGCATATATAATCATGTCTGGTATATAAAAGAACTCAAATGATGTAAAAAAAAATCTCTGTACACAAAGACTTCATGGCAGCATGATTCATAATAGCTCCAAACTGAAGACAGCCCAAATGTCCTTCAACTGGTAAATAGATTTAAAAAAGAATTGTGGTATATTCATAGTATGGAATACTACTCAGCAATGAAAAAAAGGACATGGATACACACAAAAACATGGAAAAATCTCAAACATTATGTTAAGTGAAGAAATAGAAACACAAACATACTGTGTGATTTCATTTATGTAACATTCTAGAAAAGCCTAACTGTGGCAACAAAAAGTAGATCAGTGGTTGCCAGAGGTTGGGGAAGGAGATCAGCTGCAGAAAGGTACTAGGAAACTTTGTAAAGTGGGGGAACTGTTCTGTATGTTGATTGTGGTGATTACAAAACTGCATATGATTACTAAATTTCGTAAAATTGTACACTTAAAAATGGGTGAAGCTTAATGTATGTAAATTATACCTCAAAGCTAGAAAAACACTTGCTGCAAATTGTAAGGTTGTATAACATTAGACTTTCTCATATTTTAGAACAGTTGAATGGGTTTTATGCAGCTCGGGTTTTCAGAGCTACTTAGATTATCTCAAAGGAAACTTAATGCAGGTGCTATTGAGCACGCTTCATACACATGCCTATGAAAGGTACAATGGATGATGCCAAAGGGACCTGTGATAGTCTGTATTAGAGAAATTGTAGAGAAATTGCAGACAGTTTATATACACTAAACCATCAAGAAATCCCATGAGAATTGAGGATATGTGTCGCAGGTGAGTATTGGGGCAGGTCAGAAAGAAGGGAGATAATTTAGTAGGGATAGGGGTGGTCAGGGAAGGCCTCTGACAGAAATAAGACTTGAAAGTGTTGGATAAGTTTTCTGGAAATAATTTGAGCAGAGATGTGGCAGTTACAATACATACTTAAAAATGGCTGGACTGGAGTATGTTGGAAAGACTCGAGGACTTTGAGGTCTGTCAGCTTCACAAATAAGGTTGCAGAGTGTTCCCAGTTCTCTAGCCTGGAGCTTGTGTGTACTGGTTCTTACCCTGATTATGTCCTCTTCCAATTCTGAGTTTAGTGACGTTTCATTTATTGCCTGAGATTGGCCACGCTGGGAATATTTAAAGCGTGCAAATTGACAATCATTTTGGAAATCTGTCTCCCCCAACTTCCTACCCACCCCACCAGCCAGTTGTCAACCATTTACCAGCACACTACTGATTGTAATCCTGAGAATTATGAACTTCAGAGAGGGGAACGAACAGAAGATCCAGAGGTGGCTGGAGAGGTGTAGAGAGAGCCAGAGGGGAAAAAGATACTCGTAAGGGAGATGACAAGGCACAAATATTCAATGCTGAAAGAGAAGTAGGATTTTTGTTGTTGTTTCCAAGAGAACTGAAGCAGTAGGATGCCTTATCACAAGCACACATGTAAAAAGCACCTCTCATACAAGTCTTTTCAGACCTTCAGTAAACAGTGCTCCTCCTTGCCTCAACTTGTCTGATATATACACAGCACTTTGATGGTCAATGCATGCAGTGCAGAATTAGGTCCTCCCTTCTCTGTGCTTCCTGGTATTCTTTCAGTTTCTGGCACATGGAAGGCAGTCGTAGTGGCTGAATGAATGAAATCATGAACTAATCCTTATTGCGGTATTGCTCATACTGTATGCTTGCAATACAAAACCTTGCTTACTTGTTTATCTACCTCATTGAAGTGCAAACTTCAGAAGAACCAGGAATTTTGTATCTTGTTGTACCCTAGCACTTGCCACTGCACAGTTGGTGCTCAAGAAATGCTTATTGAAATAATGAAATTAGGCAATTTCAGTTTTAGATAACATGCAATTACCAAAAGATCAAATAGCATTCTGTTCCATGAAACAAACCCATGTCCTTTCTTAAAACATTCAAAAGAGGTGCTATTGAGTTATGTAAAACATGCTAGTCTCTATTGTGGGAGGGCATTAGTCTGCCAATATCTCAGTTTCTTTTTAACAGTACAGAAATTGAAGCAACTTACTATCAAAGTTTCTTCCAGATCTAAGATGCTATGATTCTAAGAGGAAAGAAAATTCAGACCTTGTGGGCTTAAAACCAGGGGTCCTTTATTGCTTTCTGTTAAGGTGGAAAGTTATATATGACATAGACATTTTCTGTACTTTTGGCTTCTTTATATGGATTCTATCTATATAAGTGATAAGTGATTAAGTGAGGTTGGCTAGTAATTATTGCCTCACTCTATTCAATTTCTCTTCTGTCTTATCTGTGGTAGGCTGAACAATGGCCCCCCTAGATGTCCAGGTCATAAGCCATGAAACCTGTGAATATGTTCCCTTATGTGGCAAAAGAGACTTTGCAGATGTGATTAAGTTAAGGATCTCAAAATGGGGAGATTACTCTGGATTATCTCAGTGGGCCCAATGTCATCACAGCATCCTTATAAGAAGGAGGCAGGAGAGTTAGAAGGAGATGTGAGGATGGAAGCAGAGATTAGAAAGATAAAGATCGGAAAGATGTTATGTTGCTGACTTTGAAGATGGAGAAAGGGGCCACAAGCCACAGATTATAAGAGGCGAGTAGAAGCTGAAAAAAGCAAGGAAATGGATTCTCCTTTAGAGCTTCCGTAAGAACTCAGTCCCCCAGTTTGGGCAATATGGCAAATCCCTGTCTCTACAAAATATACAAAAAGTAGCTGGGCATGGTGGCGCATGCCTGTAATCCCAGCTACTTGGGAGGCTGCGGCAGGGGGATTGCATGAGCCCAGGAGGTCAAGGCTGCAGTGAGCTATGATCGCACCTCTGCACTCCAGCCTGGGTGACAGAGTGAGAACCTGTCAAAAAAAAAAAATAATAAAAAAAAAAATAAAGGTGCAGACACCTTGACTTCAGCCTAGCAGAACTGATTTTGAACTTCTGGCCTCAAGAACTTTCAGAGAATAAATTTGCATTGTTTTAAGCGATTAAATCCGTGGTCATTCGTTACAACAGCCATAGGAAACTAATAAAACATCTCTTCTGAAGATTTAAAAATAGCATTCTTTGCTTTCCAAATTTCACTGTGCATAGGACCACCTGGGGATCTTGTTAAAATGCAGATTCTGATTCAGGGGGGTCTGAGGATGGTCATGAAGATTTACAATTGTCTTGAGATCCCAGATGCTGCTGCTGCTGCTGGTTGTAGCCCACACTTTGAATGGGAAAGCTCTGGAGGAGGTATTCATTGTCTGGGCTTCTCTTTCCTTTATTGCCTTTGGTCATCATTACTAAAATATTGTATCCTGTTGGGACTCTTTGGTTTCTGTGAGCATGTAGAGAATTAGAAAGCCACAAAGACTTGGAGTAGAGCCAACATGGGGAGGATTTTAAAAAGCTGCAATTGTTCAACCTGAAGAAAAGACAGAAGATGATTTAATAATGATATGTAAGAAACCAGAGAGTTAATATGTGGGAAATGGTGATTAACTGCCCCTCATCTTTACTTTACAGGATAAAATAGCAAGAAGAATTTGGGCTTAAGAACTCCATACTGGCAGGGAGGTGGTGGTTCTCTTTGACTGTTAGAATTGTACAGCTGCAAGGGCCCTGGGATCCATCTAGTTGTACCCACTCATTTTGTAGATGAAACTGAAGCTGAGAGTGACCTTTGGAAGGTCACAAGCAAATGACAGAATCTGTACTAGAACTGGTGGCTTGGCCATGTTCACTGCACCACCGCAGTGGAGGCTGTGCCATGGGGTTTAGATAATTGGTAGTTGCTCATCACTTTGAAGTGATTTAAAATTGGGGCTGTCCCAGGGAGCCTTCTAGGGTGGCAGAAGTGTTCTGTATCTTGCTCTTGGGTTCAGTTATACAGGTGTATGCATGTGTGTGTGTAAAACTCATCAAGTTGTAAACTTGACCTTTGCATACTTGACCGTACACTGATTATTCAGCAATTTTGAAATTTTTTGCTAGCATTTAGAAAATGAAAATGCTGAACTCTTCGTTGTAGCCAAACACTGGAAATGATCCAAATGTCCTTCAAATTAGACTAGATACATAAACTGTGGCAAATTTATAGAATGGATTTCTATATAGCAGTGAGAGTAAATGAACTGTACCATACAGCAACATAGATGAGTCTCACAAGCATGTTGGTGACTGAAAGAAGCCAGACACAAAAGAGAACATTCCATAGGATTCTATCTATATAAAAGTCGAAACTGAGCAAACTTAACATGGCCTTAAAAGTCAGGGGAGCCGGGCGCGGTGGCTCACGCCTATAATCGCAACACTTTGAGAGACCAAGGTGGGCAGATCACTTGAAGCCAGGAGTTTGAGACCAGCCTGGCCAGCATTGTGAAACCTCATCTCTACTAAAAATACAAAAATTAGCCAGGTATGGTGGCACGTGCCTGTAATGCCAGCTGCTTGGGAGGCTGAGGCAGGAGAATCGCTTGAACCTGGGAGGTGGAGGTTGCAGTGAACCGAGATCGCACCACTGCACTCCAGCCTGGGTGACAGAGCGAGACTCTGTGTCAAAAAAAAAAGGGGAGTGGCTAACTATGAGGGAAGTATTAGGGACACAAGGGGGGCTCTACCTGGCTACATGGTTATATCCACTTTGTGAAAATGAAGCACAATGTATTCATTTGCACATTTTCTTTATGTACATTTCAATTAAAAGTTAAAATTGGTTGAGAGAGGTTGGGAGAAGAACTTCTCACAAACCTCTGTATACTATTAAGCTTTGAAGAATTTAGGTTTTTTAAAGCTTTTTAAATTGACAAATAATAATTGTTCATATCCATAGAGTACATAGTGATGTTTCAATGCATATAATGTTTAGCAGTCAGATCAGGGTAATTAGCATATCCCTCATCTCAAACATTTATTTCCTTTTGTTAGGAATGTTCAATATCTTCTTAGCTATTTGAAATGATATATTGTTAACTCTAGCCATCCCAGAGTGGTATAGAACACTAAAACTTATTCCTCCTGTCTAGCTGTAATTTTGGTTTCATTACTTATTTTTTAAAAGCACAGGTGGAGGTAATTGCATTAGAAAACATGTACTTTCATAGAATCCCTGGAAGATAACTTGCTGTGGAGAGAAACCTTCAGTTAAGGAGTCTGTATATTTAAATCTCAGTTCTAAGCCAAAAGCCATCTCTTCTCTTGTCAGCTTTCTCTCTGAGCTAGTACAGTCTTTCTTTCATGAAAATCTATGAAGCCAGCACCATCCTCAGATCCTTTTTGGCCCTTTGTAGTTCTACAGAATGGGGGCATTTTTTAAAAGAAGCAGCTTGAAATAAATAGTAATTTTGTTAGGAGACAATGTTGTCATGCCAGGCACACTTCCCTGCAGCAGTGCCTGGAGTGCCACAGTTGGTTTCAAATGGTGTGAAGCGGTTCCAGACAAGCAGCCGACCAAACAGAACTTGTCACCCCAAGCCAGAATTCCCCCAAAGCCATATCTGCTTCCTGCCACTGGTGGTATAGTTTCAAACCAGCTGGCTAGCCTACCTGAGATAATTTCATCATGTGAGGTTGTACAGAAAAGGGTTGACTTGACCAATCTGAGACTATCTTGGACAAGGCCAGCTTGCAAGGTTGGCCCTTGGCTGGCATCGGGAACTTGGTGGTAAGCAGTTCCCTGCAGTGATAAGAACTTTCCCTAAGTGATAAGGCTGGTTCAGGATGGCTAGACTGTGCTAACACTATGGCTTATGCTGAACACCTTTCCTTCCTTCCTGGAGTCTGGAATTTCAATATGTTTAGGCAGAGGGTGCCTCCATGACCAGCCTGCCTTTCTAACCAGCTTTTCTGGGCAGAACTGTCACACATATTATTGTGACTTCATTGGTAGGGGCAAAGTGTGCCCATGCGATATCTCCTGGGAAGAGAGAGCATAAGGAAGTCTGCATGTGGATTCTTCCAGACTCCACGTGTGTCTTTTTCCCTTTTTTTTTTTTTTTTTTTTTTTGAGGTGGTGTCTCACCCTGTCGCCCAGGGAGTAACCTCAGCTCACTGCAACCTCTGCCTCCCAGGTTCAAGTGATTCTTATGCCTCAACCTCCCGAGTAGCTGGGATTACAGGCATGCACCACTACGTCTGGCTAATTTTTGTATTTTTAGTAGAGATGGGGTTTCACCATGTTGGCCAGGCTGGTCCCGAACTCCTGACCTCAAGTGATTCACCCACCTCAGCCTTCCAAAGTGTTGGGATTACAGGCATGAGCCACTGTGCCCAGCTTGTGTCTTTTTCCTTTATGATCCTTGTATCCTTGTTAAGTTGCTGTAATAAATATTGGCTCTAAGTACAACTATATACTAAGTCCCATGGATCCTTCTGTCGAATCTCAGAACATGGGGTGGTCTTTGGGACGCAGGTACCTAAGTGAATATTTAAAGTAGTTTTCAGCTTTTTTCCTGATGAAAATAAGGTGAGAAGATACTCCTGGGTGCTTCTGGTGGGAGTACGAACATGGAACAACCCTTGTCGAGGACATGTTGTCAGTTTCTAGCAGATCATACATTCATTGACCCTTTGATCCAGGATTCCCACTTCTGGAAATTTATCCTGTAGCTGTAACAATACCTGTACAAAATGATACACATAAAAGGTTTTTGGCTGGGCATGGTGGCGTGCACCTGTAGTCTTAGCTACTTGGGAGGCTGAGGCGGGAGGATCACTTGAGCCCAGGAGTTTGAAGGTCAAGGCTGCAGTGAGCCATGGTCATGCCACTGCACTCCAACCTGGGTGACAGAGTGAAACCCAGTCTTTAAAAAAAAAAAAAAAAAGTTTTTGTTGTACTCTTCCCCCAGCCTTTATTTGTAATAGCAAAAGACCAGAAACTAGTATTGTCCTGTATGGGGCTGCTGAGTCTCTGAGGGTACATTCACACTAGGAATGACTGCAGCTAGAATAGAACGAAGAAGTTGTATGTGATTAATAGAAAGTTTTCTCATGTGAATTAAATCAAAAGCAGGGTACAGAACAGTTAAGTCTAGTACTGTGTGCTCCTTTTCTGGGCGAAGGGTGTGTGATGCTCTGAATAACTATTAAAAGTGGTGACCTGTAGGGGGCAAGTTAGACAGTGAATGAAGGCAGAAATGAGAACTCTGTGTATACTTCCTTATATTGCTTTCATTTTTGTGTCAATTACCTATTAAGTTTTTTTTAATTGAAAATGAAAAGAGCTGAGAGGAGGCAGTCTGCTTGAGGTGAATCAAAATCAAGGTATTATAAGTGAAATAAAAATTTTACATACTTAATTTTCTCTTTGTTTACATCAGGTATGGCCCATGAGTCAGCCACCTGTTTTTGTAAATAAAAAAATCTTGGAACACAGTCATGTCCATTGTTTTACATATGCTCCTTGGCTGCTTTTTTGCTACGGTGGCAGAGTTGAGTCATTGCAAAAGAGACCAGATGGCCCACAAAACCTAAAATATTGACTATTCTGGCCGTTTACAAAAAAGTTTGATGACCCTGCACCTGTAGTGTTTAGTTATGGCTTATATCAGTGTTGATGCCCTGCCTAAGGATATCAGGATGGATTGGAATTTGATTCATCTGTAGTAGGTAAGGCCAATGGTAGTCATTTGAAAGATGCCATTTTTTATAAACTCTGAGCAAACTCATGTTACGTGATTGCTGGGGGGTCAGGGGAGGGGGATTTTACTCTACAAAGACACATTAGTCTATTTCTAAAACCTGCCAAGAGAAATTTTAAGAAGCAATGAATGATCTCTTCTCTAAAGTGTGGTGCCTCTGAGACAATCTACCTTCCTGGCAATGATACCCTAGCTAAATGTTGTCTTTGAAGATTTATATCATCAGAATCATGGAAACTGGACCTCTCCAGGAGAAACTGAGGTCTGCACTGTGCAAGATGGGATCATTGTCCCTCGATTTCAGCTGGTTTTTTTTTTTTCATTGCATGCCTGAGGTGACTTTACCCATCCTTCCAGAACAAAATGGATTATTCTTTGAGATGTCTGGTGATTATCATAAACCATTATCATATGGTTCTGTGATATAGGACCGTAAGCAAGGCATTTGAATAATCATGATTTTATATGAGTAATGATGATAGCTACTGTTCACTGAGGGCCTACTGTGTGTCAGGCAGCGTGTAAGGTGTTTTATGTGTATTACATCTATTTAATCTTCCCCTCAACCTTCAGGGATTGATATGATCATTTTCACTCTACAGGTAAGGAAACCAAGGCTTAGAGTTTAAGTTACTGAAGAGGTGATGTTGCTGGTAAGTGGCAGAGGTGAAATTAGAACCCAGCTCTGGCTCAGAATCTATATTCTGTTCCATACTTCAGTGACTTGGAATGGGAATTAGTTACGAGGTAGAACCCCATTCAGATTAACTAACTTTTTTTTTTTTTTTTTTTTTGGAGATGGAGTCTCGCTCTGTTGCCCAGGTTGGAGTGCAATGGCACAATCTCAGCTCACTGCAGCCTCTGCCTCCTGGGTTCAAGCGATTCTCCTGCCTCAGCCTCCCGAGTAGCTGGGACTACAGGCATGCACCACCGCGCCCAGCTAATTTTTGTATTTTTAGTAGAGATGGAGTTTCACCAGTTGGCCAGGCTGGTCTTGAACTCCTGACCTCAAGTGATTTGCCCACCTTGGCCTCCCAAAGTGCTGGGATTACAGGCACGAGCCCCCATGCCTGGCCTAGATTAACTTTTTTTCAAAGAAGTGAGTTCAATATAGTTTTAATTTATTGGTAAAATGAATCATTACAAATATTTTAAATAACGATACCAATAAAAACAATGCTTTTATTCATTGCATGTCCTAAAGACTACATGTAGTTTCATTGACGTCTTCCATTGACTTTGTGAAAGATATTTAGTATTCTCATTTTTTCAAAGAAGCTGGATATTAAAGAGCTTAAGTATATTGCCCATACTCACATGTATGGTTCAACCAAGGTCCAGACTCCCATCCCCTGGAACCTGTTCTGTCTACTGTGCTACATGGATTTAAGGCTTGAATTAGTAACTTGGCAGACTGACTGTCCAAGAGACAAACATGCTGTTCAAAGTATTTGTCCTAGTCCATTTGTATTGCTATAAAGGAACGCCTGAGGCTGGGTAATTTATAAGAAAAGAGGTTTATTTGACTCACAGTTCTGGAGACTGTACAAGAAGCATGGCACCAGCATCTGCATCCAGTAAAGGCCTCAGGAAGCTTCCACTCATGGCAGAAGGGAAAGGAGCTATCACATAGAGTGTGAGAGAGGAAGCAAGAGAAAGAGGGGAAGGAGGTGCCAGGCTCTTTTTAACAACCAGCTCTCTCAGGAGCTAACAGAGGAAGAACCCACTCACTCCCTTCCACTCAGAGAGGACATTAATGTATTCATGAGGGATTCACCTCCGTGACTCAAACACCTCTCATTGGGCCCCATCTCCAATATTGGCATCAGATTTCAAAATGAGATTTGGAGGGGACAAACATCCAAACTATAGTAGTGTTCCTATATTTTATTATTTTTTGAGACAGAGTCTTGCTCTGTCACCCAGGCTGGAGCGCAGTGATGCCATCTCGGCTCACTGCAGCCTCTCCTTTGTAGGTTCAAGCGATTCTCCTGCCTCAGCCTCCTGAGTTGGTGGGACTACAGGTGCGTGCCACCATGCCTGGCTAATTTTTGTATTTTTAGTAAAGATGAGGTTTCACCATGTTGGCCAGGCTGGTATCGAACTCCTGACCTCAGGTGACCCGCCCCCTCAGCCTCCCAAAATGCTGAGATTACAGGGATGAGCCACCACACCGGGCCTATATTTTATTACTCTCCCCCCCACCCCCAAAATAACATATATTAAAAATGTTGCTTTTGGCCAACTCCCTGATTCTGTTTCTATTCCCTTTTTGCCATCAATTATGGTAGTTATGTTCTAACAAATTGATTTTTACTTTCTTGTGCTGATGACTTTAGCAACTCCTATGTGAAGGTAATTGCTAGTTTTATTGTCTTAACATTATGCTAACTGTTAGTGTAATCCAGAGTAATCAATGGTATCCAGCCTGGAGCTGATTATGTTCAATTGTTTCACCAATCATTTGTCTGTATTTATGATACACCCATGTACACATCTGGCCTCCAGGCAATGGCAATGACTGTGTGTATGAAAGAATCAAGTGAATGTAATGTAAGGCAGTGTGTGATTATGTCAAAATGGATGGGACAGGGTGTTGGTGCCGTAAGAGTTCACAGAAAGCTAAAGTGGTAAGAAAATGCCTTGTGGAAACCCTGATGATTCTATCTTCTTGGCGTCAGCCTACTTTTGAATTCAGCCTACCTTTCTCAAATTCTGTTTCTACCTGGTCCAAGTCACCATCATCTCTGATGTGGATTACTATGCTTACTCCCTATTTCTTCCACATTTATTTTTTTAAACAATTGTATTTGGGTATAATTTACATATTATAAAATTTACCAGAGTATTTCCATCACTCAGTAAAATTCGATGAGCTTATTTACAGTTAGTTCCTATTCCCATCTCTAGTCCCAGGTTCCTTGAGGAACCATGCATCAAGTTTTCATCTCTACTGTGTGCCTGTTTTGGACATTTTATGTAAATGGGCTTACATATGTTCTTTTGTGTCTGGCTTTTTTCTCTGAGCATGGTATTTTTCAGGTTCATCCATATTGTACCATGTATTAGTACTTTGTTTTTATTGCCAGAAAATGTTCCACAGTGTGGATTGACCATATTTTGTTTATCCATGTACCAGTTGATGGATGCTTAGATTCTGTGAACATTCATGTACAAGTTTTTGTGTGGACAGAAGTTTTTATTTCTCTTGAGTATATACCTAGGAGCAGAATTATCATATGATAACTCTTTAACTTTTTGAGAAACTTCCGTATTGTTTCCCAAAGTAGCTGCATCATTTTATATTCAGTGTATGAGGGTTCCTGGTTTTCCACATCCTCACTAACACTTGTTATTGTCTTTTTTCTTATAGCCATTCTAGTTTGTGTAAAGTTGTATTTCATTCCCTCTTTCAGTCTCTAAACAACCGGCAGAATAATTTTTTATTGTTTTTTTACAAATGCATATCTGCTATCTTACACCCTGACTGAATCTCTTTAATGGCTTCCATCACATGTAAAATAAAGTCTAAATAAATTCTTTGACCTGTTGTCACAGGTCGGGTTCCCTAGGAAGTACACTCTGAGATGGAGAGGTTTGTTGAGGATTGCTTTCAGGGTAAACACCTGTAGGGGCATGAAAGAAGCAGGACTGAGCAGAGGGAGAAGTTGGGCTGCAGCATCATCCCAACCAAGGTCTCAGCTTATCCTATTGGAACCTTCAGAGGTGGGAAGGCTCTGCAAGGTTGGCTGGACAAAGGATCTGGGTCTTTATGCACCCATATTGACCAGTCACTGAGTGCCAGATGCCCCTGAGCCAGGGACATGACCATGGGCAAGACGGCTTTCTTCAGTAGAGTACAATCACTAGGAGGAAGTCCTCAGCCACAAGCTGTCATCTGTCAACTTTGCCAGCAGCTGGGGGTATCAGTATATCAGTCCGGAAGGAGGGGAATCTGGGTGATATATTACAGCATCCACTATACCTGAGCTGAGAGCCATCACATTCTGGTCTTCTCGACTTATCTCTTAATACTTCCTTTCTTGCTGTCTGGGCTCTAGCCACACTGCTTTAAATTTCTTTATGTTCTCAAGTTTCTTCCAACCTTAGGATCTTTGCACATACTATTCCTATTGGTTTATGGCCATACCAATTTAAACACCTCCAATCTTATCTAGAAAGTGAGAGCATTTTAAAAATCAGTGTTTAAATCGTATTTGTAAAGTTGCTTGAAAAAGGACTAGGCTATTAGGCTAGTGTTAAAGCTGTCATTTGGAGGGCCTTTTTAGCTTTATTATAAATTCCAATATTGGGAATTGCTCATTTGACATGATGTATAGGAGCCATTTTCTAATGGACCAGCATTAATCCACTTATAGCTGAGTGGCCAACAGATTAGCAAGCACTTCCATTTTCTATAAAGAAATGGATATTGTAAAGGCCTGGGTGATGCTGAGGAGGAGGCTCAATAGGATCATATTTCTTGTATTCAAACTGCAAAAATATAAGTAGGATTAATGTTATGTTAGAGTTTAGATGGAGGTATTAATACATTGCATTTAGAAATAATACACTGAAATCTATAAAGAACAAGAGTATTTGTTTAAAGTAGACTTTGGAGAGAAACTCATTGGTAAATCTTGAAATTTGGTCTCTAAATAATTAAAAGTTGTTTGGATTTTTTAAAAAATTGCCATGTTTCCCTCTTAACTGATTTTCTGCCAAATTTTCCTGTTCAGCACTCAGAACTTGGGCAGCAGTTGGTGTGTAAGGGATGTTTGCACACATATAAGATGGTGTTTTTTCCTTCATCTCTAATGATTTCATAAGGTCTCAGTTCTATATGACATTTGGATTTTGAATTTATAATACCATGTTTATATATTTAACATGGACACATGGCAAGTGCTGGGAATTAAAGCTAAATATAGACTTGTTGACTGAACAATCAAACTATCTGCTTGTCTTAGTCCATTAGTAGTAGTTTCACTGGTATGGTTGATAGAAAGCACTCACCCTCCTCATACGTGCATGAGACGAGGCCAAGAAGTGATTCCTGTGTAAATTGGCAGCCATGACAGTAATGATGTTTGCCTAAAACATGTGTCAGTAATAGGAAAGATGATTAGGCAAAGAAGAAAAAGTTTAAAAAAAAAAAAAAAAAAAAGCTGGCGCAGTGGCTCACGCCTGTAATCCCAGCACTTTGGGAGGCCGAGGCGGGTGGATCATAAGGTCAGGAGATCGAGTCCATCCTGGCTAACATGGTGAAACCCCGTCTCTACTAAAAAAAATACAAAAATTTAGTCTGGCATTGTGGCGGGCGCCTGTAGTACCAGCTACTTGGGAGGCTGAGGCAGGGGAATGGCGTGAACCCAGAGGGCGGAGCTTGCAGTGAGCTGAGATCACGCCACTGCACTCCAGCCTGGGCGACAGAGCAAGACTCCATCTCAAAAAAATGAAATAAAAAATAAAAAAAAAGATGGTCGAGGGAGAGATGCGTATTTGCTCTGAGTGTTCAGAGATTTCCTTACACTTCTCTATATAGATAAGAAAACAAATATGAGCCCACAGTGGGTATAAAGCAACCTTTTTCTAAGAAGTGGACTGGAAATAAGTCTGGTTTTTGGTTCAAGGAGGGCCTGGGAAGTATCCAGCATGATGTCCGGGAACACAGATCAGAAGTAGACAACTGAGCCTAGAAATGCTGGGGTTGAGTGGGAGATGGGATGGATGCATGAGTAGGTGGGTGCGTGGGTGGGAATTCAGAATTTCGTAGAGGAAATGGAAGTAGGGAAAAGGGACAGCACTCAGGTGGGAAACTCAGAGGTTTAGCTGTCACTGGGAGACAGCCAAATGGGAGAGGAAGGGAAAGGTGGAAAATGAGAAAGAGAGAAAGGAATGCAGAATGGAGAACGGGGTTTTGGCATTCTTTTCTGTCCTTACTTGTTCTACCTGTGATAAAGAACCCATCAGTTTGGACACAGTGTCCCTTCATGGCCTGGCAAGAATCCTCAGTAGGACACAACCTCCTACGTGGGAGTGGTGATTCAGAGGAAACACATGGTGAGGATAATTAATTTGGAGGTTGACCATGTTCTGTGTGGGTGTTTACCTCTTTCAGAACATGTAGCTGAAAGTTCAGCGTGTACTATTGAAAAGCTTTCTTGCAACGTTGCTGGCTGTCCTTGGTCTTGAGACTAAAGCATCCCATAGAAGTGGTGGAACGCTAAAGATTGAAACAAACCACTGAAAATTGATTTATAAATATATAACTAGTTGTAAGCTGAAGACTAAAGCATCCCATAGAAGTGGTAGAATGCTAAAGATTGAAACAAACCACTGAAAATTGATTTATAAATATATAACTAGTTGTAAGCTGAAATCTAAATAACTTTTTAAGTTAAATATATATACAAAAATATTAGAAGAAGGAGAATTTTCACTCTCAACTCATTCTTGCATAGAAAAATAAAATCTATCATCTCTGTATATTAGAAGCATTTTGTTTTTGGAAGAGGTTGTTGGAATAGGTTATATGGAAGGCCATTTCATTCAAATGAACAAAAATTACGTGAGATGGAAATTGGCAAATTTATCCCAAGTAAATACTGAAAAACCTGGAAGCCTTTCAGGTGCTCAGATTTCCACTATAGAAAAGAAAACATTCTGGCCAGGTGCAGTGGCTCATGCCTGTAATCCCGGCACTTTGGGAGGCCCAGGTAGGTGGATCACCTGAGGTCAGGAGTTTGAGACCAGCGTGGCCAACCTGGTGAAACCTCATCTCTACTAAAAATACAAAAATTAGCAGGGCATGGTGACGTATGCCTGTAGTCCCAGCTACTCGGGAGGCTGAGGCATGGGAATCGCTTGAACCCAGGAGATGGAGGTTGCCGTGAGCCAAGATCACACCACTGCACTCCAGCCTGGGCAACAGAGCGAGACTCCGTCTCAAAAAAAAAAAAAAAGAAAAAGAAAAAACGTTCTGAAAATAAATAAAAAGAAACATTCTGGCACATATTAGAAGGTACCAGAGTAAGAGAGGCAAGATAAATCCCAGCTTTGTTGGTCATACTGCATATCAAAAACAATGAATTGTCTTTTCTGTTTTCTTATTTTTGTTTAGAGCATAGTCAGTGGTTCAAGAACTCTAAGCCATAGATAGCTCAGACACTAGGAAAGATGTTGGCTGACTTTGAGGGGGAACCACTTGTAGCTATAGACAACCAGAAAATGCTGTGGTCCATACCATGAAATATTTTGTCTTACTGAAGTTTGAAGATCCTTCCAGATCCCGGCATTGATCTGGAGAATGATATTCTCCACATACTTGGGCTCCAAGTCTTTGTGTCCAGGGCTTGGCAATTACCTTATTGTATCCAGTGGAATAATAATTTTGATGCTATTTGTTCAAATAATTCTGAATGTACTAAATGGATGACATTGTTAAATGGGACATTTGGCTGTTACAGGATGTGTGTGTGATTGATTAAAGCAAATTTTAACTGTCAGAAGATGAAGGCACTAAAAGTTTTTGCCATCTAACAAGCATCAGTCAGATATGAAAATAGGTGTTTCCAGTCACTTTTATTAATAACATAATCAACATTTGTGCTAAACTAGAGTTCTTTCAAAATGGAATTTGGCAATGCCAAAATAGCCAAAACTACAAAGCTACCGTGTGGTACTGGCCTAAGAATGGACATATAGATCAATAGGATATCATTGAGAGTCCAGAAATAACCCTTATGTTTATAGTCAATTGATTTTCATCAAGGATACTAAGACAATTCAGTGGGGAAAGAATACTCTTTTCAATAAATGGTGCTGGGACAATTGGATATCCACATGTAAAAGAATGAAGTTGCACCCCTACCTCATATACACAAAAATTAACTCACGATGGATCATAGACCTAGATGTAAAAACTAAAATTATAAAACTGTTAGAAGAAAACACAGGAGTAAATCTTCATGACCTTGGTTTAGACAGTGGTTTCTTAGATGCAACAATAGCAACAAAGGAAAAGAATAGATACATTGGACTTTATCAGAATTAAAAACTATTGAGCTGCAAAGGACACCATCAAGAAAGTAAAAAGAGAACTCACAGAATGGGAGAAAATATTTAAAATCATATATCTAAGAGACTTGCATCCAGAATATATTAAAATTAATAATAAGACAACCCAAAATAAAAATAAAGGATGTGATAGGCATTTCTCTAAAAAATTTACAAATATCCAATAAGCTTATGAAAGATGTTCAACATCATTAGTTGGGAAATGCAAATTGAAACCACAATGAGATATCACTTCACACCCACTATCATGGCTGAAATCAAAAGACAGTAAATACATGTTGGTGAGGATGTGGAGAAACTGAAACCCTCACATGCTACTAGTGGGAACGTAAAATGGTACAGCTGCTTTGGAAAACATAATGGCAGTTTCTCTAATGGTTAAATATAGGATTACCATATGACCCAACAATTCTACTTTCAGGTATATACCCAAAAGAAATGAAAACTTGTGTTCACACAAAAGCTTGTACATGAGTGTTCATAGTAGTAGTGTTCATAATAGCCAACAGGTGGAAACAACTCAAATGTCCATCAACTGATGAGTGGATCAACAAAATGTGGTATATCCTGCAATGCAGTATGATTCAGCAATAAAAAGAAAGGAAATACTAACACATGCTACAGCATCAATGACCCTTGAAAACATTAAGTAAAAGACTCCAGTCACAAAGGACTACATATCCATGTGTCCAGAAAAGGCAAGTTTATGGAGAAAGTAGAAAGTTTATGGAGAAAGCTCCTAATGGTTGCTTTGAACCAGAGTTGAGGGGTGAGGGTAGGGTAGGGAGGAATACAGATTGACTGCTAATGGGATCTTTTAGTAGGGACTGAAGTGTTCAAAATTAGATCGTGTTAACAGTTGCGATCATATATTTTGAACAAGTGGAAAGGGGGGAATATATTAAAAATTGTACACTTAAAATGGTGAATTGTATGGTATGTCAATGATAATAAAGGTGTTTGTTAAAAAAATGAGTTTTGGCTTCATCGTAATCAGTGAAAGAAATATGTTGAGTAAATATTAATACATTATTTTATGCTGTGTCCATTGACTCATATTTTAATCTGGGAAATATGCATCTTTAATTACTGCCATTGTGTGCTTAAGGCTGATGTGTTTGGGTAGCTTTTAAAAAATTTTTTTTCTTTTAAAAAATTTTTTGTAGACATGGGGGCCTCACTATGTTGCCCAGGCTGCTCCTGAACTCCTGGCCTCAAGCAATCCTCCCATCTCAGCCTCCCAGAGCACTAAGTTATAGGCATGAGCCACCAGGTCTGGCCACAGATCTTTTTGACAATGGAAATGGTTGTTCTTTGATCAGGTCAATAAAATAATTACTGCTGGCAGAGGGATGTGCCTCCTGTTCAATGTGGAGGTCATTAGGGGCCCCTGGGCTTCATAAACCACAGGGGGAAATTGAGAACTACTTAGTGTTTCTATGCACTGAGCTCCTACCGACGTAATGTGTTAGGTGTCTAAATTTGCACTTTATGATATATTTCGCCAAATTTTCTCTCCCTGGCAATGAAGTGATGTTTACTTAACAGTTTCTTAAAAGAGATGGTACTCTGTGATCCATTTTTATTTATGATAGGAAAATTACACTTTTATTTTAAAAGCCAAAGGTCATAGCCATTGCAGATATTCTAGTAATTATTATTTGAGAAATCAGTTCTCACTGAATGCAATGACAATTTTCTAAACCTAGAATAGGTGCTGTGGCGTGGTACCAGAGGAGTAACATATGTGGCCCTTGTTCCATGAGAGATCAAAGTCGTTTTGGAATGTAAAACTTAAACACATGAATATTTTGGAGAAAAAGAATGTCATATTGTAGTAAATTGGGGGGACATAGACCTATGACATGGTGAGAATCGATTCATTGAGGTTTCCCACAAGCTGTAGCCCTTGAGTTGCACCTTGAAGATGAATAGAATAGAATTAGAACAAATCGAAAGGGAGGAAGAGTGAGAAGGAAACTGGTCCAAGAAGCAGAGGTGAGAAGGTACATGGGGTAGCCAAGAGAAACATGGTGGGTGAGCATGGCAGAGAGTCCAGCAATCCATGAAGGTCGGTGATAGCCAGCCCATCTATTAAGCAGGGGTTCCATTGTAGATTGGTTGAACAACTCCATGAAAGTGTTAGTTCTGGACAGATAAGCCTTGGCCTGTGATTTGAAGTGGGAGAACATAGAAGTAGAAAACCAGGTAGATTGCCATTACCTCCACCCAAGTCTGAGGCCAGGAGGAGAGGCTGAAGAAAGGGGTGAGGGTGGATTTAAACTACTGACAAACACCTCCCACCACCGCCCCCACACATGTATATTTGGTGACTAATCAAATGTGGGGAAACCCTAGCTAACTCATGTATTTTAGAGAGAACATGCCTACGATATGTAAAGGCATTCTGTAGATCTTGGATGACTGCTCCAGACTCTAAGGTGATGTGAAAATATATTATGACAACCATCATACAGACATCCAGAGGGATGGAAGTGAGATAACTTCCCATAGCGACCTAGCTGGCAAATGGCAGAGCTGAGGTTCTGAAGTCTTGAAATGAAGATGTTGGAAGGGTAGTGATGCCTTTGATGGGAAGGACAGCCTTGGGAAGGATGACGGAGGCATCTGCTGGGGAGTGGGAAGATGAACTCAACTTATCATACTGAGTTTAGGAGGATGTGAAATATTTAAGTGAAAGTATGTGTACGTATAAATGTGTATATGTGCATGGATACATATGTATATGTTATGTATATATAAATGTGTATGTGTGGGCACATGTGCGTTCATGCATGTACATATGTTTATTCATATATGAACGTCTAAAGTATGCAGGTATGCCTTATGCATGTATATATGAGACATGCACATACACCCATGCATGCATATATGCAATCACATACTTTCACTTAAATATTTTACATCCTCCTAAATTCAAAATATTCTAAGCTGAATTCATCTTCTCTGTCCCTATCCGACACCTCCTTTGTGCTTCCCTTCATACGTGTGTATATGTGCATATATGTAAATGTGTATATACCTACATACACACACACACACATTTGTGTGTCTGTGTGGTAAATGAGCCATTAGAGCTTAGAAAAGAAATCATGGCCTAAAATTTAGAATTGAGAGTTTGGAGCCGGGAGGAATCATGTGAATCTATTATAAAGGGTAATGTCCGGGGAGAGGAGAGAGAGGAGCCTTTTGAACATTCACAGATAGATCACAGGGAGAAATGGAGATGTAGCCACAACAAAGGAAGATTCGCTGGGGGTGGAGGAATTCCTTCTTACTTGGGCAACTGCTCTAGGGAGTGCTAGCTTCCAAGTAGGAGCCCAAGAAGTATCATCTGATGTTTGTCAGTATTTTTAAAAATATATTTATTGCGCTTCTACTATACACCAGTCAACAAGTGAGGGGATGGGGACACCAGGAAATGTCAGGCGCGTGGTGTCAGCCTTCCCGGAGCCCGCAGGCAGGGAGGTCGTGCTAAAATTGCTAGCATAGCACACTGAGGTGAGCTGTGGCTTCCCAGTACAGAGCAGCTTAGATTGCTGTAGGTGGGTGGCTGGAGGCAGGGGTTACAGAAGAGAGCATCAGAGCTGAGCCTGGAGGGTTGGTGGCATGCTGCTTAGTCAGGTACTCCTCTTGGAGGACAGGAATGAGGTATTGCATGTAAATTCCTTAGCTAAATGAAATATGTCTTTAAAACTTTTCGTCCAAGTATTACATGCCTTCTCAAGCTATCATTTTAATAAGGTCCACATTGCCAATTGTTTTCATTTGTGGATTGTACTTTTGGTGTTGTATCTAAACACCTTTGTCAAAAGCCAGTTGACTACATTTCTGTGGGTCTATTTCAGGGCGTTCTATTCTGTTCTACTAATCCATGTACGTCCATTTATCACTACCACACTGCCTTGATCTGCATAGCTTTATAGTTGTCTTGAAATCCAGTAGTCTGAGTCCTCTTTGTTCTTTTTCAGAATAACCTTGGCTATCCTAGATTCTTTTCCTTTCCGATAAGAACTTTAGAATCAGCTTGTCAGTATCTACAATAAGGCTTGTCAGGATTTTGACCTGATTGCATTAAATCTATAAATGAAATTGAAAATGAAACCCTCATTTTGAACATCAGTTTTCCAGTTGGGCTTTAATTCCTAGAAGACCTGGAATTAGGAGAGGCCCAAATTGAGACATGATCCAGGCCAATGAAACATCACTTAACAGGGAAAGAGGGGTGTGTGTGTGCGGTACATGAGAAAGCGAGATGGAAATCAGAACCAGAAAGAGGCTGAGCCAGGATCAATGACTGGAGACTCGGTCCCACAGGCATGGATGTTGGTCCCAGTGTGGTGTATCGCTGAAAAGAGTCAAACTCTGTAAAAATATTTAAAGAAGTTTATTCGGAGCCAAATATGAGTGACCACGGCCCAAGGCACAGTCTCAAGAGGTCCTGAGAACATATGTCTAAGGTGATTGGGTAATAGCTTGATTTTAAACATTTTAGGTAGACAAGTTATAGGCAGACATCAATCAATACATGTAAGATTGGTTCAGTCCAGAAAGGTGGGACATCTTGAAGTTGGTGGGGCAGAGTCCAGACCATAGGTGCATTTAAAGATTTCCTGATTGGCAGTTGGTTGAAACGGTTAAGCTCTGCCTTGAAGGGTTGAAATCAGCAAAAAGAAATGATAGTAGTTAAGATAAGGGGGGTTGTGGAAGCCAAGGTTCTTCTTATATAGATGAAGCTTCCAGGTAGCAGGCTTCAGAGAGATTAGATGGTAAACATCTCAAAGTATTATGGGACCTACAAATATTCTGTTTGGTCCGTTCTGAGATCTCAGTTTTAATGTGAATGCTGGTCAGTTGTGCCTTATTTCCAAATTGGGAGGAGGGTATCATGAGGCATCTTGGTCTGAACTAGTTTTTCAGATTTACTTTGGAGTCCCCTTGGCAGGAGGGGTCCAGTCAATAGGTTGGGGGCTTAGAATTTTATTTTTGGTTTACAGGAGGATGGGCAGAGCTGAGCACCTAGGCCTGAGGGAGAGGGACAATGTCTAGGCCTCTAATAAAGGCAATAGGCTACAGTAGTTCTGCAGGGACCATGTGTAGGATGCCAAGCACATGGTCCCTTGCCATCAGGTTCAGCTGCCTCCCCTTCCTCCCTTTGGGCAGGGGAAGGCAGGAATGCATGGGCCTTCCAGAGCCTAGCTCAGCCCCCAGCTGGTGCCTGGTTCCACCTTGGCCCTTAGGAGAGCTCTGACACTCTGAATGTCACTGGCCTTGTCTTAGGGGCCTTAGAAACCAATGAGTGATAATTAAGGAACTGGAGCTTGTATGAAGAAGGTGCCACTTTAAGTGTCCCTGATGGTTTTGAGTTGCCACTAAAGAGCTCAGAGCCCTTTCAAAGAATTCAGTCTGAGCCAGATGAATCTTAATTTCTCACCCTCAAATTGAGATGCAGTCCTTTGGAGAATTAATATTTAGTGGCATGGAACACAAATCATTTCTTTTGCTGGACTCTTAAAGATGTACTAGATTGATTTTGTTTTTATGACCTTTCAAAAACATCGCAGTCTGTTTTGCTAGCTCCAGCCTGTTGAAGTTTTAGAACTCATCTTTAGCAACATCAAAGGTGACAGGGACAGCCTTTGAGAAAGGTACGCATGAAGTGATTGCTGGCATCCCATAGTCAAGTCTCAGGATAAAGCATCCATATTGCCTTTTTTTTTTTTTCTTTTTTTTCCTTTTTACTAGTGGAGATAGGAAACCTATAAATAAGCATGGCAGAGGTGTCCCCTCTGAAGATTGCCCCTTACTAAGTATTTACAGTAACTGGATTTCTTTATTTTGTCAGTTTCTCCAGGAAGAAAGGTGATGTCATGCTCCATAGCAAGATGAGAGAAGGAGTTTAGGGTTTGTAATTTTTTTTTAATCAAAGAATTTAATTGCAATTTAATGACGAGAGAGAGGATGTTTATTACACGGTGGTCCAATAAATACTTTCTAATAAGTTTTTAAGCCATTTGAGGGAAGGCTTGCTACAACAAAATTGACAATCAGGCAAGCCGCTTTGAAGGAAGCAAATCCATGAATTTTCAGACACTGTTGCTAAGCGCAGCTTTGCTTTCCCCTCTGCTTCCCCCCCCCCCCCCCCCCACCAACTTGCTTTGAAAAAGCAAAGCTTAAAAGCCTCTATTGTGTGGAGGGGGGGAATATGCTAATTTGCAGCACATTTCCCATCAGACTCTTTTTTTGGCCTGTCATAGCTGAGATATGAATGATGATAAAGAGAGGAGAAGGTGGCATTATGAGGGTTCGGGGTTTTGTTATTGTGCAGAGAGAAAGGGGATGAATAGGGTGGCACCTCCAGTCACCCGTGAAGCCCCCCTGGGTCTGCGGGCTGCCTGGAGTTGAGTGGGTTCTCATGGGTCTGTTCTGCCCTTCCCCCAGGCACTGCCACAATCTACTGGTGACTCAGCGGCCCCCTCGGGGGAAGGCCGTGTGTGTAAAATGAATAAACACGCCAGGGTGGGGAACTTCTACAGGGGACTAGGAAAGGGGACTTCTACCTCCTAGATAAGTCGTAACAAAGAAAAAGAGAAATCAGTGTTTTGACATGGCAGTAACAACTTTATGAGATATCAAGGTTGTGATTGAAGGGATATCTAGATACATATCCCTTCAAAGCTGTCATGTCGTGGTTTCATACAATTTGGGTTGCGTTTATTTTTGTCAAGTCTTCAGCTTATTCAGTTGGCTCTCTTGCCGGATAACTGGATATGTAGTTAAATTTTTATGCATTAAACATTGATTTTTATGGGGCAAAGTTAGCTAGCATTTCTGAACAATGAGACAACAGTATTGGATGCTTACTCCTGTGTTCAACAATATGAAAAACATGTTTTCCTTCTTGCTCTGAGTGGTTGATTTTTTTTGCAGGAAAGCGCATTGATTTTGTTCCTCGTGAGCACTCCTTAGCTCAGTTTTTTAAATGTATGAATTTTATAACTGAAGAATAATGCATGCATTAGCAAACAGCTATTAAGACCTGCAAAAGTGCTTCCAAATTGAAATTTCGCATGAGTCATTGGAGGCAATTTGTATATGTCAGGTACACACGTAGTGTGTTCTGTATAGTTCATGAAAGTGAATCGTTTGAAGCTAGAAAAGGAATGTTAATTGCATTCTAGGTTTGTGTTGAGTACTTAGTCGATACTGATGGTAGTATGCTTTAGGTGTGAAACAAAAATATAGGATGTCTTTACTGCAATAGTAAGGTGCTTTTAAAAATAAATACATAAATAAATAAACATAGCATCTTTGCTTCTCTTGACTCTAAATTCTGAACAGCTAAAGCATGACAAATCTTTGCACTGTAAAAATGGGACGTTATTTATATCCACAGAACTTCATTGGATAGAAACTAGGGTTAGAGCTCATTCATTTACCTCTACAAATAGGTAGCTCACTTATCCAGATGCATGCAGGTATTAAATGATTAAGCCTCTGTAGATTTTTTTCTTCCTTAAATTAAGGTCTGGAGTCTTCTGTTTGGTGAGTCTTTCACTGGTATGGTAAGCATGCTTTAGCATTAGAATCACACAACCCATTTAAGTTACCATTAATTTTTTTCTGATTGAAGTTGTAGCAGATCAAGGATATCATCGTGAAGGAGCAGATCAGCCACCTGTATGAGTGATTTAAAGTGCAAACTGCTACTGGTTGTAAGCTCAAGACTTGTCTCATTCAAACTCTGGCAGGTCACAAAACGTTTAACACATCTTGCTTATTAACCTCAACAGGTGGTGTAAGATTAGCATTTGAGAGCCACGTGTTCTGAAGACCATCCTGCATTTGTTTGAGTCAGCTTTGGCATGCGGCTAAGCTGTCACTCTGTTCATATCTTCAGAAACTAGAAGCTAATACATTGTCTTGCCAAGCATTTTTCACATCTAGCACTGATGGTGTACCTCTGTGTTTTACTATAAAATGTAAAAGTTGAATGAAGTTGGGAGTTAAGCAGACTCTGAAAGTGAGACTTCTTGTCACTGATTTGAAACTCAGGGATGCACTAGCCCCTCTTAGTTCTTGATGTTTCAGGCAAAACCCTGATGATGGTGCCATGACTGGAAAAAAATCCTGTATAGACAGCTTTTTAAAAGGTACACGTAAGACTAGCTTTTATCTACATGTTGTATTTAATACTTAATCTAGCCAGGAACTCTTCTCATCTGTTTACTACATCCTCATTTAATCTTCCCAGTCACTTGAAGGTGGATATGACTAAATATTACAGTGTACAGGTGAGGCTCTGAGGCACCAAGGAGTTAAGAAACTTGCTCCCATTGTAGAGTTGAAGAAAAACTCCTAGCTTTTTCACTGGGGTCTAGGACACCCCCCAAAAAACTGAAATTCCTAAAAGTGTATCAGATAGAGAACTTCTGATTATTTCTCAAGTACCCATTCAGATAGTATTTCTTCTAGGAAGCCGTGCTTGCCACACATCCTCTGCCCCTTCCAGCTTTTATTGGCCATTCTTGCTGGCAGAGTTAAGCTTGACTACATACTTGCCCCCATGGTTCCACTCATCCTTCCATGGGTTGTATGAGTTTGGGAAGGCTGAGGACCAGATGGCTCTTGTTGGCCATTTAGCAACACCAATAATAGTTGTCCCGGGCTAGATGCTGGGTCTATACTGGTGAATGAATGAGACATGGACCCAACATTCATGTACTCATGCACGGTTTAGTCTGCTGAGATGCTCTGTGGTTCTAGCTGCCATGACAGTGGCACCACCCCCACACACAGGGAAACAGGTAAATATTTGCTGAATAAAAAAATTAATGTTTGTGTCCCTCTGTTCACATGAGCCCATTAGCTCCTCCAGTGAGAAGCAGTCTCCACTCTTTTTATATCCACAGTACCTGACACAATCCTTGGCACATGGCTGGTACTTGATAAATATCCATTAAGTAAACAGATGAGTTATTAACTGACAGCTAAGATGTTTCGAACTGGTATGTCTTAATACGATGACAAGTATCCATTTATTCTTATGTACCACTGTTGCTGCCTTCCACTGAGAAGCTTTCCTGAGAATGAGTGGGATCTCAGGTTGAGAGCTAGAAATTGCTTATAATCCAAGGTTCTCCCCTGTGAGTGGGTGGAGCAGGTGACCATTATCCATCTACTATACTCTGACAGAGACAGGTTGACAAGCTCCATCCCAGAGTTTTATTGCCTTCATGAAAAAAATTTTTAAGCCCTACTCTGGCCTCGCCTATCAATCATCACAACTACTTTTTATTGACTGTTCCTTGGTCTTGAGCAAAGCCCATGGCATGCATTCGCTTACTTAATTGTATGGCATGGTTTGTCAGTGGCTTTTCATTAAAAAGATAAATTGACATTAACAAGCATTGATTTCCAAAGATTTATGTTGTCTTCTCTATTGTGCTCTCTCTTGGCCCAGTAAGATTTTACTTTTAAAAGGCATTTTGTAAAAATACAGGAATGTGGCTTGGCAAAGATGTATATCTTTAGGAAGAATTATCTCTGCCTAGTGAATATATTGTAGATTTGGCATTTGAGCCTTATCCTAACAGAATATTTGCTTTGCTAACTATACATCAGGTGAAAAAAGAGCATGTTTGGGTGGGAATCAAGAGACTTGAATTCTTTAGTCCTATCCATCCTGATTACAGACTGGAAAAGGAAAGATGAGCTGGATGGTTTTAAAATTTCCCTCCTGTTTTAGAATTCTGGGCACATAATGTTTATTTCAAATAAGACCGGATAATCAGAAGAATTGAACAAAATTCTTCTCGTTGTAGTTTCTGGGAAGAAATCCTAGGTTGTTTGACTCCAGTGCCTTCATCTTAAATGTCTGTGTGGTAAAATGAAGGTACATAGCCTGCCCTCTCAGGGCCCTGGGTGACATTGTCACCTTCATGGCATGAACCAAAGACAAAGCCCAATGGCAGAGCACTAGAAACCTTCCTCTCTGAATTGAAAGCCATCACTTAGTTACCACTTAGAAAGCACGTTAGCCCGTTCTGATTCCACTTGAGTGTATGACTAACTGACCTCAAATTGTTTGTACATTGAAAGCACAGATGAACACAGTTTTGTTTTTGTTTTTTAATAGGGTCTCTCTTTGTCACCCAGGCTGGAGTGCAATAGTGTGATCATGGCTAACTGCAGCCTTAAACTCCTGGGTTCAAGAGATCCTCACCCCTCAGCCTCCTGAATAGGACTACAGGTGCATGCCACCAAGCCTAGCTAATTTTTTTTCTAGTTTTTTTTTTTTTTTTTTTAAGAGATAGAGTCTTGCTCTGTTGCCCAGGCTGGGCTCGAACTCCTGGGCTCAAGAGATCCTCCCACCTCAGCCTCCCAAAGTGCTGGGATTACAGGAGTGAGCCACAGTGCCTGGCTGACACAATTTTTAAAGTGTACCATTATGTTGCTAACATTGCACTATCTTATTCTCAAATATATGGAAAGAGGTTTTATCAAATAGCTTGTGAGGTCAGCATAGACAATAGCATTCACTTGATCTAGTAATCCTATCTAAAAATAGAAAATACATTTGTTTCGGCAATACAGTATGTCATTGATGTAGAAATTATGAATGTACAATTACAGGATAAATTAAAACTGCCCAGCCCTTAAGTTATTATGGGTTAATGCGAGTGGATATTTGTCATCTGCTGTATGAATGTCAGCGTCATACACAGATTTTTAGGGAATGCTGAATGTCAGACAGCTCACAAAGAAGCAAAGATCATAACTCACTATAACCTCAAACTCCTGGGCTCAAGTGATCCTCTTGGCTCAGCTCTTGAGTAGCTAAGACTACAGGCCTGAGCCACCAAGCCCAACTGTTCCTCAGATTTTGACCTTTCCTCTGAGATGATCTAAATCTGCAGATTCTGTGCTATGAAAACATTGTGTGCTTTTTAATGACTTAAAATATTATTGGTAGATTCCATGAGATCACTGAGATTTACTCTTCATTGGTTGCCCTTTCTACCCAATAGGATATTTTATGTTTGACCTGGCAGGGATCATTATTTCAAGTTGTCCCAATGCTTTTCAATTTTCAAAGGCCACTGACTATTTAGTGGATTAAAGGACCTAAATGACTTCATCCTACTTCTAATTTCCATCCTAGAAGGTAAACAGATGAGACAATTGAACAGAAGATTGCATTTGAATAATGTGAATATATTTTAAAATGTGTGGCCTTGTCTTAGTGTGAATTATCATCAGCAATAGACCAAATGAAATAGCTCCAATTTTTGTGCAGTTTGTGTTTTATACCAACCGTGGACCACCCAAGCAGCTGACCCAACAAGGCACTGGTTTTCTGTAGACTTTAGTCTGAGGGCCATTGACTTACATATCTATAAGTCCTGGGTACTTTCCTGAACTAGCAAAAGCAAGAATGCTAACATCAGAAAGTAAATTTCGGATACTTCAACAAGCCACATGTTGGTAAATTTCAAATATTTTGTCTAACTGCGTGTTGGATAGTCACGTTCTTCTGTAAATTAATGGTTTTCAGTCTTTGGTGTATCTCAGAATCACCTGGTGTGAGGCTGCTGGGTCTAGGATGTTCATCTCCCTTCATTTGAGTAGGTAGCTTCATGAAAGTCACACTTGCAGTAGAGTCAAAGGAAGGTGACAACTACATGCTCACTCAGATCACCTGAATCCACCCTGCCAGTTAGAGGGCTGGCAAATATATTCCTCCTAGTCTATCAATAGCCTGTTTTTTTAATTGTAAAAAGTACATAAATATATTGTTTTAATTATATTTAACAAATTGTAATTCCCAGTTCATGAAAAGATCTTAACCAATCTTAAAACTCTCTATCAGATTTCTGTTGAGGGTGGGGAAATACATTCGAATGTTAAGTTTGGTTTTTCAATTTTTATATATTTGATAGCACTAAATTTTATCCATTTTGTTTCTAAAATACATCTCCAAGCAGATAACAGAGCCTGAATTTTATTATAAAATATCTTTGTAATGGTTTTATTGGTTTATCTTTTCATTTTTTGCTCTTAGCAATCTGAAGATAATAATTTCAGTGTAACTGCTTTGAGAGGTTGAAGGGCACAGGTTAGTAAGATCAAGGCTGAGAAAAACTTAATTGCACCATATACTTTCAAAGAAACAGTTTTGACATCTTGCCCCAAAGAACGCCAGGAGCCCAGTGGAATCCATCCCAGGGTTGGATGATGTTTAGAGGTCAGTAAGAGCAGGTGCACAGTCACTTGACCTGTACAGTCAGAGGATGGCTTAGGTCAATAGGAGTGGTGATGGAGCTGGGGCCATGCCTGCTGGGTTGTAGGGCTTCCTACCTGATGTTCTTTTTTCCTTATAACCATCCTGCTGAACTGGTCACTTAAGACCTAGCGTATCTTAGAGCCAGGACAAGCTCTATAAGCATCTTGTCCATGGCCTCGTGACTGGCAAGTGACAGAGCCAAGATTAGAACCTTAGAACCGAGACCTCCCAATTCCCATCCCAACCATCAGAGCCAACCATCTCAATAGATTTTTGAGACCCTAAATGTTTAGACAGGGCCTGATTGTAAATAAACCAGTTTCCATGTGGGTCCCCCAAGCCATTTGTGTGTGTGTGTGTGTGTGTGTGTGTGTGTGTGTGTGTGTGTGTGTGTACTGAGCTCTTCTACATCCCTTTACTCACCATATATTGGACCGTAAGCCTGTGCCTGCCTTGTACTATAGTATCCATAGCTTATTTATGAAATGTCATTGAGCCAGTAAGGGGAAGGTACCAGTGACCTGCCACAGCAGCAAAAGAACAGACTCCTATAGAATCATCACATACACCCTTAATCCCACTGAAATTGCATTAGCATGCCACCACATGGCCACAGCGACCCCTGCCCCCTTTCCCTTGCAGTGACAATTTACTGGATCAGGCCTTGCAGTGAGGGGCCAGCTTCTGAACTTGCAGAGCCAGGTACAAAATGAAAATGCAGGCCAGTTGTTCAAAAGGCAGGAAAAAAGGGCCATTCACGATACTAAAATAAAAACGTTTCCCTTTCTTCCAGTTTCTCTCTCGATTTGTCAAGACATTTTTGTTTGCAACTTAATGTCATTTTAAATTATTAGTGTGAATCTTACCAACCATCCTTCAATTGTACAGTGCAAATTTTAGATGCAAGTTTAAGACCATTTGCCATGTATGTGGGATCACTGACACACAATTTGTATTTTGTAGCTAGTACATACGTGTATTTTATACGAACTAGAACAGTGGAAATGCTGCACAAAGTTAACTCAATTGTTTTGATTTTACTTATTGATATTAGCACATCCTCAACACTCCCTCCCTGTGGCTTGCTAGTAAGTAAGGAAGAACTGAAAGGAAAAGGAACTCGGTTGCCCTATCTTTCCCTTTCCTTCTGGATTATTTTCAGTTTAAGTGCTTGGCCAATACAGGGAAGTAACAGGAGTAAGGAAGGATATGGTCAGGTTCCTTGGTCATTCATGTCTCTTAGAACTCCAGTACCTTCTTTCTGCATTTGAAGCAAGTTGAGCTTAGAACAGAAAGTGTGACCTTTAGGACTGTTCACACCAGTGCTTACTTAGTCATAGATGGAACATGCTTACCTTTTACGGACTTTGAGTCCTTATTGAACTCCCCATGCACCAGGGATTCACAAGAATTCTGAGCTCATGGGACATCATGAATGTGGTATGCAAATGAGGTGGCAAGGAGCACGTAGCTCCTTTGCTCACATGCGTGCATCATGGTCCCGTTGGACTTCACTTGAAAACACAGGTTCGAAGATAAAATGATTAAGAATTTCAAGACAGTGCCATCAGAGTATTAAACCAAGCTTCAGGCCCTTCTGAGGGCAAGGCTCTATGCACATCACATGCCCCTGAAGCTGACCCTGCTTGCCTGATTCTCTGACATGAAGAAAGAAATTCCACTGTGCTTTAAAAAAAAAAAAAAAAAAAAAATTCAGGACAGATTTAATTTGGACTTGAGTACCCAGGTGTTAGCAATATCCTACAGATTCCAGAAAACAATTTAGTCCATTGTTGAAAGAGTACCCTTGAAGGCATGTCTTTTTTTAATCCCATTATCTTATTCATCTCAGTTCCTTTTATTTATTTGCAACTTAGTCAATCTCAGGTCTCACATCCAAATTGGACCTCCTCAGGGAGGACCATGCTACAATTTGAGGACAGAGCACAGGTCTGGGGTGGGACCGGGTGGAGTGGGGAGTGCCCCTAGAAATCCAGGCCAGGCAAGGGCACAGAAATGAACTTTTCAGGGTCAGGGAAAGATCTAGAAGGACGTGAAATCACCAGCTAGTCTTTCCTCTCTCTACCTCTCCCTGGGACCTGTATGATGGTGGTGGGAGCATAAAGGACTTTGAAAATAGAAATAGCATTTTGTAAGTGTCATGTAGGAGGTATCATGCTGAGGTGCTGCATGCAGTGTTACACTCCTAACAATAGCCTTATGGGGGAAGTTCTCTTATGAGTCCTTTTGGTAGACAATGAAGCTGAAACTCAGGAAGGTCACATGGTATCATAAGGCTGGTAAGCATTGGAGTGGGGCTGGCAGGGATGCTGGACAAGGTTGCAGACATGAGAGCCTTCCTGAGTTGCGGAAGTGTGTGGCCCCATGTTTTATCAGAGTTTGAAGGGGAACTCCAGATTACTAGGTTTTGGGGAGATAGTTGCAAGTGATGGAATAGCCATTCTGAGTGAAGCTTTCTTTGGTGGTGACCTGGAATCTCTGAGTTCAACAGTTGATGCTGCTGATCACCTAGTCACCTGGGGCCTTATTGAGCTTTTGTTCCTGCCATCATTGCTGCCTGACTCTTGGTTTCCCTACTCTGGCATCCAGTGGCCTGAGTCAAGGTTCAGCTCAGCTTCTGACCAGCTTCTTGACCACCTTGGCCAAGTCCGTGTACAGCTCCCTTTGGTCTTCGTTTCTTCATCCATGCAAGGGGGATGGATACTGTCATGAAGGCAAAAATGAAAGAACTTGGGTTAAAGTTATTGTAGTAGTGCTGGTGCTGAGGAGACCCTCAGCTTTGAGTGTTGGCTTCTGTCCATTCCTCCTGAGCTACTGTCACATCTCATGTGGGTGCAGTGGGTCCTCTGGACACAGCGTTGAGCCCAGTCCATGGGTTCCTCATATAGCCAGCACCTTGGCCTGTAGCAAATAAAAACAAACCACTTGAAAGGAACTCGCCAAGTATCCCTGATAGCTGGCACTCACAGTTTGTTTGTGTGATGACTTTGCGTATTAGTCATTTTCCTGTTGCTTATAACAAGATACCTGAAATTGGGAAACTTACAAAGAAAAAAAAATTATTTCTTACAGTTACGGAGGCTGAGAAGTGCAAGGTCCAGGGGGCTGCATCTGGTGAGGGCCTTCTTGCTGATGGGGACAGTCCCAAGGTGGTACAGAGCATCACATGGCAAGGGGGCTGAGTGTGCTAACTCAGGTCTCTCTTCCTCTTCTTATGAAACCACCAGTACCCTCCCATGATAATCCATTCATCCATTAACACATTAATTTATTAATCATGAATGATTAATTATCATGACCCAATCACCTCTTAAAGGACTCACCTTTCAGTACTGCCACATTGGGGATTAAGTTTCCAACACATGAAATTTGGGGATACGTTCAAACCATAACAGTTGGTGATAGTTGCAGAGGAGCATGTACAAAGATTAGAAAAATATAACCAACCCCTGGGTTTGTTGGATGCTTTCTGTTGCTCAGATCATTGTGACATGAGCACTGTAGGAGGGGTGGATTTGAAGGGGTCTGGTTCCCCAAGAGGTATGTGGGCATCTGTGTGCCTGCATGAGAAAGCACCTTTCCTGGCAGCCCGACAGGTAGAAACTCATTAATCCACACATTGACTCTATTTCAGGGAAAGATGACGTCAACTCCTGCATGTTGAAGGCAGGGAGTGGCTGAAACAGCATCAAGGCGTGAAGGCTTCCCTGAGCCACCCTGAGTTCTCAGAAGGGTTCTTAAAGAAGTCACGTCATCTTTATCGCTACTTCTGCTGCACTTATCCCATAATTTTCCAACTTCTGTTGTGAGAACTTTTACAGCCCAAGTGTCCTGTGATTTAACCTTCAATTTGGTAATGTCTGTCTTCCTTTAGCAAAGCAGGCTGAAGGTGTTGAGATCCGCCTACCTTGGGAAGCTTTCCATGGTGGCACAGTATTGAAGGTTAGGCCTCATCCAAGTTGGCACAAGCCTTTGTCTCCAACCTGGGTGGGAGGAAGGTCAAGGCAGATGAGTGTCCTTTCAGTGCAGGGAACTGCCATCCAGGGAGGCTTGCATTTATAACTGAGAGACAGCGGGGTGAGTTAGAATGCTAAGAAGGGGGAAATGGGCTGGGCGTGGTCACACCTGTAATGCCAGCTATTTGGGAGGCTGAGACAGGCAGATGGCTTGAGCCCAGGAGTTTGAGGCTGCAGTGATCCATGATCGCACCACTGCACCCCAGCCTGGGTGATAAAGTGAGACCTGGACTCTAAAAGAAAAAAAAAAAAAAAAAAAAAAAGGAAGTCGGTAGTTCACCAAGGAGGCTTTCTAAAGGAGATGGACTTTAGCCCGTGCCTTTCAGGAGGGGACTTGGAGCTGGGGAGATGGGGAGACAGTGCGATTGGGATTTTGGCAGATGATATAAGGCAAATCCTCAGCAGAGCACCCCGGGTTCCACCAGCTTTGTGGTTGAGTTGCAGACTCTTTGAGTGAGAGAATAACCCAGCCCCGGTGGTTTCTGCTGAACCGAGAAGGAACTGCTCCAGAAACATGACAGGGATTCCAATAACGGCGGTTAAACAGCTAACAAAGAGGAGTCTGGAAGGCTGGCCCTTGTTCATGTTGGCTGGAACATGCTGGGTAGATGAGTTAATTGGGGGCCCTCACAGGGAATGCTCATTGTGCCACTCTTAATGAGAGAATCCAAGTGCCCCATGGGATGTAATAATTAGGAAGCATGTTGTCAGTAGATCAGCTGTCTGTCTCCTGATGTATGCCTTGTGTACACAGGAAGAAATAGAAGCTTTCCTTTAAAAAAAAAACAAAAAAACAAAAAACAGGGTCTCACTCTGTCACCCAGGCTGGAGTGCAGTAGTGTGATCATAGCTCACTGCAGCCTCCAACTCCTGGGCTCATGCGATCTTCTCACATCGGCCTTCTGAGTAACTGGAACTATAGGTGTGCCCCGCTACACTTGGCTATCTTGTATGTATGTATGTATGTATGTGTGTATGTATGTATGTATTTTAATAGAGGCAGGGTCTTTCTATGTTGCCCAGGCTGGTCTTGAACTCCTAGGCTCAAGCAATCCTCTGCCTTGACCTCCCAAAGTGCTGGGATTACAGGCATGAGCCACACTGTACCCGGCCAGAAACTTTCTTAAAGCTAGTTTAAAAACCGATCATTTGGTCCTCATTTCCCATTTTGGCTTTGTTTCTTCAGTGTGGCTCTGTCATGTTGGGGCCCATTCCCCTCAGGATGCTGAGACGTAAGGTAAGGGTATTCCTTGTCTCCTTCACTCTACCTCCCTAGGGTCTCTGTGCCCCTGGAAACTCAGCCCTACTCAGGTCCCCGGGCAGTCTAGACTCAGGGCAATCCACCTACCTCACTAAGACCCAAGATCATCGTGCCTTCCGTTTTGTCACCCATAAAACAGAGCTGATGCTTTCTCCTTCTTAGGGCTATGAGGTGAACTAAATCAAGACACAAATGTACCCTTCTCAATGCTGGACAGGTTGCCCTTTTAACCTCTCCATCCCTACCACCTCTTCTAAGATGAAATTCCTTAAATCTTGGAGTTGGATGACTTTTCCTTTTCCCTCTATTTCCTCTTCCTCACTTCCATTTCAGAAGGAGAAGCATCACATCCTGCCACCCACAGCTGGCCCTCTTCCTCTCCTGTGATCTCCATTCATCATCTGTCCATCTTCACCGGCATCTTTTGAAACCTGTCTTTCAGTGGCCGTCACTGCCTTTTCAGCATAAGACATGTTTGGGCCTCTCTTCCTGACTGTGTTTTTCTCCTTAAGCTGCCTGCATCTTTCTCTGGCCTTCCCCTCACCACCAAATTTCTTTAGAAAGTGGGCTGCCCCTGCTTCCTCTTCTTCACCTCCCAACCGAACTTCTGTAGCCCCCCTGTAAAGTGGTTTCCATTCCAGGCTTTGCACTGATGCTGGCAAGGACATCGGAATTTTCCATTTCAGTGGCCTTTGCCAAGTCCTCGCCTTCTGGTTGCCTTGACTGTGGGGACACCCCCTCCTTCTTAAAATTCCCTCCTCCTCTGTGACAGGGCCCTGTCCTGGATCTTTGCCAACATCTTGTGCGTCCTTCGAGGGTGGTTCTCCCACTAGAGATCCCCTGAATTAGGAGGCACCTGAAAGGTTTTCTCCTCTGTACCTTCTGCCTTGGCATCCCACCCACTCCTGTGATGATAATAGGTTCCTCTCTGCTGGTGGTAACGCTCAAGTCTTCATTTCCAAACTCTGCTTAGGTTGAGCAGCTGCACAGACACCACCCACATGGCTTCCAAACTTGATAGTCCTTCTCACTCTCCTTATCTGGTGTGGGTAGGATTGTGTCCCCCACCCCCCTCAAAAAATATGTTGAAGTCCTAACTCCTGCTACCTATGAATGTGGCCTTATTTGGAAGTAGGGTCTTTGTAGGCATAATCGAGTTAAGATGAGGTCATACTCAATGAGGGTAGGCCCCAGTCCAATGTGACTGGTGTCCTTATAAGAAGAGACACAGACATACACACACAGAGAGGACACCATGTGATGACGGAGGCAGAGATGGAGTGATGCATCTGCAAGCCAAGGAACGTCAGGATTGCAGGCTGAAAAAAGGATCTTCCCCTAGAGCATTCAGAGAAAACATGGAAAACACGGCCCCGCCCACACCTTGACTTTGGACTTCTCAGCTCCAGAACTGTGAGAGAATAATTTCTGTTGTTTAAAGCCACCCACTTTGTGGTACTTTGTTCTGGCAGCCCCAGAAAACCAATACATCACCCGATCTCTCCAGTTCCCTATGGGACTCACTATCCTTTTAGGGATCCAAGCTGAAAGTCTCAGGATCAACCCTGAATCTCTCCCTCTTGCCTTAATACCCAGCTTTTCATTTCTGCCTCAGGTGAGTATGCAGTCCCCACCTCTTCCCTAATCAAGTATGGTCGCCCTGACTCTGCCCTCTTCAGTCTCCTATCTGTCCATCCAGCTGCCCTCTGGACAATTTTCCTAAAACAGCTCTGATTGTGTCACCATCATCGTAGCACACTTTGTCTGTTTCCCTCCTGCCTCCAGCAGTTGGCTGCATATTGGAATTACCTGGGGAGATTTGAAAGCTCTCATGCCCACCACACAACCCCATCTGTCAAATCAGAATCTCTGGAGGTGATGCCCCAGCATCAATATTTTAAAAACTTCCCCTATGATTCCAGTGCACAGCTAGGCCTGAGAACCATTTGCTGATAGAATATCACAATAGCCAGACAAAGCTTACGGAAGAAAAGATAGCTCTAAGGCAATGGTTCTCAACTGGGGATGATATTACCCTCCAGGAGACACTTGGCAGTGTTTAGAAACATTTTAGGTCATCAGAACCGGGGTGGTGCTCCTGGGCATCTACTGAGTAGAGGCCAGGGATGCTGTTACACATCCACAATGCCCAGGACAGCCTCACAATAATGATCCAGCCCCAAACATCACTAGTGCCAAGGTGGAGCAATCCTGATTTAAGAGCGAGGAGAGGAGCAGCAATACCGACCTTGACTTTGGGACAGACAGATGCAGTAGACACCAGTGCTGAGGAGGCACATGCCCCCTCATGCCGCAGTACTGCCTGTGCTGTGCCCATTTGGCAGCCCAGTATGTTGAAACTTTTCATGCAGCACCAGTTTCCATCACAGGAAGCCTCAGCCTGCTGGTGCCAAACTTATTCTCTTGCTCTCCTTTTGAAAATGAGGTTCAGTGGAAGCTGGGTGCGGTGGCTCATGCCTAATCGCAGCACTTTGGGAGGCTGAGGCAGGCGGATCACTTGAGGTCAGGAGTTTGAGACCAGCCTGGCCAACATGGCAAAAACCCTTCTCTACTAAAAATACAAAAGTTAGCTGGGCATGGTGGCACACGCCTATAGTCCCAGCTATTTGGGAGGCTGTGGCAGGAGAATCGCTTGAACTCGAGAGGCAGAGGTTGCAGGGAGCCGAGATCATGCCACTGCACTCCAGCCTGGGAAACAGATCAGGACTCTGTCAAAAAAAAAAAAAAAAAAACCAGGTTCAGTGGAATGTTTTTGTCAGGAGAGAAAGGGTCATTACAACTCAAGTTGGCTTTTGCCAAACTCAGCAATCACTGTTTTGGTGGCTCCTGAGGCTCCTAATGAGGACACTGACAGTCGTTAAATAAACAAGTGATTAAGTTGAGAAGAGACTGGCTAACAGAGGTTCCATGTGTGCTCATTGTCATCGATGTTAGCCAGTTTCATGACAGTGACCTGCCTGGGCTCCACCTCTACCATTAAAGAGAAACACTAGCAATGACGGCTTATAGTTCACGTAGCTTTACCATTTATAAGCATTTTCCTATACACCAACCAGTTTGATTTGTCTTTTCAAGTCTTAGCTTTATGCAGTGTCATTTCCTATAAAGGAAAGTATAGCAAATATACAAGAGGTACTCAGAAAATACAAGAAGAAAAAAACTAAAAAGAGTAAGGGATCAAAAGATATTTTTTTAAAAACCCACATTGGATGAAAAATGAGAAATTTAATTCCGGTAATGGAGGACAAAGTCTTTGCCAAATTGATAAAGCTTTGGGAAATTCTGATTATGGAAAGGACCCAAATGTAGACAGTCACATTCTAAATTCCTGGCTCCATGCTATGTGTCCAGTTTCTGTGTTTTTAAATGTATGCAGCATTTTTAACATCACAGAATTATTAATATGTTGAATATCGTTGCTACTTTATATAAAAAGTATCTTTTCTGTCTACTATTTAAGAATTCTTGCTGTATTTATCATTCTGTTTTCTCCAAGTAGACAGAGGGCCGATGTATTTGATACCAGAACACATCTTTGATTTTGTCATGGGGAGCAGTGTGAAAATAGGAGTCACAAGACCAGGCGTGGTGACTCATGTCTGTAATCCCAGCACTTTGGGAAGCCAAGGTGGGCAGATCACCTGAGGTCAGGAGTTTGAGAACGTCTGGCCAATATGGTGAAACCCCACCTCTACTAAAAATACAAAAAAAAAAAAAAATTAGCTGGGCGTGGTGGCCCCACGCCTGTAGTCCCAGCGACTGGGGAGGCTGAAGCAGGAGAATCGCTTGAACCTGGGAGGCAGAGGTTACAGTGAGCCGAGATTGCACCACTGTACTCCAGCCTGGGCAACAGCGCGAGACTCCGTCTCAGAAAAAGAAAAAAAAAAAATAGGAGTCACTTAACACAAACTTATTTTAAGCACAATTTATTTATAATTTAGAAAAAAGAAAAATTGCTGTGTAATGGGGCTTGAAGAGAAAAAGAAATAAAATTTGTTGAGGGAGGTGTAGAGCTTGTTCTGGGTATTGATTTCCTTTGAGGGGCAATAAGGAAGGATTATGCCAGGGTGTTTCTTGTTGCTTAAATGTTCCATGAAACACCAAAATTGCAGAGGTATTAGTAGTTAGAAAGAATGTGGAAACATCCCTCCTTCTGATTAATGACTGCCCCCTGAGGAGTCCTTCAAAAGCCAGAAGAAACCTAAAATATCATCCTAGAAAGTTGGAAGGAGGCATTTGACAAAGTCTTTGCTAGCTATGTGACTAGGATAAGGATGTGTCAGTATATCATTATGCAACTTGATGAATTCTCGGTCAGCTGAACAGTCATAGTCATATTAGCATAGAATAGTGATTCGGGTCAGGCACGATGGCTCATGCCTGTAATCCCAGCACTTTGGGAGGCTGAGGCAGGCAGATCACCTGAGGTCAGGAGCTCAAGACCAGCCTGACCAACGTGGAGAAACGCCGTCTCTACTAAAAGTACAAAATTAGCCAGGGTGGTGGTGCATGCCTGTAATCCCAGCTACTTGGGAGGCTGAGGCAGGAGAATCACTTGAACCCGGGAGGCGGAGGTTGCAGTGAGCCGAGATCACGCCATTGCACTCCAGCCTAGGCAACAAGAGCAAAACTCCGTCTCAAAAAAGAAAAAGAAAAAAAAAGTGATTTGATTTCTGGCCTTTAATAAGTGCTTAATGAATCTTGGATGAATAAACGAATGAATGAACAAAGAAATGAAAGAATGAACCAGCCAACTGACCAGGACGATGTCCATAGAGGTCTACATGGGATTCCCTCACCTTGGTCTTGTTGTGTTCAACATTTCTATCAATGATTTGAATCCCAGACACACAAAGCATATTTACTATACTTGGAAACAGAACAAATCTGGGAAGATCATTAATGTAATAGATCACAGAAGAAAAATCCAATATGATCTTGCCAGGTTAAAAACAGGGCCAAGATGTACAGGCATCAGCCAAAGCCCTATGTATGAGTTTAACATGTCAACTGGACCTTGGGAGCCTCCTATTTTGAGGGTGATCGTGAAAGAGACTGGGAAGTGTTATATCCTTCCCCATCATTCAGCCTTCTCACAGAAGTTCCAAAGGCTATTTGGTGGTAAAACTCCTTTCTGCTTGCTAGTCCTCATCCTTTTTCCTCCTTTTATGGTATTTGACACTATTCTACACTGTTAACTTGATGCCCTTCACAGAACCTTTCTCGAATTTCATGATTCCACTTTGGTCTTATTTCCCTCGTTTTCTAATTTGTCCTTCTTTGTTTCTTTTACCCTCTTTTTAAAGTTTTTCCTTTACCTTTACATTTAAAAGGTAGTGTACCCTAAGCTCTAATCTTGGCATACTTGAAATCTGTATCTCTCCCTGGTTGTTTAACATTGATTTAAAATAGATTTTGTTGAGAACCCGCTATGTGCCCAGAAGTGTTCCAAGAGCTCTTAGAATACAGTGGAGAATAAGACAACAATTTCTGCCTTTAAGGAGCCTGTATTCTAGGAGGATGGGAAGTGATGAACAAATAAGTGAATAACAGTGTTGAGTCGTGGTTAAAGCTATGATGAAACTCAAATCCAGATTAAGGGGACCAGGAATGTCAGGGCTGCTATTTTAGACAAGAGTCAGGGAGAGTCCCCTGAGAAGATGGCATTTGAGCAGAACTGGGCTTCTTGTACTCCCAGGGCTGCCTCCACACTGAAGACTCCCGGATGCTGCTCTCTGGCCAGCTCCTCTCTTCTGGAGCCATATTCCTGAATGCCTCTTAGTCCCTGCAGGATGTCCTAAGAGCACCTTCAACCACGCTTGATAATCTCCCCTACCAAACTTCTTCCTTCTCTTTGGTTCCCCATATTGGTTCCCAGCATGACCATCTCCTCACTCACCCAAGCTAGAAACTCTAGCCTCCCCTTCAAATCCTCCTCCACCCCTACTCATACAGATCCAATCCAATGACATCTGGGTCCTCACTTCCTCCCCGTGCCATAGTTCAGGTTCACACTATCTCTTACTGGTACTGTTGCAGGAGACTCCTGACTAGTTTGCCAGCCTCTAGTCTCATACTCCACCCACCCTGTCTTCCACGTTACCAATAGAATGACCTTTGTAAAGCACGATCAGCTCTGCTCTTGAGCCTTCTATCTCTACCTACTGCCTCTAGGGCTAGCAAGGTGTTCAACCTACCTGGTTCCCAACCTACTGGCTCAGCCATCTCCCTTCAGTCCCTCTGTCAGAAAAATCACTTCCTGACCCTTTGACAGTACCCTCTTTTTCCTCTCATATGCCCTTCAGTTTTTCCTAGAACTCTTTCCGTTCCTCTTTCCTGCTTTTCCCTTCCCTACCCTACCCAGCAGGTTTCTAAGCATTACTGCAATAGCCAACTCAACTCTGCAAAGCTTTTTTCAAATTCTCTTCCCCCTCCATCCATTTTCTTTGTTGTGATGCCATAGTGCTTGTGGCAGGCAGGAGCACCCTGTTTTAGAAGAGTTTTCTGTGTCCCATTAGCCGTGGGTTACCTGGAGACAGGCATCGTCACTTGTGCATGTCTGTGCTGCTTGTAGATGTTGGCACTAGGGAGGTTACTTCATGCATGTTTACTGAGCTGGCTGCAATTATACAGAAGACTTACAAACATATAAGTCAAACCACGTGAAACTGCTGTTCTTCTTGGTCAATATCAGCAATTTCATATGTTTATTCTAATCTGTTTTGTTCAGTATTTTGTATTCCTGTTTTGGCTTTCAGAAGTGTTCTTACCTTCAACCAGACTGCCTTAGAGCATGGGGCTCAAAGAAATATTTTCAGCTCTGGAAGACATTTTCCATCCTACTTCTACATATAGAACTTTTCTGGCCAAAAATGGATGCATATCTCAGAAATGTAATAAGCAATACTCTTCTCTCTTCCTCTTGACAATTGTTTTTCAAATGGTTTATCATAAACATCAGTGAGATCTTGAGGCTGTTATAAAGTGATATAATGGTAATTTCTAGAATTGTAATACATTATCCTAGTGAAAAGAAAATGATGAAGTTGTGAATCAGGCAAAAGTGATGAATTGCTCATTTCCATGTAGTTTTTCAGGTGGAAAGTAGATGCAGGTATCAACTGGAGGATGTGTGAATATTTTGTCTAATGGTTTTGATCTCGATATAGAACTAGAGTTGTTCTTAAATTAAGAATGTCTTTCATATTCTGCCTTTTCACCAGCATCACTATTAAAATAATATTCTTAAGCAACAGCCAAAAAATTATTAGGATCTGCTGGTTCTATAATCAGATGTTTTTGCTGGACACTTTAAAAACCAATAACAGCTAATCACAGTGTCCTCTTTTGTGCTGAATTGAATTTTGTTTTGGTTTTAATTCTCATTTGAACTGCTGGGAAAGCAAGCCTGTTACATACCAACACTTGCCACCTTTCTATATTTGAATGGACCTAAGTAGTCTTTGCAAAAAATGTCTAAGACTGTCCTATCCGGACACACCATAGGGTTTTCCCATGGAAATAATTATATCACAAACGAATCTTTTTTCTAAAGTCTGTGGTTTTAGGCTGCCATACTTCTCAATCCCCTGACCAGGAGACAATAAAATTGGCTGGGGCCTTAATTTGAGGGAATACATATTTGATTGTGGGCGTGGTCTTCTAAGACAATGGTAAAGGGAAAAGCAAGATGTAAAATTAAACGTTGAAACAAGCTAAACTGGTTTTCAAAATCTTCTCGACTGTAACACATCTAGAAGTTCTAAATATAAGAAGGTTTGAGGGATTATCTAAAACCAAGGTATTAAAAGATCAGGTTTTTAGAAGATTTTGATTCAGTACCTTATACTTTTTTTTCAAGGAGTTGAGCAAGAAACCATCAAAACTTAGGAGAGTGATTTTAGGAGAGGGTGGTCTCCAACTTGTCTTTATGTTTGCTTCCAAGATAAGTGTTAAGCCCAACCAACTAGCAGACTATTCATGATCTGGGAATCCTATCAGTGGTCATCCCTGTATTTGACTTGAGTCTCTCTAATTTTTTATAGGGACGGCGAAGGCCAGTTGGTCAGCCAAATGCATAAAAAATGGTGCAGAAATTAGTGATGCTTGGAAACATGGCTCATAATCATGATAAAGGCTTATATGTTGGTATGGGTTGAGAATGTTGGCCTCATGGTATCTGGGTATGCAAGAAGGCAAATCATTATTGGTATACTAGCCTTTATGTTGAATATTTAGAGAGCTCTTGAAAACACCCCTTCGATTTGGAGTGAGGAATTCTAATGAGTAAAACTCCATGTAGAAATAACCATATCCGATTAAAAAACTATTTTGATTTTCATTCCAAGAAACTACCAAAATGTCAGCTCGATATACTTGTGAACATGTTATGCTTATTTTTAAATAAGGAAGGGTGCCTTTTTACAAATTAGGCTTGAGTTTCTCTTACTATCATATATATTAACTATAGACAAGGGAGTGGGTTCTAATAACAAATTGCTACATTGCTATCGTTAAATCCGTGTTTGAGTTTTCTTCCCTCTAATGTATTTTCTCCCCCTCTTTAATTTATATTTTTAAAAAGCAATGTACTTATCTAGAAATTGTATGAAAGACAAATATTTAAGAAAGTAAATAGAGACTATGGGCACGTCCTTTGAATATGTTTTGCCAGGGTCGAGGGGTAAATGAAATAAACTGATACATCATAAATGGACCACACAGGAAAGAAAGTGTCATGCCTATGCAAAGACATGCATTCTCCTTAGAGACGACATATATTGCTGTCGACCAACAAAGTCACGTGGTGGGAGGGGGCTCTTTTCTTTCTCCTTCACATCCCCTCCTCTGATGTCACAAATCTATTTTTTCCTGGGAGAATTAATTAGCATTCATTGGGTGTACTTGGCTAGAAGAAATGAGGTGGGGAGAAAGAGAGAGAGAGAGAGAGATCGAGATTGAGATCTTAAGAAAGAGAGCAAGGAGGAAGAGCCCGGTGGGGAGCAGGTCCTTCTCCCCCACCCCCCTACCCCCAACTCCCACTGGAGCCGCATTGAGACTGTAGGCACCACCGGGCGCCGAATGGCTGTTTTCTAACTGGGATCCTCGGTGACGTATGGCTGCCTGCCCCTTGGCAGCTGTCTTTATGGACCAGTAGGCAGAGCGAAATTGACGCTGACAAGACTTTTGCATCTTGGAAGGGACTGTAATCTACTGTAGTGAAGAACAGAGCCTCTCAATCAGACGGGTGTAAATAAGAGACGGAGGGGAGTCCAAAAGAAAAGGAAGAGGAGGAAAAACAAGTGTGTGTTGGGGGGAACAGGGGGAAAAGCATTTTTGGTGGATGGTATGAAGCCAGCCATGGAAACTGCAGCCGAGGAAAATACTGAACAAAGCCAAGAGAGAAAAGGTACCCAGCGCTCTGACAATAGCCTGTTTAAAGCTTTTCACTGGGGGGTGCTTAAAAAGGGTTAGCTGGGTTTTGTCTCTCTTTTAAAATGGCTCTGAGACAATCCCTATGGCATGGTCTTGCTTTCAGGGTTGATTTTTTTCCTGTGGGCTGATGTTAAGTTAATAGAGCAGCCTTTCTTCAATCCATTCCTGTTCCAAATCTTTCTACCGACGTGATATTTCATAGAGGGATGTCTATAGTTTGTCACCTTGGGCTGATGCATTGGGGAAACTGTCTTTTTTTATTAATATAATTAATCGTAACTTAGGTCTTGTGTCCTGCATGTTATATTCCAGGAACGTGGAATGTGTAGTTTTCTGCTAATGCTGAGGAGGAACTGGAGGGGCATGCATGTTAATTCTGCTTTGGTTCCGCTAATGCTGTAGTGATTTGGGCATTCTCTAATTTTCTTATTCTAATATGATTGCTCTTTCTTGTATCAGGCCCTGACTACGACATGTAATAATCATTTACAGTTGGAGCTTCAGAGAGGGGACATCAGCTCTGTCACCCAGTGCTGATGGAAAGGCAGGGCGGGGGATCTTCTGCTAATTATGACTTGGAGACTGGGGGGAAGAAAATTGATAAAGGTCCTATTTCTTAAAGAGAATCTTAGAACGTACCACAATTTTCATATACAGAATGGTTTTTTGGAGAATAAAGTGTTTTTGCAGTAAGAAAATGGCAGAAAGGAACTAAAATTAATCTCTTTTTTCTAAATAATGACTGATTTCAAGTTTGATGTCCCATAGAATCGGCTCAGCCACTGTTAGGTTAATGGATCTCACTGCATTGTAATTTTCCCTCACTCAAAGTCATAGACTGTCATAAATGCCCAAAAACATATTCTGTAACCGCAGTGGCTCTAATATAAAAAGCCATCATGCTAAGGTTATTTCTCACAGCCCTTGCGTCCACTGATAGTCACTAAAGAGTAATTCGCCAGTACGGGGACAAAACTTCGTTTTATTTATAAAGATACAGGCTGAACCATATGAAATTGCTGATAGTCAACCATTTTAAACCTACAAAAACGGCAATTACATGTACTTCAGCTTCACAGTATGCTGGGGTAAAGACTGCTTGTTTTTATATAAAATTTCTTTGGTACACAATAATATTTTATCCTAAACAGAGCAATTTTACTTTTTAAATTAATTTTTTTAGGTATCACACAATACACATAACATAAAATTTACCATTTTAAGTATACGATTCAGTGGCATTAAGTACATAGCACCTTAATTTTAAAATCGTTTGTTTAGTTCAATCCTCTTACCAAATCTACACCTCCCCACCAAAAACCCAGCCTGTATTTTCTTGTGTGTCTTTAAAAAAAAAAAATCTTCATCAATGACCAAATAGCTATAAGAGAAGCTCTTGGGAATATTTATCAAGATGAAGAAGTGAGATCAAAGTTTTTTCCATGATGACTAGAGACTAAGTTGATTGCATGTTGTCGGGGTATGATAATGTAATAGCATTGTCCCAAGGAAGCCTATCACGATTTTATCCTAAAATGATGATTTTACTTAGTACATACTTTTAATTTTTATTAATGTGGTATTCAACCATGGCAGATAAAACCGTTTTGGTCTTTGCAAAAAAATCCCTTTTTTAAATTTCTCTCTGAAAGGAAGCAAAGGTCATATAACCAATATAAAATCATTACTACACAACTGTGTATCTTATCACTTAGTCTTATGGACTGCTATTATTTTATGTCAATTAAATCTTATTTAATAACAGATCTACAGGTTGCTAGTACATCCCTGACAACCCGTATATGAAAAGTCATTAGTTGTGATTTTAGAGACAAAATTAGAAGCAAAAGATAATTTGTGAAGGAACTTTAAAAATTACCTAAATGTATAAACACTAGCTGCTTGTTAAATAATTCAAAAATATCACACTACCAGAAGCTAGTGTGACATGTATGGTACATGCTTGAATAAGAATACAAGCCAGGGGATTTGTTTTTCCTGATCTACAGCAAGAGGGGTTGTGATTGTTGTGTGACCCACCATAATTGTTGATCTGGAGGGTGGCTTATCTAATCTGCATTTAGATGAACAAGTTCATATGCTGGCTACACAAAATCAAAGCCCACACAAGACACTTTGTAGTTTCCCAATTTGCTCACCCATCATCATTAAGGTACACATAGGATAAAATGATAGCCACAAATGTTTCTGCGTGATTGTCACATCAGTATTCCTTCAGATTTAACTTTAAGTTTATTAAAAAATTATTTTTCCATTGAAATTAACATTTGAAAACTTGACATAATTATTTATAGAATGTGTTATATAATTCTTGAGCTGGTGGATCCGTTTTTTATGTTTTTCTTTTAAGCCTTTCAGCAAAGGATTTTATTCATTAAATTTAATCCTGTAAATTTTGTCACTTTACGCAGAGTTTTTTATGCACATATATATTTTTTTTCCTGTGTTTCTCCTTTCCCATCTGTTTTCAGTGGTTGGTGATGGAGTGATGCCTGTCTCTTAATTTGGGGCATTATTGCCCAATGGCTAATACCCAATAGCATGTGAATTAATATCTTTGGATAATTATTGCAGTGTCTATTAAGAACTAAGAATGTAAATTAAACTTAGCTTTATAAATTGACCTTGCTTTTCTAGTTGGGATCTTTCCTGGGAGTTTCAGCGGGACAACACAACCCAGCTATTGTGATTCACTAACTCCTACAAAGAGAGCTCTTTCTTTAAACTTAATCACAATGACTTTGTTTCTACTTTAGACAAAATTAATCCATGTCCTTAAAAAAGGAAAGCATTTGTGTTTTTTCAGTCTGATAGTTTTCATCACAGCATGCTACCAGATACCAAAATTCACAAGAGTATTTAGTAGATATTTAGGGATTTTTAAGGAAAACAAGCAGATTTTCTTAGATGGATGTAAGAAATGCCAAATTATTACAAATGATAGTTTTTAAATTAAAAGCATTAAAGTGTGAAGATTGAGTAAGCAGATTCACTGACATGGAATAAGCAGAGGAAATGAATAAGACAGAATCAAAAGAAATAGATCATGGAACCCAATAATAAAAAGATGGAGAGTCGGTTTCCATTGATTTCAGTGGAGTATTACTTGTTGTCATTTCATTTGTGAAAATAAATGCATCTGAAATTGCTGAGAGTGGATAATCACTGAGTAGAAAAACAATTGAATCATAACAACTTTGTATGCTCTATTATGGGGGAAAAATCTATCTGTTATGAAAATTATTTTCATTATATGTAGGTAATTGAATTCTACTGAAACAATTATAGTCAGGTTAGTTAACTTCCTATGAATCGTTGCTGAAATAAATTACAGGCATCAAATTAAATTCCTAACCACACAGGAAGAAAAATATAGTGAATGGGAAACAATGTGTAATTTAAAATAAATTACAGGATATAGTCAAAGTAAGAAATGAATTTAAATTATTGACTTCCTTAAAAAATTAATACATCTATTTTAATCTTTTTGATCAAATAGATATAATTTCTTATTTTTTTTTTTAATTTAGCAAAATGTATGCACTTTTGGCTCTCATTTTTCGTTTAGGAAGAAAAGCACTCCTCTAGAATATACGACTTGTGTGATTAAAAACCCAAAGGGACACATAACACACGTCACACTATTCCTGATGATCTGCGAATTATTGCATTTTGAAATTTGTGTTGACATTTTCTAACTTGGCTATATAAATATGGTACAGAGGAAGTTTTAGATGCAGTTATTATCTGTAAGAATTTGCCAAGGTGGACATCTGAAGAGTTGGTGTCTGGGGAATAGGCTGTAGAGAAAAGTGGCTGGCCAGATGGTGCGGAACATATGTGGTAGGTATGATACAGCTTCCTTTGATTTTTTTTTTTTTTTTTTAGAACATTTAAATGTGGAAAAGATCTCAACGAGCCATTTGGTACATCTTCTACTTTTACATTATTAATTCCATTAGGATTTTTTTAAAGACTTGGCCTTGCTATTTCGTTAGAAAAAGAATTCTGGGCCATTTCTGGAAATTTAGATTTGCCTTCCCTGAAATTGAGTGTAAACCCTGAATTAAGATTATTATGATTTTCAAGATCACATTTCTCTGTTATTTGGAAGTACAGGGTCAATTTAGACTAAATGATCTTAATAAAGTGACTTTGTCTTGATGTATCTGAGAACATGCAAAATAACCAGTGTCCCCATGACTTAAACTTCCCCTCTCTGTGACTGTGATGGATTGGATTGGATTGTTACAAAGACACTCTCGCTTTTTTCTCCTTTGGACCAAATGTACATACATGGGAGATAGTTGGCCAGGAGTAGGGATGGCCATGGAACGGAGGAAGAAAGTGACCACACCGACTGTTTTTAAGAGAGGAAGGTTACAATCCCAGTTTCACAAATGTGCTTTGTTGTTCATTCATTTATTCGTTTAATGGTGTTCTCTGCCGGGTGTGGTGGCTCACGCCTGTAATCCCACCACTTTGGGAGGCCGAGGCGGGCGGATCAAGAGGTCAAGAGATCGAGACCATCCTGGCTAACATGGTGAAACCCAGTCTCTACTAAAAATACAAAAACAAAATTAGCCGGGCGTGGTGGTGTGTGCCTGTAATCCCAGCTACTCAGGAGGCTGAGGCAGGAGAATGGCGTGAACCCGAGAGGCGGAGGTTGCAGTGAGCCGAGATAGTGCCGCTGCACTCCAGCCTGGGTGACAGAGCGAGACTCTGTCTCAAAAAAAAAAAAAAAAAAAGAAAGAAAAGAAAAGTGTTCTCCTTTGAAATGTCATTCTTCCTCTGTCCCTTCAGCTCACGTTACAGGAGTACAGGGGTGCTAAGTCATCGTAGGGACCATTAGGGGTAGTATAATCTTGGTTTTAATAATAATTTTGCTGATTGGTGGCAGATTAAATAGCAGACAAAATGCCATAGACGAGAATTTTGATCCTTAGCCAGCTGAGTGATATTTCTCGTCAAAGAGTGTATAAGAGAAAATGTAATAATTTCCTATTTGATAAGCTGATTTTATCAATTGCATTAACTGCTTTATGTAGCCAAGCCTTATTATGCTGTATTTAAAATCAAGGGTCAACACACTTTTTCCGTAAAGGTCAGATAGTAAGTATTTTAGGTGCTGCAGACCACTCAGTGTCTGTTGTAACTATTCAAATCTGCCACTATAGCATGAAAGCAGCCCTAGATAGTATGTAAACAAATGGGTGCAACTGTGTTCCAATAAAACCTTATAAATAAAAACAGATGGCTATAATTTACCAACCTTTACTATATTTATAGCATTGTTATGGCATTCCTTAATATTTTAAATAATAGCTAAAAATGAAAGATAACAAATATAGCTTTGAAAGACCTTGCTCAGTGAATATGGTCTTTCTTGGAAGCTCAGTGTTTGTCACTTAGTTGCTTCCGGTGATAATTTCCTAGGTGCTAAGAAGCATGACAGTCTGAAGTTCATTTGTTCAGCCTTCTCGCTAAATTACATTAAATAAGTAAATGGGGAAAAATAAACAAGGCATTGTTTTGCTTTCCTTTTTGCAATTTCCCCTTGTTTCATGCCCACCTTTGGCAATGACCACTCACAGCTGTGTCTGTCTTCATAAGCCACCACTGGTCACCTCATCTCTATCTTCACTCTCTTAGGGGGAACATTTTGCAGTTTTCCCTCTGCAGGGCATAAACCATTTTCCCATTTCTTGCCAGGTGCCCAGAATCAAGACATTTTAAAAGACCTTTTGAGCCAAGGCATCCTCTTGGAATCCTGTGACTGCCTTTTAGGTGTTGGGATCCTGTCCTTGGGATTAAAATGTATACTGTGTTTTTTGAAATTTTATAAATAACTTTATATTTAATGCCTTTATTTAAATTTGGCTCAAAAATATAAAATAGAAGTGATTTTTCTTTTCTTTCATATCTAAAGATTTACTGTTGTAAAAAGGCCCCTCCAGAAGTGTAAGTCCAGGGGATTTGGAACACATCCATCCAGTTGCCGATCCCATCGGTGTGTCTTCTGGATCTATTCTTTTTTTTTTTTTTTTTTTTTAAATCCTGAATTAAGGGTCTTAGGCATGGCTGCCATGTTTTTCTCAGAAAACACGTTAACATTGAGCAGTCCATGGTTTTTCATTGTCATTGCCTAGCAGCCTATGCTTGCTTGCCTGAACATCTGGAGACTTACCCCATCCATATGAGGAGATGAGCACAGAGCATGGATGAATCTTCTGCAGAGATACCCTGAATTGCATGGCCTGGCTTGGGTAAAAGTCAGCATGGTGGGGGATCTAGAGGTCCATTTCTGGTCCACAGGGTCCCAGGGTGCTCCCTTCCTTTCAACCAAATATTTATTCAGCCAGCGTTTATTGGGCACCTGTGTGCTGAGTATGTAGAGACAAATTTTTTAAAAGGATAAAAATTTCCAGATCAAAAGTGATAGAACTACTTAGAATCCTCTTGCTTAGGGGTCTATGTGGAGGGCTCATAGCCCCCTTTACCAAGAGGAAATCAGATCATACCATGAAGTGCCTTGACCTTCTGTTTTTTTTCTGTCAGCCCCACTGGGTTTTCTTGCCTTTGGAGAATGTAGCAACATCTATTTCTGAGAGAGAATCTCCTGAACAGTAAAGCAAAAATCTAAATCTGTTTTTTGGGGGTTTTTTTTCTTTCTTTTTTTGAGACAGAGTCTCACCCTGTCACCCAGGCTGGAGTGCAGTGGCATGATCTCAGCTCACTGCAACCTCCACCTCCCAGGTTAAAGTGATTCTCCTGCCTCAGCCTCCAGAGTAGCTGGGACTATAGGCGTATGCCACCATGCCCGGCTAATTTTTTTTTTTTTTTTCCTGAGATGGAGTTTTACTCTTTTTTTTTTTTTTTTTGCCCAGGCTGGAATGCAGTGGCGCGATCTCAACTCACTGCAACCTCCATCTCCTGGGTTCAAGCAATTCTTCTGCCTCAGCCTCCTGGGTAGCTGGGACTACAAGTGTGCGCCACTATGCCCAGCTAATTTTTGTATTTTTAGTAGAGACAGGGTTTCACCATGTTGGCCAGGCTGGTATCAAACTCCTCACCTCAGGTGATCTGGCTGCCTCGGCCTCCCAGAGTGTTGGAATTACAGGCATGAGCCACCACACCTGGCCAATTTTTTAATTTTTATTTTTTATATATTTTTTTTATTTTTAGTACAGACAGAGTTTCACCATGTTGGCCAGGCTGGTTTTGAACTCCTGACCTCAAGTGATCCGCCCGCCTTGGCCTCCCAAAGTGCTGGGATTACAGGTGTGAGCCACCGCACCCAGCCCACAAAAATCTCAATCTAAGGAAGACTGAAAGTTAAGAAATTTTAAGAAGCCTGAGATAACATCAGTAGCTTAGGACCTGGACCGTTTCTTTAGGAGACACAGAAGCACAACTCAACTGCAAATGCACCTCAGAAAAACTCTCATTGGGTTAACTGTTGCCTCAGCAGAAGAGTAGAAAATTGCAATACATGCAGAGGTCACAGTAGGATGTATGGTGGTTTCCAAAGTGTGCCCTCTTGAGTGAAATTGCTAAGGTTCACATTCAGGCTTCTCTACCTCCTGGCTGAAAGATCTTGGGCAAGTGATCATTACCTTCTCCTTGCCCTTGGGTTGTTCCCTTGTAAAAATGGAATAATAATAGTACCTATTTCAGAGGGTGGTTGTGACAAATGTAATAAGTACCACATGCTGAGTGCAGTGCATAGTACATCATAAGCACTCCATAAATTTTTGCTGTCATCATCATTGACCACAAAAATAGTTTCATTGTGCAGTTCTGATCTTATCCCAGCATCTTTTCTGTACCTCCCTACCCTGGTTTTAAATGAGTTATGTATACCTTACCTTGAAGTCAAAAAGATTTTTTCTAAAACATTCTAGAAAAGCAGGTTTCTGCTTCCAAACTTGAAATACCTTACAAGTTTTCAGAGATTGTGGAGAGTGGAGTTGGGATTTTATAAAGGCTTTGTGAGGTTTTACTTGCCTCACACTGTGGCTTTAGTAGGTTCTTCTCCTCAGAGACCTGAGCTGCCAGATGGTGCATTATGACCTGATCTTCTGATGGAATCATTACCCACATCAATGGCACAATTTTTTTTTAATCCTTAAATATTTGTGGTGCCCCAGAGGATATAACCCCTTATTAGGTTTTATGGGATTCTCGGAGATAAACTGGCCATAGCGACCTTATGATCTCTTTGAGATTTCAAGATTGTAATTCAACTAACTTTTATGAGAAGCCTACTCTGTGCCAGGCAAATTGGTAGGTATTTTTCTTTGCAATCCCCTAAGAAGTGGGAAATATTGTATCATATTACCAGATAGAGACCTGAGTCCTCAGGGAGTGCCAGCTGTCACCATGTGTGTAATTAAGCAGTGGTTCGAGCCCAAGACCAGTAGCCCTTTCTGTATAGCACATGGGAGAAAATTGGAACAGGATTTAATCCAGAACATTCTAGACTCTGACGTTCTGAGTTTAAGATAAGGTGACAGACAATACTGCAGACGTCAATGGGAGGACAAGCATTTCATCCAAGAAACAGCAGACCATTAGGTTGTTTGCCAGGTTTTCTGGACTAGAGCTGGGTACCCTTACAGAGAGGGAGCCTGCGTTCACCTTTGCTAGTGCAGCTGGCAATAATTATAGTGCTCTGTTAGTGCTCTGTTGGTCTGAAAAGGAAACAGAAAGAAAAATATTATTGTGAGGAGCCAAATTTTCACTATAAATAGTATCTTCCCCAAATGAGCATTTTAAGAAGCAGGATATGGTGTGTGTTGGGGGAAAGATGTAGAAAATAAAGATCATTTTGGTGATTTACATAAACTTCAATTTAGAAACGGAGGACATTCTCAATGGATCATGCTGGTACTGAAGGGTTGCATTTCAATAGCATATTTTTTAAACTCCCCATTTCCTTTCTATGGTAAAGAATAAATAAAAATGCTGATATAGAATCTTTGCTGGAGATAGAGACACTGACTCTTTGCCACCTGAAATTGGCAGTGAACAGCAGAGCTGAAATGGAAATTGGCAGGTACCACTGGATGTACCCAGGCTCAAAGAACCACCAGTACCATCCCGTGCCAACCCTGGGGGACAGGGCTAGCCCCTTGAGCAGTCCAGGTAAATACAGCCTTGGGGTGAATTCTAATAGCAAGTCAACTGTTATCTTTAATATTATTTGTAATGGCTCTTGCAGCTTGGTGATATTTTATGTTTTGCTTGGTGCATTAATTTGTTCACACGGGCATGGGTGGAATTCGCCCTATAAACATTTTTTAATCATCTTTCTTTTTCTCTCTCCCTCTCCATTCCACCCCATCTTTCTCCACTTTCTTCTCCTTCTTCCCTCTTCCCTCTTTCACCTTCAATCACTTCGTCTTCTCAAAGGGAACAATGTACAGTGAGATATGCCTTTGGTTAACCATGAAATTTCCAATGCCTGAACCAATAATGGGGGAGGGGGGCCACCCACATCCCCCATGTGGCCAAGAACTGGGCCAGGGCCTTCAAGGAGCCTTGGCCCTGAGAGTACTGTGAGTGTCCCCAAATGTCTTCCCAGCCCTGCTGCTCTGCACCACCCTCTCACCTCAGTCATTGCCTTTGAGAAAGAGAAATCAAAGCTGTGAAAGTAGGATTGGATAACCATGTACCCGATTCCCATCAGGTAGGTTCAGTGGGTCCGGTTTCCATTTTCCTTGCTCGTGAGGAACATTGGCCATTCAGAACCGCTAGGTGCTGGATCTGGGTGAGGTGTGCGACAGCTGATTTGGGGACCTAGAAGGGGCAAAAGGTGAAGCAGTATGAACATCCAACCTCCCACGTTCCCAAAACCAACACAAGTTGTAATGCCCAGCTCAGTTAGCTAAAACTCAGTGATTTTGCCAGTGTACAACCATAGTTCAAACTACATAAAATGCAGACATAAAGGGCTGGTGGTAGGTCGGATAAACACAGTAAGAGGCTTAAAGTATTTCTGTGATTTTGCATCAATCCATAACATTTCTCCCAAATGCTTGCTAACTTTTTCAGGAGTAAATGTAGCATGGTACAGCTCCAGAAAGGGCAATCCCAAGGTACAATGTAAGTTACCCATTGAATTACAAAGTCATAAAATCCATGATTAATAAAACCTTTTCCTTTAAAATCTAAATTGTGTTGTCAGGTTAATTAAAATGAAATCTGACGTTGGATTTAGTTCTGTCTTGGGTTATGCATTCCTTCATCTGTCCTATGGCTATCAGGTGTTGGTTCTGTGTGTGCCTGTGCAGCGCTGGCTAAATAGGGTGAGCATGAGGTGACATCAGCCATCCATTCTCATGGATCCTATAAAGAATATGGAGGGTTCTGGAATCTTGATTTAAAAAAAGTCATTAGACGTGATATATCCATACAATAGCTACTATTCAGCAATAAAAAGGAATGAAATATTTGTGCATGCTACAACATGGATGAACCTCAAAAACATCATGCTAAGTGAAAGAAGCCAGACACAAGAGACCAAATGTTCTACCACTCTGTTTATGTTAAATTTACAGAATTGGTGAGATAAGAAGTAGGTTAATGGTTGCCAGAGGCTGAGAGAAGGGAGGATTGGGGAGCAACTACAGATGGGTACAAGGGATCATTTTTGCTGTGATGAAAATGTTCTAAAATTAGATTGTGGCGATGGTCACACAACGCTGTACATTTACTCAAAGTCATTGAATTGTATACTTGAAACAGGTGAATTTTATAGAATATAAATTATATCTCAGTAAAGCTGCTTTTGAAAAAAAAAGCAGCAAAAAAAACCATGAGATGTGCATAATTCAAGGGTGGGGAGCGGGGAAAGGGGTATTTTTTAACATAACAAGAAGCCCCCAAGTTATCAGAAACAACTGCTTGAGGGAGGAGTCCCTCTTCATCTTAAGAGTCTTTAAGAGTCTTCATTTTAAGAGTGTTGAATGACATCAGGCCAGCTGGAAACCCAGAAAAATACTTATTCTTTTCTGTATTTTAGTTCACTAAACTGGTAAAGAATAAACACAATATCTTATTGGGGGGGAATAAAAGAAACCTCTATCAATTGCTCTTGAAGAGTTTTCTCCACTTGTTGAGCAGTTCCCTGTAAAAGCATTGCAATAATATTTGTGTGCTTTTGATCCTACGGTGAAACACCAGAATCTGGGCATTCATAGCAGCAGTGGCAGCTGAGAAGAAAAATACGAGGCTCCATTTTCTGTTTTTCTGAAACTGATTTCTTTCAGAATTCCAAAGAATTTGGGTTTCCAAAAGATAACATAGTGCATACATCATGTACTGCATGATACCACCACTGAGTGTCTCTGCAGATCTAACTCATTAATCTTTCTGGAGAGCCCAAGACTATAAACAACTCCTTGTCCATTCAGGTGAGATTTTGGCACCAAGGAAGAGGAGATCAGAACAGGTTTTGCTGCCAGATGAGTTAGGGGAGAAAAAAAAATTACTTTTCAAGTTTTTTGGAATTCCATAATGATATGATGAAAGATTGTGGAAGTCTAATAGTATCAGGTTGCTGGTGATACTACTGCAAGCGAGAATTCCATGAACTAACAGGTTCTTGCCTGAGGGGGAGAAACAAAATCACTGAATTTGATTTAAAGAATTATCTTCCCAGATCCTGAAACAATCTCCACCTACACATAGTTTTAACTTTTTGTGTGCATTGATGGAAATAATTGGAAAAAAGATGCCTCCACGGGGACTGTTAATGTCTGGAGCTGTCTGCAGAGACCTTATGTGTGATAGTGTAAAGCCTACAGCGCAGGCCACAGAGTGAAGGGACCCACTCTAGCCATGCCATCGCCTTTCCAGACACTTACAGATTTTGTTGGGTCCTAAATCAATGCCGTTGCCATTCTATACTTAGATCTCCAACCCCAACCAGATGGTATGAGGCAAAAAATAGGGAATTCTGTATGGCTCTTTTTTTTTTCTTTTTTTTTTTATTAATTTTTTTGCAGAGTTGTCAGCCTTTTTCCATGGGGGAAAAAGAGGTTTTGATACAGGCTGACCAGGAAATTTTTGCCAAAGGAAAATGCCTCTCCCACTCATGCAGTTACTGTAGCAGAGACTGCCCTTCTCCAGGAACTTCCTTATTCCCCATTGGAAAGGTCATGGCGGTTCCAGGGTCCTTTTCATGGTTTTCTTTTTCTTGCTACTACTTCCCAGTAGAATTCCATCTTTAGGGGTTAGATAGTTATTCTTTCCTTATCTCTTTTTCCTTTTCAATTTTTAGCTGCGTTGGACATGTAGTGTCCACATCTTTTCTGCCTTCAGGAGATGAAATGATGTATGACCACATGGGCTACCCCCGCCCCCCGCCCCCCCCGCCGTCCATGATGCTGCCCTAGGGGCCTGGCCTGAGGTGGTGGTCTGAGATGCAGGCAAGCGATGAAGCAGGGAGTAGTTCATGCTAAGTCTCCAGTCAGTGGCATATTGTGCTTAACATTGGAGGGAGCACTTCCAGACTGTTGTAGATTGTGTTACACAGGCTCCAGAGGATAGCCTAAGACAATCTAGATTCTCTATTCCAAGTGCGGGCTGTGGACCAGCAGAATCAACACCTCCAGGAGCTCGTTAGAAATGCAGAGTCCCAGGTCCCACCCAGCCCCACTGAATCAGAATCTGCATTTTCATAAGACTTCCAGGTAGTTCCTATGCACATTAAAGCTTGAGAAGCAGTAATTAAGAGCAAGGTCCAAGAGCAAGAAGGGAGAAGACAGGAAGGAATTGATTATGTGAATTTACCCTCAAGAGATCTAGAAATCTTTATCTTTGGAAAAGATAAAGAATTGCTCAAGGTATTCATCCTTTCTTCTTTCCGTTTCTATTTAGGAAGAGGCATGTCTAAGCAATGCCAAGGCAGTCATTAATCTGTTGAGTCCTGGCTGGTTTGAAAAACAGTGACCTTGCTTCTCTTACCTGCTTGTCTCATGAGGGGGTTTGGGGAAGGGGCAGTGAAGGTGAGAAAGGTTTGTTTCTTTGTGGCAAAGTGAGGGCCAGAGGAGAAAGTAGTTGATGGAAGCTTGGGAGAAATTCTCAAATGTCTCTCATCTCCCTCTTTAATATAATCCAATGACATGCAAGATGCCGTGACTAAATATAGGCTGCCATTTTTAGTGGACTAAGAATGGTTCTTTATATACAGTTAAATCTGTAATTCAGAATTCAGTCTCACAAGGAAGGAGTAGAATAACCACCCACTTCACATATCACCAATTTCCGCCTCTCAAATCCAAAATGCTCTGATGTTTCAGTTAAAATGGCCACAGATAATTCCAGAAGTCGGGACAAAGAGCACACCCTCTACATAGGGACTGTCACAGAGGATGTCGGGAGAGGAGGGCCCTCTGGAGTGTTGGTATTTAGCAAGAAGCCCAAGTGTTGTGATTTGCACCACAGAGAATGGATTCCTGAGTCGCCACGGGGTTGTGGGGTGGGGGCGGGTAGCAGACTGACGGAGGGCCCAGCACTGCTGTTAACTCATGTTGCACCTTGTCTGCCCAGATGTAACCACAGGCTGGCTCCTGGGAACTGCAGACTTTATCCCTTGGCCCCCTTCTAGGCTGAGCCTGGGACTTCTCTCTCACTGATCTGCTTTGTAGAGGGACACCTGTAGCTATAAGTCCTGGGAAATGCTACTGGATTTTTGTCATTGTTCTTTAGTGTCACTCTTTCCTAACCTAAGGTTGTAAGGCCACTAAGTTCGAGGTCTTCTCCCAAACCACTTGAAATGTATTTTAAGGGGGAAGAAAAACCCTTAATCCTTCTGCGTGTACCATTCCACCTCTGGCCATAGTTGGGTGTCGACCATAACTGACAGTCTGGTCGTGCCGTGTGGGTTCTGCTGGTGGTATCATTCTGTCCCCAGAGGCTGGTTGCAGAAGCTTTTGTAGCTTATCCAGCCTAAGCCAGTGGATGCTCTCAGTCTGTCTGATGCCTTCCAGTTACTCAAGATATTTCTGATTACATAGAGGTAAATGGTGAACACAGTGGAAGCACGTTGTAGCTCAGGCTCATGCCGTAAAGTCCCTGAGATTTTTAGAGTACTTTGCCTTTTGTTTTCTGAAATGTATCAATTCTTTCATTTTCAAAGCACCTGCAGTTTTCACCAAAAAAGTGCCATATACAGCAGTTAACGATTTTATAGTTTATTTACTGACTGCTATGGCAGTCTTTATATATATATATATAAAATAATTTATATATAGCTGTAAACAAATACTTATCGATATAAGTAATTTCTTGATTGTTTTTGAACGTTCCATTGTTTATGCGCTATATTGTTAGTCTGTGATTAGCACCTAATTATGTAACAATGGCTTACTGTGTGTGTGACATATCAGCTCCCTTTGTCTTTTGGTCTTACCTTTGCTTCTCACCTTAGAGTAGGCAGACAGAGAAAGCAGAGATAAAAAGCAGATCGATGAGTATTGAGTGTTGATCTCGGGCTTTCTGTCAGACATGTCTGATTGTAGGGACACTGACTTGGATTATTCAAGACTGAGTACTTCTCGGTCTTTGAGAAGTAGTGTCATCTGGTCTTTGCTGCCTTTGAAATGTCCCTTATGTTATATGTTTTCATATAAATCTAACTAGAGTCCATTAAAATTAATTTTGCTTTGAAATCTTTTGCCACCCTTAGAGGTAACTGGAATTACTCTGAAGTAGCTGGGGAGTAGCTGAAATCAGCCACTTAGGTCTTCCCACCTCCTCAGGCTGTGTCCTTTTGGGTGCCGAAGTTCACTCCCAAATAAGCCACATATACCCTCACCCCCTGAGTGCGTCCACGTCTATGAAAAGCTTATATGAATTGGCTTTTGTACTAAACGGAATGCTCTGGGTGTCAGAGTCATTTAGGTGGGACAAATCTTCCTCTGAAGATCATCATGCTTGTATTTTCTGGAGACTTCCATGAACAATGCTTTCACCCCCAAGGACCAGCTCTAGGGGTGAAATGTCAGGCTGGTAGGAGAGGTAATGGGATCGAAACAAGACTTCCTGTGTCTTGAGAAAACCTTGTTTATATTCATGTGCTGTTTCCCAGTGGCAATAAATCGAGATTCCTGTGAGGATTTGACAGACGAGGCTGGTGATGCCACCCACTGTTTTTGTAAAGAAAATGTTATCGGAACCAGCCAGGCCCATTTGATTGTCTGTGGCTGCTTTCGTACTCCACTAGCAGAGTTGAGAAGCTGCAACTATACACCCTGCAAAGCCAAAAATATTTGCCATCTGGTCCTTTACAGAAAACAATTGCCAATCCTTGAATTAGAATTTGCAAAGTGTGTCAAAATGCAATACTCTATCTACTGATGTTAGGCAACACCTAAAAACTTTGCTCGGCACTCAGTTTCCTAAAATCTTCTCCATCAAACATCCCTCATCCTCTGCCCTCCAGGCCCCAGAATCCTTGTTCTCTGTGGGGAATAGGGACTCCCTGCTCACAGGCTGTCAACTAAGGCTCAGCCCTTCTTCAGAGAATTTCTTGGTACTTTCTAGAAGCTCAGCCCCTCTGGCCTCTTTCAGGTCCTTCTCTGAGTTTTCCCATAATAAACCAAGTCCCGTTAAGTGGATACTGTGAGCTACTTTCATCTAGTGTTCTATTCAGTGCACTTTAGCAAGTTTTATTTCCTGTGTATAGAAAAGATATTTGTGGTTTACTAAATGTAGTGCTGGGGATCATTTCTTTCTTTTTTTTTTTTTTTAAGTATGAGGTTCCAATGCCCTGAATCGGAATCGCTAAGAATGCTGGTTAAAAATTCAGATTTCATATGGGCATGGTGGCACACATCTGTAGTCCCAGCTACTTGGGAGGCTAAGGCAGGAGGATCACTTGAGCCCAGAAGTTCAAGTTCAGCCTGGGCAACATAGCAAGACCCGATCTCTTAAAAAGAAAAATCAGATTCCCAGTCCCCACCTACCCTCTCTGCGATGGGTCCCAGAAATTTGGCCCATTTTAAGAAGCTCCCCCAGGCAATTCTAATGCACAGTAAAGTTTGACCACCACTGCTATATACATAGAAGGCCATAACCCCTCATTATAACATCTTTGGTAAAGTATCGTTTCAGTTCAGCCTGTGTATGTATATGTTCAACCTGTATATGTATTTACAGTTAAGATGCTCAAAGTCAAACCTCCACATCCTTAGCAGACAGTACTATTGAATTTGAAGTAAATTCCTCTTGAAGTAATGTTTCGCTATTGCCACTATATCTTTGTGTATAAGAGCCAATGCAAAAACATTAGATTGTAAAGCTGTAGGCAAACATCAGAGCTCAGGCTGTGTGTTAGTTATCAATTGTTGCATAACAAATTCCTCCAAAACATAGTGGCTAGAAACAAAAATGTATATTATCTCGGCTTCCTTAGGTCAGGAGTCTGGACTCAGCTTAGCTGTCTCAGAAACTCTAATGAGATTTCAGTCTCATCTGAAGGCCTAACTGGGGAAGGATCCACTTCCAAGCTCATTCATGTGGCTACTGGCAGGACTTGGTTACTTTGGGACTGAGGGCCTCAGTTCCTCACAAGCTGCTGGCCTAAAACCTCCCTTGATTTTTTTCCATGTGTGGGCTCTCCATAGCTACTTCATGGCATAGCAGATGACTTCATCAGATAGAGAGAGCAAGTGAGCAGGTAAGAGAATGTGCCAGCCAGAGAGACAATGCTAACAGGACAGAAGTCAATTTTTTGAAACCTAATCAGGGAAGTGACATCTCATCACTTTTGCCATATTCTAGTCCTAAGAAGTAAGCTACTAGGTCCAGCCCACATTCAGGGGAAGGAATTACACAAGGCCATGAATGTAGGTTTGTGGGGATCATTGGGGGTGGTGTCTTAGCTGCCTGCCACAGTCTGTATAAACATTTCACAGTGCAAATGCATCCTCCATCTCCTTAATGATCATAACCTCTTCACTTTCTCAAAGCCTCACCTCTCAGAGAATGTATCACTGGGTTAAATGAGTACCTGGCAGGTGTTTGACGGCCTTCCTGAGGTACTAGACTCTAAGCTCTCTGTGAGCAGAGGTCTTCATGCCTTGCTCCCTGCTTTGGCCTGGCTCGGGACCTAGGACCAAGAAAGCAGTCGTTCATAGTGTTGAATGATGATCACTTTATTTTTAGCACTCATGATGTGTGACTCTATATGAAATTGTCTAATTTTAGTGTCCATTGTGTACATGGCTCATTTCCTGGGCCAGGCTGGTCAAGACCTTGCACTCTGAGAGTTGCATAGGAGCTCAGCAGGTGTTTGTTAAGTAAGTTCAGATTGGCTACTCGTTGTCAGGAGTTTGAGACCAGTCTGGCCAACATGGTGAAACCCCATCTCTACTAAAAAAAAAATAATAATAATAATAATACAAAAATCAGCCGGGAGTATTGGTGGGTGCCTGTAGTCCCAGCTACTTGGGAGGCTGAGACAGGAGAATCACTTGAACCCAGGAGGCAGAGGTTGCAGTGAGCAGAGATTGTGCCACTGCACTCCAGCCTGGACAACAGAGCAAGGCTCTGTGTCAAAAAAAAAAAAAAAAAAAAAAAAAAAAAAAAAAAAAAAATTAGGTTGGCTAATCGAGGTTTCTAGAATCATCTGCATGTAAATAGGGTTAACTTTGTGGGATGATTTTCTTGAATAAGAAGTTCTCAGCCTGAGCTTCACAGTAGAACCCTGGAAGGAAGGGGAGGTCTTTTAAAATTCCGAAGCCACATCCAGACCAAGTCATTCAGAATCTTGAGGGTGGGACCCAGGCATCAGCGTTCTTGAAAGCTCCCCCACCAGGTGATCCTCTGTGCAGCCAAGGTTGAGAACCACTGTGGTAGACCAGTGTTTCCCAATCCGGGGGAGTTTCTGCCTTTCAGGAGATGCCTTTTAGGCATCTAGTGGTGTAGAGGTCAGGGATGCTGCTAAACATCCTACAGTGCACAGGACGGCCCCTCCCCAACAAAGGATGGCCCATGCCAATAGTACCAAGAGTTGAGAACCCCTGGGCTAGGTCCTACGCTTTGAGTCAGGAAATTGGTTCTAAGTGAAGCAGTAGAAGTCCATGGGGTAGCTTTGTCCCAGATGTTAAGCTTATTGCAGGCATGGATAGCTTGATAAGTCTGGAATATTATATACAATCTATGTATCGGTGTTTCCTGAAGAGAAACTCACTCTTTTAAAAGGCACGCAGTGCATAAACCAATACATTTAAACCTACATATATTTATTTATGCAACATAATACCATACACGTGTGTTTGCATATAGCACGTGCTATAAACACCCTATGCATACAGAGATGTATGCAGGGCATATGAGTGTGTTATTGTGGTTAGAGGAACAGGTATGTCTTCCTCAGCGCCCTTTATTTTCCTTCCCCCTCACTGTAGCCTCCTGCCCTCTGCTTGTCTAGTAAAAGCCCTAAGGCCTCCCTGACCCTTGCTGTCCTTACCCTCAGTCCAGAGGATGCCTCTGCTGTGCCTTGCTGCCTGGAGGGTTCCCATCACCCAGGTTAATGTGGCTCTTGGCTTTCACCACCAATCCTTAGTTTCTCAAAGGGGTTCACAACCTTTTTAAATTACTAGTGTGTCTTGTAGAAATTGAACTTCACAAACAGGTCTTCTGAAAACGCTTTCTTGTGGTGTAATTGATATGCATATGGTGCATCTCTTTAAAGTGTCTGACAAGCCTTGACATACGTGTGTGCTCATGAAAGCAGCACCATGAGCAGCATGGCAATGTGGCTGCCACTCCCAACTCTTTCCATCCTTCCTATGCTCCCACTCTCCCCAAGCAACCACTGATCTGCTCTCCTTCTCTGTGGATTAGTTTGCATTTTCTAGAATGGCCCTTGTGAAGATGTGTTCACATAAATTCTCTCACCCTTTCTCACCCGAATAGAAAATGTTGCATGATGTTGATTGCTTAATAGCTCCACAGCTTTGTCCAATTTTTATCCTTCCTGCTTTTACTGAAGATGTCCTGCCCCCATGAATAAACCTCAGAAGACCCATTCTGCCACCGCCTACCACTGAAGAGTTGAGCTTGCACCCACTCCAGTCCAGCCCACACACCAGTGCCAGATTCATCTCTTAAAAGCACATCCTGAGTCACGCCTCGCCTGCTCACAAACCTTCCCTCTCTTCCCCTTGCTGCAAAGTGAAGCACAGAGGCTTGAGGCTGGCTTGGACATCTTCCATGGACCAGGCAATGGGGGGACCTACCTTCCTGACTTCTCCCCACCATTACCCTGGTGTCCTTGATGAACTCGGCTACACCCTGAACGCTCCCCACGTCTCCCACATCACATGGGTCCTGCTGTCCTTCCTTTGTGCTTTTCATGGAATCCTTCTGTTCTTCAAGGCCTCTTCACCTCCTGCCATCCATAAACCTTTGCCTTAGCAACCCACACCAACCAAAGAGATCTGTCCCTACCTCACTCCCCCATATCCCTGTGTCAGCACTCTCTTTATTCTACTTTAGTGATACCTTATGTGTCTGTGTGTCTTACCGCCCCCCTCACCCCACCCACAAGGATCAAAGCCAGGAGGGCACACTTGCAGACCCCACCACAGTGGCTTGCACATGGCAGGTATTGGACAGACACTCATTGAATGGAATGGAATCCAGGAAAGTAGAGACACTGTCGCCCAGATGGTCAAGGAAACTGATTGCTGCTAAAGCTCAAAATTGCAGATATTAAATACTTCTCAAATGTCTGGAGTAGCCTCCAGATTGCTGTGCTCTTAAAATCTGTGTCATCTGGACTTAGAGCTGGCTTCCCCTACTCTCCATTGATCTCCATGATTCCTTGCTGTCCCACTTTACCAGGCTAAAAGCCTTTGGGAAAACCAAAGCCAGTTCCCACAAAAGGCAAAGGAAGAGACTAACAAGTATCTGGTTGTTGGATTTGTTTATTCCCAGTCATGGAAGCGTATCATTGCTTTTATTGACTTGCTTATCTTCTGCTAGTACCATATTGCAAATGTTAGAGGCTCATCTATTTTAAGACTTCCATAGTGTTTTCACAAAAATGAAAATCCCTTATTAAACAGATTTTAGGACAAGCTTCTAAAAGGACCTGCCAAAAAGTGATTTCCTTTCTATCATTAGAAATAGTTTCCACATTCTTATCGTTATGTAGTTGAACTTTTATGTCCAGGACTGCATGAAAGACGTGAGAACTGAGAAGCAACCTATATTTGATTTCGCACTTTGTTCTTGGACAGGAAGCCCCTGTCAACTGACTTCACATCTTTTTAATGCACTATATTAGTGGTTCACAGAACTTTCTGGGTGTTAGGTCCCTTTATGTGCTTAGAAACAGTTGACCCCAAAACGCCTTTGCTCTTCTGAGTTGTGCCTATAAATATTTTCTATATTAGAAGCTAGAACTGAGGGCTGGGCATGGTGGCTCATGCCTGTAATCCCAGCACTTTGGGAGGCCAACGTGGGCAGATCACCTGAGGTCGGGAGTTCAAAACCAGCCTGGTCAACATGGCGAAACCCCATCTCTACTGAAAATACAAAAATTAGCCAGGCCAGCCAGGCACAGTGGCTCACACCTGTAATCTCAGCACTTTGGGAGGCCGAGGTGGGCGGATCACCTGAGGTCAGGAGTTCGAGACCAGCCTGACCAACATGGAGAAACCCCGTCTCTACTAAAAATACAAAATTAGCCAGCATGGTGGTGCGTGCCTGTAATGCCAGCTACTTGGGAGGCTGAGGCAGGAGAATCGCTTGAACCTGGGAGGCTGAGGTTGCAGTGAGCCGAGCTGGCACCATTGCACTCCAGCCTGGGCAACAAGAGTGAAACTCCATCTCAAAATAAAATAAAATAATAAATAAATAAGCCAGGCATGGCAGCATGTGCCTTAATTCCAGCTATTTGGGAGGCTGAGGCAGGAGAATCACTTGAACCCGGGAGGCAGAGGTTGCACTGAACTGAGATCGTGCCACTGCACTCCAGCCTTTGAGTTTTTTAAGATGGAGCGAGACTCCATCTTAAAAAAAAAAAAAAAAAAAGAAAAGAAATTAGAACTGAGAAGTTTATTACTTAATAATAAACTTAGTCATTTAAAATAATAGCAAATCCATTATATGTCAACCTAAGTAATGTTTAGGAAAGATAACGATTTTCAAAAAGAAAATAATATTTTAGTGTGAGGAATAGGACTGTTTTACATTTTTGCAAATCTCTTTAATATCTGGCTTAACAGTAGACAGCTGGACTCTTACATCTGCCTCTGCATTCATTCAGAGGCATCTTGGGGTATCTTGCTTTGGTTGAAGTATATGAAGAAAACTCAAATTTCTCACAGGTATGTGCTTGGAGAATGGAGGAGTGTTTTAATGGCCTTTGCAGATAATTATGAAATTCTTCCTTGATACTACACCAAAATTCAGCAGCTAGTGGTTTCTTAAAGACTACTTGTAATGTGGAATCTGAAACCATATTGATGATATTTTTGTACTCTTTTCCACTAAAATTCATTGCTTGATCTTGCACTTTGATTGACTCTTATATTCAAGAATTATTTTCCCTTGGCTATTTGGAAAATATTGGTTCTCTGAGTTGTGCAGATCTTCCAGACGTTGACACATTTAATTAAACCATGTCAAAAAAATTTCATTGGTTAATGTCACCACCAATTTCATCAAGAAGTCTGGTAAGTATTTGGAAGCTGTCAGTCTCACTATGGCAGGTACAAGTTTTCCAAAATTGATTGGCAACAGATACTATCAGTTGTTTTCTTTGAAGTGACAAGCTGTTCATTTTTGGGAAAGTTTCTGCCAAATACTTAAGTCTAAAAAACTATATCTTGTCAGGCATTCTTTCAAGAAAGGGGGTGTTTGCCCCCAGAAAGGTACAAGTTTGGCTCATAACTCAGTTACATAAGAATGTTTCCTGCAGCCCACTGTCACACGCTGGTTTGTGGTAGAAGGGCTCTCTGCATCCTCTCACTCATTTCATTACACAAACTGTTCGAAAGGCACATACTCGGGGGTTGAGATTTAATCAAATTAATAATTTTTTATTGCATCGAGGACATTTGGAAGTGAAACTGGCTTTTTAATTTATTTTCTTGCGAGCGCGTGGTAGTGAGGAATGTGTTCCTGCTAAGTACACTATGGAGCCACTGCCCGATTCACGCTCAGGCATCAGCAGTTTTACTGTGCAAATGTCAAGCAGTGAAAAAAGTAAATAACATCTTGGTGCTATTATAAAAAGTTTTGGCTTCACAGTCCTCCTGCAAGGATCTTGAGGTCTGCCGGGGCTGCACAGACCGTCTTTGAGGGCCCACTCCTGGCTCAGAGTGAGACTGGTGGGCAGGCAGGATAGAATCTCTTGGGAGCTCAATGTCCTTTCCAGACCTGCCTGAACAGAATCTGCGTTTTAATGAAGTCCCGAGGAGATTTATACGCAGGTTAAAGTTTTCCTGTAGTCCCAGCTATTTGGGAGGCTGAGGCAGGAGGATGGCTTGAGCCCAGGAGGCAGAAGTTGCAGAGAGCTGAGATTGCACTGCTGCACTTGAACCTGGGTAACAGAGTGAGATTGTATCTGGGAAAAAAAAAAAAAAGAGAGAGAGAGAGAGAACCACTGCTCTTTAACAGAGGTCTGCAAAACTTTCCTTTAAAGGGCCACATAGTAAATACCTGTGGCAACAACTCAACCCTGCCTTTGTAGCTTGAAAGTAGCCATAGACCATATGTAAATGAATGAGCGTGGCTGTGTGCCAATACAACTTTATTTATAGACACAGAAATTTGAATTTTGTGTACCTTTCATGTGTCACAAAATAGGTTTTTTAATATATTCTAAGCGGTTAAAAAAGTAACCACTTGGAATCATGTCAAAATCATTCTGAGTTTGCAGGCCATGAGGAGAGCCAGATTTAGCTGGTGGGCCACAGTTTGCTGACCTGTGCTATATAACACTGAGTGCTCATTGAAGTTACCGGGGGAGCTTCAAAAAAACAAACCCCAACCCTCTAATTCCTGAGTCCCGTCCCCAATAAATTCTGATAAAATTGGTCTGGGGTGAAGCCAGGGCATCAGGATTTTCAGATGCTCCCCAGATTATTCCAATGTGTAGGAAAAATGGAGAACCTCTGCTCTATAATGTTTTCCAAGAAAGTTAGTTTTCTTTTAAGCATTTCTTTTTAAGATTTTAGAATTTGGCAGTGTCACCAAATGTCTGAGACCAGAATTATGTATTGTAACCTTAGAGCAGGGTTTCTCACTCTTGGCACTGTGAACCCAAAGCTATCTGAGATAGGTCTCAATCAATTTAGAAAGTTAATTTTAGCAAGCTTAAGAACCTGTGACACAGCCTCGGGAGATCCTAATAACATGTGCCTAAGGTGGACGGGGCACAGCTTACTTTTATACCTTTTAGGGAGACATGAGACATCAATCAATACCTGTGAGATGTACATTGGTTCAATCTGGAAAGGCAGGACAACTCAAAGGGGGTCAGAGGGTGGCTTGCAGGTTATAGGAAGATTTAAAAATTATGTAAAGACCTGGAATCCATAGAAAGGAATGTCTGGGTTATGATGATAAGGGGTTGTGGAGAGCAAAGTTTTATCCTGTAGGTGAAGCCTCCAGGTAGCAGGCTTCAGAGAGAATAGATTGTAAATGTCTCTTAGCAGATTTAAGGTCTGTTGATGTTAATGCTGGTTGGCTTTTCCTGAATTCCAGAAGGGAGGAGGGTATAATGAGGTATGTTTGACTCTCCCTTCCAATCATGGCCTGAACTAGTTTTTTCAGGCTAACTTTGGAATCCCCCTGGCAGAGACCAGGAATCTATTCAGATGGTTGGGGGTGGGGTGGGGGGTGCTTAGAATTTTTTTTTTTTTTTTTTTTTAAACGGAGTCTCGCTCTGTCGCCAGGCTGGAGTGCAGTGGCACAATCTCAGCTCACTGCCACCTCCAACTCCCTGGTTCAAGCGATTCTCCTGCCTCAGCCTCCCAAGTAGCTGGGATTACAGGCATGCGCCACCACACCCAGCTAATTTTTGTGTTTTTAGTAGAGACGGGGTTTCACCATGTTGGCTGGGATGGTGTCGATCTCCTGACCTCGTGATCTGCCTGCCCTGGTCTCCCAAAGTGCTGGGATTACAGGCGTGAGCCACCCCGCCCGGCCCAGAGTTTTATTTTTGGTTTATAGCACTATTGGCATTTTGGGTGTGACCATTCTTTATTTGGGGATGGGGGCTGTCCTGTGTATTCTAGGAGGTTTAGGAGCATCCCTGGCCTCTACCCACTAGATGCCAGTAGTGTCCCCCACCCTCAGTTGTAACAACCAAAACTGTCTCCAGACACCGCTAAATGTCCCTGGGTGGCAAAATTGCCTGGATTAGGAACCAGTGGTCTAAACGATGTAGATGTTTTTTGTGCTACTTCAGAGAATCTCCACATTGGAGCTATTGACATCTGGGGCTGGGTAATTCTTTGTTATAAGAGCATATTCTGTACACTGTGGGTGTTGAGCAGCATCCCTGGTCTCTACTCACTAGATGCCAGAAGCACCCTCTCCCCCAGCTTTGGCAACGAAAAATATCTCCAGATATTGCCAAATGTCCCCTGAGGGGCACAGTCACCCCCTGTTGAGAATTGCTTGGCCAGCTCAGAATCAGGGAAGCTTCTGTCCACTGACATTCACTGCTGCTTCTCTTAGGATTTTCGCCCTCTCCATTTTCCCATTGCTTGTTGCTTGAAAGTTGTAAAGCTTGGTTCCTGCATCTTTTCTTTTTAATTTTGTGGCTCATTAGGAATCAGTAATATAGCAAGGAAGGCCCCATGTAGAGAGGTAAGGGGGTGGTTTTTTTGTGTGGTGTTTGTTGGGGGGTGTTTGGGAGGGTGTGTGTGTGTGTGTATGTATGTGTGACATTCATTCCCTGGGGAAGAATCTGAGCCCTTGTTCCTGCCAGCCCTACGTCTGAGCCAGCATTAAATCTGCAGCCAAGATCACAGACAACTTGGGCAAATCACTTGGCCATTATGAACTCACAGCCATGGCAACGGCCATCCACAAGCCTGAGGACAAAAGGTGTTTTATTCTGTTGTTCTGCACAAAAGGTTCTAGGGATACTGGAGACAAAATAGCCTTTGAGACTTAAAGGCATTGATGTGTATTTTTTTTTTCCCTACTACATGGCTTATATTTAAACTGTCTTAGGCTAATGTACACTGTAATTTTTGTGTGAATCAAAACCTAAAATTCTTTTTATCCAGAGGCCAGCTAAATGAAGGCATAAGACAGCCCAACAGAGGCTTTTAGGGTTTGGTGAGAGGTATTGAGAATTACTAGTAAAATGTGCTAGAAAGCCTGGCATTCTAGCCTGGCCAACATGGCAAGACCCCGTCTGTACTAAAAATACAAAAAATTAGCTGGATGTGGTGGCATGTGCCTGTAATGCCAGCTACTAGGGAGGCTGAGGCATAAGACTCACTTGAACCCAGGAGGTTGAGGCTGCAGTGAGCGGAGATCACACCACTCACTCCAGCCTGGGCAATAGAGTGAGACTCTTTCTCAGGAAAGAAAGAAAAAAAAAAAACCTGGCATTGATTATTATTTTTTTACATGAATACATCACAGTCATCAAAAAAATGCTTTCCTTATTTTTTCTCGTTCACGTTACCCAATGTTGTCATTGCTGGTTTGAAGCTTGGGAAAATTCAGTCTGTGGATTTATAGGAGCATCCAAGAAAAGCACTGATCTTCCTTAGCTATCGTAAACTTTTAACAGCATGGTGTTCTGCTGGTACTTGGCACCACCCCTATATTTAAAAACATCAGCTTGCCTATGACTACTAAGGACAGCCTGAATCCCAGATCTACTTCCTTTTTGTGCACAGGCACTCCCAGCACTTTAGGGGGTGGTTGGAGTGTGTGTGTTTAGAAATCTGCTTTCTCAGGTGACTCAATTCCCGTCTTCTCAGACCCTGTCTATGGCATGACACTAAAGCATGAAAAATTCCAAGGTTAACAGTACTTGTTTGGCTCACAAAAATGCACTCTAGCTGCACTCTTTTCAAGATGGCTGGACAACTTGGAACATTTTGTTTTTCTTAACTGTAGTCCTTGGAACTTGCCATTTGATTCACAAGTGACTGGAGGGTTATGGCCAAACCCAGTGGGCCACGTCTTAGAGAAAAAACATCACACACCATCGAATATGAAAGCAGGCACTTCAAACAGACTCAGGATGCCACACCTGAGACCGGGAAGATGCCACTGTTGACTAGAAATGGGCTTCTCAAATTTTCATGTGCACACAAATCACCCCAGAGGCCTTGTTAAAATGCAGATTCTGACTCAGTCTGGGGTCACTTCCAACATTCTTTATTTCTCACAAGTTCCTCCCTGCTGAAGCTGACACTGCTGGTCCAATGAACACACTTTGCAAAGCACATGGAATTGACAAATGACAAATGGTCCACTCATATCTTTTCTTGACCTCTGATAGTTTTCCTTGTTGCCCAGTAGAAGCTGCCAGCATCCAAGTTCAGCTCTTCTCAGCTACAGATCCATATATCCCTTCACATCATCCAGAGTGATCTTTCACAACCCCAATCTGTTTCCCATGCTTAAAAATGCTCCCTGGCAGACCAGGCATGGTGGCTCACACCTGTAATTGCAGCACTTTGGGAGGCCGAGGCGGGAGGATCACTTGAGCCCAAGAGTTTGAGAACAGCCTGGGTAACATAAGGAGACCCTGTCACTACAAAAAAATTAAAAAATAAAAAATGAGCTGGGTGCAGTGGCATGGGCCTGTGGTCCCAGCTACTTGGGAGGCTGAGGTGGGAGGATCGCTTGAGCCAGAGAGTTCAACACCGCAGTGAGCAGTGATTGTGCCACTGCACTCCAACCTAGGCAACAGAGCAAGACCCTGTTTCAAAAAACAAAACAAAACAAAAAAAAAACGCAGTGGCTTCCCATGATTTTGTTTTTTTTGTCTTTTTGTTTTTGTTTTTGTTTTTGTTTTGAGATGGAGTCTTGCTCTGTCACCCAGGCTGGAGTGCAGTGGTGCAATCTCGGCTCACTGCACCCTCCGCCTTCCGGGTTCACGCCATTCTCCTGCCTCAGCCTCCCGAGTAGCTGGGACTACAGGCGCCCACCACCACGCCCAGCTAATTTTTTGTATTTTTAGTAGAGACGGGGTTTCACCGTGTTAGCCAGGATGGTCTCGATCTCCTGACCTCGTGATCCGCCCGTCTTGGCCTCCCAAAGTGCTGGGATTACAGGCGTGAGCCACGGCGCCTGGTCAAGGCTTCCCATGATTTTGAAGATAAAGTCCAGAATTCTTAAGGTGGCCTGGAAAGCCCTAGGTGGTCTAGCTCCTATATTACCTATATCCTCTAGCTCCTAAATAAACACATTTAGCTTTTTCTTACTAACTTTTTGCAGCAGTTTTGGTTCCTCTAGGATGAGTGTGTGATATGTGACTAAATTGCCCAGTGTTCAAAGATATCATGCACACTGTGACCAGAGGTGGCTTCTATACTGACATAGAAGATACAGTGGAGAGTGATCCATTTATAGATTGTTGGATATCTACCACACATGCAATCTTAACCCTGAAGATAACTGGTCAACCAAGCTAGAATAAGCTCTACATCCAGCTGTATTATGTCCTATAAATTTTTCCCATATTTTATGTCACTAGCTTCTAGTCATGTTGGCTGGCACAGTCCGTAAGAGTTTTATCTGTGCCAGTGGAGCAAAGATGGTGATTTCTGTTCTATAGGAGCCAGGGTTCCTACAGCCACAAATAAAATCATCTGCTGAAAACCTAAGAGCATTGGCATCTGCTGAGAGAGCATGATTCATTGAAGTGATCCCCCAAATTCTTGAGTTCCTGGTTTTCCCTGCTGTTATAAAACTAGATCCACAGCATGAGGTATATACAGAGTCCTTGAGAGATATAAATTGGAGGGAAACTTTAGCTTTGATCTAGTATTGAATTTGGGATTGAACAGCATCATTCTTCTAACCCCACTTGGCTTTTTGAGCCTGGGAGAGCTGTGATATTTCTTTGGAATGCTCTAACCATTTGGATGAAAGACCGTTTGAAGTGGCAACTGTGGATTTGGAAGGATGAGTTCTATCGTTAAAGGGCGAGTGTGCTGCACCATAACACCTAACCCTAACTCCAAATGATGAAAAAGGGTGTGGGTTTAGTTTAAAAATATATATAGATGTATACATCTATATATACACACAGAGAATTAATGAACAATTTTATCTGGTTATATATCAGTGTCACCACATCAGCTGTTTAAGTATTCTGGATACTAGATCTTTCTGTAGAAGGACCCATCCAGTATGAATTATTTGCCCTTCTGATCTTCCCTGTCCCCCTTCTCTCCACTCTCTTTCCACTGGCTCTGCAGGGGTCTGTATCTTTGCCCCCATCATGCTGGACTATAATAATTGTGTTACTTGTCTGCCTGCAGTATTGGATTTATCTTGAAGCCAGAAAGGTATCTTATTTCAGTTTTGTGTACTTGGCACCCAGTAGGTCTTCACAAAATACTGAATTAATGAAATCCAACAGAAAACCCAGTTAGAACCCAGCTCCTGGGTTATAGAAAATCAAATATGTGACAATTCAAAATGTATCTTCCAAAGCAGTGTGTTCTGTGATGATGAAATGTCCTATATCTGTGTTGTCCAATACGGTAGCCACTAGTCCATGTGGCTTTTGAGCATATGAAATGTGGTTTGTGCAACAGAGGACCTGAAATTTTCATTTTATTTAATTTTAAATAAACGTAAATAGCTACATGTCTTAGTGGCTACCATTTTGGACCACACAGCCCCAAGGCCTCACATCTTTATCCTTTAAGAACCAGATACAACTTTGTTAGCCAGGAAAGCAGGCATTCATCTTTTTCTTAACATGATCATAGAGGCTGAGAATGTGGGGAGGTTGTGGATGATACAATACCCATGTCTGTTTTCTCTTTATAATGAGATACGTCAAGGCCAAGGATTCTAGTTTCTCTTAGTTTGGGAACCTGGAGAGAATTTGGACTTTGAGTTGCATTCCTCTCACCTCAGTCCCCAGAAAGTCATGTGACAAAATAAGATTGAGCTCTAACATCTCTGCTCACAAATCCCAAGTGTCTGAAGCTCTTTAAGATACTGACTTGCTAGTGAACTTGAACCATATTGTGCACTGGTTCCCTTTTTCTTTTTTTGAGACGGAGTCTTGCTCTGTCGCCCAGGCTGGAAGTTCAGTGGCGCAATCTCGGCTCACCGCAACCTCTTCCTCCTGGGTTCAAGCGATTCCCTTGCCTCAGCCTCCCAAGTAGCTGGGACTACAGGTGCCCACCACCACACCCGGCTAATTTTTTGTATTTTTAGTAGAGACGGGGTTTTACTGTGTTAGCCAGGATGGTTCCCATTTTATATAGTTTCCCCAATCCACTTCAGGGAAGTTGGTCTTCCTAAAAACAGCTGCTCATCTTTTGAAATTAAAGGAAGCACAGCTTTCTTATGAAGCCCTGATATTTTTTATTTTCTAATGAACTAAAGAGAAATCTAGTAATGAGTTTTCATAGTCACTTTCCATAGGTTTAAGCGAATGCTAGTTTAAAAGGAATGCTCACTAAAATGAAAACATTCATCTATGGTGTTTTATGCTGGGTTGTCATTCCATGACAACTATGAAGACCATTTGGGGGATTTTTTTTTTTTTTTTTTTTTTTTTTTTGCTGGCTTAATGTGCTTGCCCTAAAGTAATGAAGTGCCCTTGATTGCTGCTAAACACCATAATGCGTTTAAAGTTCAATTTCCCCGACAAGCCATTTACTTAAGGGTCTGGATAATATAAACAGAGACAGGAGGTTAGGAGAGGTACTGACATTATCCTGAGGCCAGTGCTGCCTTTACTGAAACGTAAATGTCTCCAAACTGAAAACGTCACCTGGCTCTGCCCCTGAGGCAGGTCTTTATGGACATCTCAAGTAAAAGTTTATTTTAAAAATGAATACAAGTCTCGTCTTTTCAAGATTAAGAGTGACTTACGGCTGTCTCTCCTTCATTCCACTTCATGGATGTTCATTTTGGTTTTGTTTTTTTCTTCTGTTCTTTTTTCTCCTTCAAGTACTTAAATATCACCCACCAGTTCTGGGTTCTGACTCTGAACGTGTGTGTCGGGGAAGGGGGCAGGTGGAAGCCGGGGAGGAGGAGGACTGTGAATGAATTGCTTGGGCTGACTGGGCTGGGGGGAAGCATTTTTATTAAAAATTTGAGATAATTTCTGATGTCAACTTGAATGAAACTTGAGTAGACCCACTTGAGTGGCTCTTGGTGACTTTGTTCTTCACTGAATTATGGACCAAAATACCTGTGACCTTTCCAAAACAATCACCTTGCTATTTGTTTGAACCTGGCGACGGCATAATTGCTGTATCAGATTCTCCCAGTTGCCCCGGAGGTCCAGGGCTTGGGGAAAGCCGTTGGTTGCCACAGCAGCAGACGTATTGAAACCCCAGAACTGTGAGGCTGGAGACGACCTGACTGTTGCTTTTCTTCACAGAGCTGCAGCTTCACTGCTGTCCTCTCTTTTGACTGTGTTAGTGGAATGAGTGCTTCTTGTTGGCACTTGAGCGGGGCTCCCCCCACCACTCAGTCGATCAGGAAGCTCTAGAACTGTAACTACCTTATAACTCTTTGTCAATTGACTGCTCTGCCATTCACTACCCTTCCAGATTCTGAGCAAATTAAGTTACATTCCCTTTTGGAGCCTCAGGGTCCTCACCGCAGAATGTGAGATCACGGTAACTACCACACTGGCCCTTGGGATGTCGAAGTATTAATATTAACCATAGAGCCTGAGAGGGGAGATGGAAAATTGTAAGCCTTCTCTGTGAATATGGGGTATTCTTGAAGACCAGAGGTGTTCTTGCCCGTAACGGCTATATTTTCTCTCCTTTGGGTTCAGGCTGCTTTGAATGCTGCATCAAGTGTCTGGGAGGAGTCCCCTACGCCTCCCTGGTGGCCACCATCCTCTGCTTCTCCGGGGTGGCCTTATTCTGCGGCTGTGGGCATGTGGCTCTCGCAGGCACCGTGGCGATTCTTGAGCAACACTTCTCCACCAACGCCAGTGACCATGCCTTGCTGAGCGAGGTGTAAGTATCCGGTTCCCTTTAAAAATGCATCTAAGGCCTGGCGTGGTGGCTCATGCCTGTCATCCCAGCAATTTGGGAGGCTGAGGCAGGCAGATCACCTGAAGTCAGGAGTTCAAGACCAGCCTGGCCAACATGGTGAAACGCCACCTCTACTAAAAATACAAAAAAAAATTTAGCTGGGCGTGGTGGTGCGTGCCTGTAATCCTAGCTACTTGGGAGGCTGAGGCAGGAGAACCAGTTGAACCCAGGAGGTGGATGTTGCGGTGAGCTGGTGAGCCGAGATGGCAACACTGCACTCCAGCCTGGGTGACAGAGTGATACTTTGTTTAAAAAAAAAGTATCTGAGATGCAACCACCTCATGATGTTTTTCAGAAAGACTACAGTGTGCTTTCCTAGCAGAAGATGAATGCTTTTACTTAAAGCTCACTTTATGTAGTTAGAAAAAGGTTCATGAGAGAAGGAAAAAGAAAGGGCCTAGAATATGGTAGCTGTTTAGGCCCCAGGGTGGAATGTTACTTGGGAATGGTAAGGTGCACACATAGGACACTCCACACATGGTAGCTGTGGACATGGGGAGCTGTGACATGGTGATAGGTGATGCTGCCGATTGTCTCAACAGAATTGTGTTGTTCCCAAGTAACAGATGCCTCCAGCTTTCTCCCAGGAAGTGACCATCCCTGGAATGGTAGGAGCCCTGTTGAGGACTGACCCCAACTCTAAGCCTACAGGAGCAGTATTTTAACATTAACTCTTCCAGCAGAAGAGCAGATCCCAGGGCATCCTCCATTGCAGAAGAGCAGATCCCAGGGCATCCTCCATTGCAGAAGAGAGGAAGGTCCAGGGGTTTAGCAGCAGATCTCTGCCTTTCTTTCTGGAAACATTCTCAATGGAGTCGCAGTGACTCCCACACATAGATTCTTGTAGCTGTGCAAGCTCAGCAGCAATCTACTTATTTCCTTCACATGTCTTCCCCTTTCTCCATTTCCTTCTACCGTTTCTTTTTCTTCCCTTGAATCCCAAAGTTCCAGTGTTAGTGTGTCTTATGATTATAAGAAACTTCTTCACCAGACTGAAAAAGACATGAATGAATTTTTATGGAATGGTCATGGAGTCATGTTGGAGACTCTTCAGTCCTTAGGGAATTTTATTCTTTCTTATCTGTTCACAAATGACCTCCAAAGAAATGAACACAGGTTGGGGAGATTATAAGGAGGGCTCAAGCAGGACAGGGGACTCACTGAGTTCCAACTATGTGCAAAGAAGAAATGTTTACCAAGACTGAACCTGGGAAAGGTGTGTTGATTTAATTAGGTAGTGATCTCAGTCTGTGGCTCTCAAACTTCTGAGAAGCTTTAAGAAAATCCCCATGCCTTACCCCAGACCAATTAGGACATAATCTCTGGGGGCGGGATCCAGGTACCAGTATTTTCCAAGCTCCCCAGGTGATTCCAGTGGGCAGCCGAAGGCTGAGGACATGTCATTTGTCTTTGTTAGCTTTTGTGGGACAAACTGCATTGTGAATTAACTTTCTGTATCTTAAACCTACTCGACCTACTACTATTTGTGTGGTGGGAGTCACAGTGCAAAAGACATCTCCCCAGATTACCCCCTAAAGAAGCCCTGAGTGCCTACTTAGGGGTTTTATCAGAGTGACATTAACCACTAGGCCTGGTTGGGAGGCATTTTGAAAGGGCAGAAAGAACATGTTGTCCATTGGGCCAGGGTTCAGATGCTGGCTTTGCCACTAACTGTGTATCCTCCGATGAGGAGCTTAACTCCTCAATGCCTGTGTTTTACTTATGTGCAAAATGAGGATTCTAACCCTTGCCGCCCAGGACTCAGGTAAGGATTAAAAGATTACAACTGGATGCTGCCCTGAGCAAAGGAAACATCATTCCCACCTTGGAAGGAAGGCCCAGGTTGCTGGGACATGGGCAGGGATGCCGCCCAGGATGCCCCACAAGTCCATCAAAGCCATCAGTGGGGCGAGTGACGCACTCACAGGAACATCCCCCTCATGTCCTCTCTCCAGCGTCCAGAAACGTAGTCACTACCAGGCAGTGAATTTAATGGTTCAGGATCTCTTCTTCTCTTTGTAGGATACAACTGATGCAGTATGTCATCTATGGAATTGCGTCCTTTTTCTTCTTGTATGGGATCATTCTGTTGGCAGAAGGCTTTTACACCACAAGTGCAGTGAAAGAACTGCACGGTGAGTTTAAAACAACCGCTTGTGGCCGATGCATCAGTGGAATGGTGAGTTGAACCTCTGATAACTGATTGTTTGATATACAACCAGAGCCATGCCTTGATGTATTTCCTTGTATTTGGCAAAAGCTACCAGGTATCGAGCGTGAATGGAGGGTCCATGACACAAATATTGGCTTTACCAATTTAGAGTTAGGACTATAAAAACCTTCAACATGCTATTGATAGTAAACTAAAGTCTATGGCTGGCAGAAATAAATCAAATGTTTTCATCAGTGTAAAGGTGAAAAGGGTGCTGAAGATTTTTCAAATGCCAAGTTCCCACTATAGAAGGAGGTAACTTTCATGTGGTCTCAGTGCTCCCCTTTGGTTGTCTTTAAATATGGATCATAGCCATAAAGACATACATGAACCATGGAAAATCGTCCTGATCCTTCTGTAAATACTTACCAGTACCTGCTGTACAGAGCGCCTAGCTGGGCTTTGCTAGCCACTAGAGGTGCAAAGATTAAAACACAGGCTGCTTTCTCAAGCAGCTTATAGTCTAAGACAGGGGTTAGCAAACTAGGGGCTGTGGGCCAAATTTGACCTACTACCTGTTTTTGTACAGCTCAAGAGCCAAGAATTTTTTTTTTTTTCTTTTTTTTTTTTTTTTGAGACGGAGCATCACTCTGTCTCCAAGGCTGGGGAGGGCAGTGTCGCGATCTCCACTAACTGCAACCTCTGCCTCCCGGGTTCAAGCGATTCTCCTGCCTCAGCCTCCTGTACAAGTCAGGGGAATGGTTACTTTTGTAGGGGAAGGAGGCAGCTGTTAAATAAAATGCCTGTGGAAAGCAGAGGGAAAATAGCCACAAATAGTGGGAATCCTCCTCCAAAGGAAAAAAAAACCAAAAACATCTCCTCACAGCTTTAAAATGACAGCTTTCCCCCTCACTTCTACCCATCAAGTTTCAAAAATAGAGGTCTAGTTTCCACCAGGGCACAGCATTAAGTCATCCACTGCCTGATGTTTAACATATTTGGATCCTTTGAGCATTGGTCAGGACACAGTACATGGTGGAGAGGAGAGGAGCTTGTTTGTACTTGAGCTAGTGGCACTTCACCTAGAGATGGGGACACTGTGAGGGATCCACAGCCCACCTAGCATGGCCCGCTTTTAGCTCTTATGTCAGATTTTGTTGGAGAAAGTCGAAAGCCCCCTTAGACTGGAGAGGAGCTTGACCATCTTGCTTGATTTCATTGCCAGTCATTCATGCGCTGTCTGCATCTCTGGCCACTGGCACCTCATGTGCTTCCGTTTCATCCATACGCTTAACAGATCACAATGCTGACCTGCCTTGGAGGGTGTGAGGAAGATGCAGGTGACGGGGCAGGGCTGAGGATGCTGGGGACAGAAACAGGACAGAAAGTCATGTGAGGTGGAGAAGGTGGATGAGATCTGCCCGCTAGGGAAGCAAAGCTGCCACTCCATCACCAAAGGCCTTTGTCTCCTCAGTCCTGTGAACCCAAAAGTATCTGAAACAGGTATCAGCCAATTTAGAAAGTTTATTTTGCCAAAGTTAAGGATGCACCCATGACACAGCCTCAGGAGGTCCGGACAACATGGGCCCAAGGTGGTCAGGGCACAGCTTGGTTTTATACATTTTAGGGAGACGTGAGACATTTATCAATGAATGTAAGATGTACATTGGTTCCGTCCAGAAAGGTGGGGACAACTCGAAGCAGGGAGGGGGCTTCCAGGTCACAAGTAGGTGAGAGACAACTGGTTGCATTCTTTTGGGTCTCTGATTAGCCTTTCATTGAATATACAATTCACATGGGAGAGGAGGGTAGAGGAATAGTCACTTATGCCTGGTCTGGCTTGGTGAAAAGACAGGGCAGAGGAAGCAATCAGATATGCATTTGTCTCACATGAGCCTCAGAGGGATGACTTTGAGCTCTGTCCTTTGTCCACGAGGAATTTCCTTGTGGGCAAATTGTGAGGGAGGTATGTAGCTTTATCTTTGTGCTATCTTGTTTAGGAATAGAATGGGGGATTTGCCTGTCGCAGTTCCCAGCTTGACTTTTCCCTTTGGCTTAGTGATTTGGGGGTCTGGAGATTTTTCTTTCGTAGTCCTGTGTGGGAGGTTTGTGCCCAGGAACTCACTGAGGAAGCAGCTCTGGACGCTAGAGGCCTCCATGACAGGGCCAGCTCGCAGCGGGGACCTCTGGGAGGGGGACAGTGGCCTTCCCTCTGGAGTCCTGGCCTCTGACAGAAGGGAAGGCTCACTGAAGCCAAGAACCACCAGCTCCCTCCTGCTCAGGTCCTGTTTTCTTTTGAAGGGAAAGAAACCTAGTCTGGAGCAGCAGTGGGAGGAAGTGGGAGGTGGAACTGCTGAAATCTGCTTCTCTGAATATTTTTGGAGATGCAAATGCTTCCTTGCAGTGCAAGGGAAAGTGTCTCGTTTCTGCAGTTTCCTGGCATTGTGACCATCAGGAGGTGGCCTCCAACCGCCCAGGTATCTCCTGCAGCACAGAAAGTTAGGGGTGACCATCAGGTCTCCACCATCAGCTTCAAAATAGAAAAGCCAAACTAGCACTCCACACCCTCTGTGGGCGCGCCTTCTGAGAACACAAATACCACGTTTTTGAGGCCGCCTCACAAAGCTCTCTGAAAAGTGGTCAAGGCAGAGGAAAGCCAAGCAACGGGATTCTATTCTTCCTGGATTGCCCATGACAGTGTGTGGGTGAACACCTGAAGCTTTTTCCCTAAGCCGTTGCTTTGCTTGCAAAGCTGCTGTGAATCTTAGAGACAAAAGAAAAGTAGAGGAAAATGAGAATTTTATAGATCGAGCATTAAGCTTGTATTCGTGATTATTTGAAACTTTTGGTAATTTTGCAGAATCAGGAAACTAGCAAAGTTCTTTTTGAGAGGGCTTCTTGTGGCAATTGCTATTCTCTGTGAGCCAACCTGTTACGAAAAATAAAGGTAACTTTTGAGAAATTAATATGAAGTTATAATTCAGTGGTATATGGAATACATCCAGAATCTATCCCATGTTAAGTAGCATGTTCTGCATTTTCAGAACGGCTATTTAGAAAGAGCACCTCTTGAGAGGCTGCCACTGATTAGCTCTGTGACCTTGGATGAGTGAGATCACCTCTTGGGGTCTCCTGTCCTTGTTAGTTAAGAGTGACCCGAAAGGCCCTGACATTGCTTCGGGCACTCCAATTCTAGATCCTCTAGCTCTGGGGAATGTGGCTGGCTCTTACTTCCCCTGCTCCCGTGCTGGCTTTTCCTTCTTGCTACCAATGCCGGGGCGAGGGTCCCCACAATGTGTTCCACAGGTCAGTATTGGGCCTGAAAATGCACAATCCTTCCACTTAGGGGACACACATCTACCTGTTTCAGTGATGATTGTCCTTCCTCTTGTTTTGGCCTAGTTCGTTTTCCTCACCTATGTGCTTGGAGTGGCCTGGCTGGGTGTGTTTGGTTTCTCAGCGGTGCCCGTGTTTATGTTCTACAACATATGGTCAACTTGTGAAGTCATCAAGTCACCGCAGACCAACGGGACCACGGGTGTGGAGCAGATCTGTGTGGATATCCGACAATACGGTACTTCCTTCTAATTCACCCCTCCCCCAGTTATTTCATTATCCTCTCGTGCATATGTCTGGACCTAATTATTACATGCGCATCCTTTTAATTGTCATGATCTGTTTCATCCCTTCTATTAGAGTAATTTTATACTTTTCCCTTCAATATGCTATTTTCTGGGTGGAAACTTCAGGGAGGCTTTTAGCTTGCTAGGTATCAAAATTTCGTTATATTTTCATGTTAAGTGTGTAGTGAAAGAAGCTTTTCTTAATATGAAACTACTTTATAATGCAGTTCAATCAAAAAAGACTTCTGGATCTCCGCTACAAAAAGATTGTATTTTTTCTTTATTTTCAGTTTTATAACATCCAACTTTCCATTCAAAATAATATTGCACACATTGTATAATTCAATTAATTTGCACATCCAACTCCTCAAATCTGGTCTTTTTAAAATGACCAACTGCTTAAACTTCATCTGTATTGAAAAATACAACATTAGATCCAGCCATATTTTAAAGTCATCAGAACATACTCTATAAATCATTATCAGCTGTTAGAAACCAGTTCAAACATTTTCTAATGAGTGAGATCCTTACAATGGGGATCTAAGGTTGGTTCATTGTGACAAACCCCAGAAGAGACCACTGGCTCCTCCTGTCAGTTAATTTGGGACTTGACTTCGCTGCTGAGTAAGAGAGGGCAGCTGAGTAAGAGGGCAGCATCCTGAGGGAGGAGTCTAATTACTGCTTCCAGCCACCATGGTAGGAAATCTTTTCTTGGCAGAAACAACCGGGGGTGGGGGGGAATAGCTTTCATCAGAATTGAAGAGGAAATAACTGTCCTTCCAGAGCTTTTCTGAAGAGAGATGACTATTTCATTTTTGCTGTTTTTCTCATGTGGCTTAGTCTCAACATCTTACCTTACAACATAATACTAAATTTGCTTGAAACTACCTATCAGACTAACCTCTTCTCACAAAGACCAAGGCTGAACAACACTGTTCTTTATGATAGAGCTAAAAACGGAGCCTAAAGTTGGCTGTTAAAGTTATTTGTAAATGAATATCTAAATGTATATCATTCTCCTATTCCTTAAAAGTAAGTGTTTTGCCACAAATTTTTGGTAATCAGCAATCATCTTTTTAAATCCTCTATATTTGCCTATTTATTGTTATAGTTACTGGTTTCACTGATAATTTGGGGTAATTTCCCATGCTTCTGAAGTATAAAGATGTACTCTTGGCCCGTGTCAAGGATGAAAGGAATAAGGATTTTTTTTCTTCTAATACTCCTTTCCTTAACCTCCTAGGAGTGTTTAATATTTAAGCACAAACTTATGCATTAAAGGGGAAAAAAAGCAGCAGCCCACTGGACAACTGTCATTGCAGAGGAGCCTCAGGGTTTAAGTGAGAGAGAAATCATAGACTCTGCTTGTCCCACCCTCTGGGGTAAAGGACAGTAGTGTTTTTTCTTTTTAAAAAATTTCCGGCCACGCACGATGGCTCATGCCTGTAATCCCAGCACTTTGGGAGGCTGAGGCGGGTGGATCACGAGGTCGGGAGTTCAAAGACCAGCCTGGCTAAGATGGTGAAACCCCGTCTCTACTAAAAATACAAAACTTAGCTGGGCATGGCGGCAGGCACCTGTAATCCCAGCTAGTTGGGAGGCTGAGGCAGAGAACTGCTTGAACCCGGGAGGTGGAGGCTGCAGTGAGCCAATATTGCAGCACTCCACTCCAGCCTGGGCGACAGAGCAAGACTGTCTCAAAAAAAAAAAAAAACAAACCAATTTGATTTTCAGTCCAAAAATATTTTCTAATACGTTTATAAGACATAATAAAAATGAATATAAAAACAAAGACAAAGTACAAATCCAGAGTTTTTTATTGGATTCCCACAAACATAAATTACTCCGTCAAATTGCCATGAAAGTTTGAGTGTATACTTGCAATTTTGGAACTTAACTCCTGGCAGACCAGTAACAGAGCTTGGACAGCAAGGCCACAGACCACAGCATTCATGAGGAAATGTATTTTGACCTCAATGTGATAAAATGCTTTATGAGGGGGTTGTCCTGCAGTAACTATAGGGAAAGCCTGGCTTTGAAAATTAATGTTTACAAATATGAACTTCCAAATGTGAACCCTCACTGAATAAAGCACAATTTGTAGGGGAAAAAAATATCAGGCTGTTTAAATCTCTTATGGACTAGTTGGCTTTGCTTTTGGCCTATTGTTCAAATGGGGCTATTTATTCCAAAATGCTTGTTCTGCAGACAGCAGATCCATCAATTCTTAATGAAGAACATAGCCTACAATTACACTGTAACTGGCATCCGAAGTGGTGGGGTCTGTTAAGAACATGAGGCGCTATAGTTTGTACTAACATCCTATTGGGGTTCATTTTACAGGTATCATTCCTTGGAATGCTTTCCCCGGAAAAATATGTGGCTCTGCCCTGGAGAACATCTGCAACACAAACGAGGTAAACTCATCACAGTTCAGAATAACCCTTGAGTATTAGGCTGAGAAAAAAGGGTTCTCCCAGCTGTAGAAAGAGCGAGAGAGATGGTTAAAATGCCATTAAGGAAAGCTCCTTGTTTAGAATCTTTAAGATAGAGCTATATGTAACCATCACTATTCAGCCATTTTTGACCTACAAAAATGGTCACTTCATATGGTCCAACACATTTGGTGAGAATCCTTAAGAAGTGGAGGGCTTTTCCTTTGGGCAATAATTTAGAGGTGATCCCAAACCTAGAAATCTAATAATATATCTAGATTCTTCTCTCACCTCTTCTACTTCTACTCTTTCTACTTTGAAAGATTTTCAAAGTAGAACACCTGTCACAGAACGGATGTAAGTTAATTTTCATAGAGGAGTCCCTCTATTTCATAGAGGAATTTGTGTATATACCCAACTTTTAATAAATGAGGCCACAGTTAATCATTTATATTTCTGGAATGACTTGCTACTTCTCTAATTCTCATTCGTCCTTACTAGGGAGTGTGTCCTAACAATTTGGTTTAAATTGTCTCAGCCCTAGAACATTCTTCAGTCATTGGCTTGTAACTGTTTATAAAGGAAAATTCTTAAATGCATTCGTAGGTGCTTGTATATTTAAGAAAATCCTGGCAAGCTTTTAAGAAGCAGTGAGTTACAGAAATAATCAGCTCCTACCCTATCTGACTTGTCAATTTGTATATCCATAATATGCAGTGGCTTGAAGCAGGGCTCCCCACCGTGGCTGCATGTTACAGCCATCAAGGCAGCACTATGTTATACTGATGGCTGAGGCCCAGCCCTTAGGTATTCAGATTTAATCGATTTGGGGGGCAGTCTGGGCATCAGAAAGTTTTTAAAGCTCCTCGGGTGATTCCACCATGAGGCCAGAGCATGAAGAGAAGGCAGGCCTGTGCCCAGTCTTGCAGAGAAGAGCTGCAAAGGAGACAGATGAAGCAGCACCCCACAATGAGTGTAGGCCATTTCATTTAACATCAAATGCTTATGTTGATGCCCTGTTCTTTTGTAGTTCTACATGTCCTATCACCTGTTCATTGTGGCCTGTGCAGGAGCTGGTGCCACCGTCATTGCCCTGGTGAGTAATGGCCCCAAGACCACCCTAGTCTAGCCTCCTCCCTCCAGCTTCTAAATGACAGATTTCCCTTCCAGCTTTTACCAGCCTATTGAAGCCAATGATTCTGGCACTCAACCTTGGTTAACTGGCGCCTGTGTTAACTTACCACATGTAGTTTACAGAAAGTATTAGTTGGTTGCCTTGGCACTGATTGTAGGTGATGTAATTTGGACTCTGGAAAGAAAAGAGGGTATCAACACCTATCAACTAGGCCTAGCATATTACCTTGTTGCACTGAGCACTTAGCTTCATGACTTCAGTCGCAGACAGATGCAATGCTCACGTGAGGCATTACCCATTTCTTTGCCAAGGGATATTAATTTACAAGTGGAGATATGCACATATACATACATTTATATAGTCACTCATACAGGGTAGCTGTGTTCCATAAAGTCACCTCAAGCAATGAATTAGCGAATGCTGGACCACTGCTCCTAGGGGAAATACATGGCTAGGTTTCTGTGAGCCTCTGGTCACATCATTTTCAGCAACCTATCAACACATAAGCTTGTTTCGTGTGTTTCTGTGTAAATACACCGTATTTAATATATATTGTTGATTCCTTAATATTGAATTCATGGCCAATAGCTCTATCCCTATGCCTGAATGAAGCTTCTCTAATGAACATTTTCTCTGGTCAGGCAGTTTGCAACCTTCTTGCACTTAGGGACTCTAGACAGCACTGCAGCACTATGCTTGGGAGCCATTTTAAGCAGCAAAATCACCCACAAAATGCACAAAAATGTGAAAAACGTGGCACTAAATATACTTCGAGTATACTTATTTACAGTCTGAGAGCTGAAACAAGAAGGCAGAGTATTGCCTTGTTCAGCCTCAGCTGGGAATGTGCATACCGGGCAACTCAACTTTCACCGCTCTGCACATGTCTGCTAATAACTGCGAAAGAAGTGCCTCAAGTATTAAGGATTACAAATGAATCTTAGCAAGTAGGCAGTCACAAATGTGGAATCTACAAGTAATGAAAATCAACTGTATAAATACACGCTCTTATGTATGTATGTTTGTATACATGTAATTTTGGAGGGCTTGGTTTGTGATTTCAGGAAAACCAACTAAGATTGGTAGAGCAAGGGAAAAATCTCAGCTGCTTGTAAATTATTCATTCCCAGTTTTTCTGACCATTAAATCCCCTTAGAATCTATGAAAAAAACCACCTTTAAAATCATGGGGTGACCTGTTCTTTTGGTTGAGCAACAGGGAGGAAAGATAACTGCCTGCTGCTGAGCAGGTGGTTTTGGAAAGATGAGAGGATTAAGGCATTTAGCTTCATCCTTCTCATGCTGTTGACCCAGCTCTCTGTCTTGTTATTCTTGAAACGCATCCAAGTCCTTTTAGTAAACTCACTGAGGGCAGAACCAATGACTTACATTGTACATGTGTGATGAGAAAAAGTTTGTGTGTGCTAGATAGGAAAATTGTCTGTTGTGATTTTAAGTGGGAAAAAAACACCTTAGACTATGAGCAGGCACCCGTCCCCACCCAAGTTTAGAAGTGTCATGGCATCGGCCCTCACTGCCTGTATCTTACTGTCCTGTTTTGTTCTCTTCCACCAGCTGATCTACATGATGGCTACTACATATAACTATGCGGTTTTGAAGTTTAAGAGTCGGGAAGATTGCTGCACTAAATTCTAAATTGCATAAGGAGTTTTAGAGAGCTATGCTCTGTAGCATGAAATATCACTGACACTCCAGACTAAAGCAGAGTCTAGGTTTCTGCAATTTTGTTACAGTAATTTGTAAATAGCTTTAGTAAACTCACCTTGCATGGTAGATTAATAAGATGACTTACTGTACATGAATTACACAATAATGAGATCTGGTGGCTATTTCCACATTTTGAAAAGGATTCAGTTATTTACTGACAGTGGTGAGCATCCTTTTTAAAATAATGTTCTCATACTTAAACATTAGAGAGCAGTATCTTTAAATGAATTATTAACACTTTGGAATACTTACATTTTCTGTTATTTTTGATTGCCTGATAACCAGTTTCAATGATGAAAATGAAAACAAGTGCTGAAGATGAAATGGAAGAGAACCGTTTTAATCTGGATTTTGTTTTGTCACACCTGGAAAATACTTTGCAAATATGTTCTAAATTGAAAACAATTTTTTTATGATCACATGGTTCACTACCAAATGACCCTCAAATAAGCCAGATGAAAATTTGAAGAAAAAGGTCACCCAGTTCTCTGGAAAAAAAAAAAAAAAAAAAAAAAAAAGGATTTATATGTGGGTAGTTTTTTTTTTGGTACAACACAATCATTCTGTTAGAGCCCACAAAATTGGTAACCTTAAATTGTGTGTTTTGGTAAGTAATAACTAACTGTTTCCTCATAGCTAGTTCTCAAGCTGCATGTAAGATTTTAACGGGAAGAGAAAATAGGCCTGGACCTGAAGGTCTCAAATATGTTGAGAAGAAAGTATGAACTATAAGGAACTTGAGATGTAGATTTATTTTGCAGGAAATACGAGGAAAATAGGAAAGAAGTGTTTGCCGCATCAAGTGTAAAGAATGATACTGAGGATTTTTACATTTTATGAAATGAAATAATGGCATTTACAAAATGAAAAATGTAGTTTCACAACTAAGTTTTGTTAACAGAGACTGCATGCTTTGCTTATAGTTCTTAATTTTGGTTTTGACATTCATTTAATTTTTTCCATGTTAAATATGTAGTTTAATTATTTACTCAAAATAAACATTGTTCATGCTTTTAGGCCTTTGGGGGAATTGATTTTTATCCACAGGTAGAAAATGGTCTTTGCACACACTACACTTATTTCAAATATACAATGTGCTCCCGAACTTTCGCATTAGTCTTTAAAATTACTCTCAAAATGGTATTAAAAAAAAAAAAAAAAGCACCCTCTCGTATTTCATTTTTGCTTTTTCTTAACAATACCTTTGGCCATTTTTTTCCAGTTCACTATGTTTGTATACTAACTTTTCTTCAGCCTTTTAATGCGAAGCCAACTAGTAGAGCATGCTTTCAGGATCTGACAGCTCTGCTAGTAGAGCGAGTATTTATTAATACAGAATTAACCTTCGCCCCTTTAAAGTCAAGTCTGTCTAATCTAACTAGCGCCTCGCTTTGCCTTCTCACAATGCTCACTAGCCATCATGCTCACCCTTCTCTTCCAGATCCACTTCCTCATGATACTGTCTTCTAACTGGGCTTACTTAAAGGATGCGAGCAAAATGCAGGCTTACCAGGATATCAAAGCAAAGGAAGAACAGGAACTGCAAGATATCCAGTCTCGGTCAAAAGAACAACTCAATTCTTACACATAAATGTTTGCCAGAGTGTTTCGGCCGACGTATTTACAGCTCTGACAAATCATCAGACAGCTGCTCTGCAGTACAGATGTGTATCCCACCAAACTAATGTAGATGTACAAACACTTCACTGTCTGTCTCAAGCTGCTGGGATGTATCTCTAGGAAAACCTTCCAGTGGGTAAATCTTTTTCTTTAGAACAAATATTGGAGGTTTCATGTTAGCCATTTTAAAAGGCAACACTTTGACAAAATGATCGTTCATACTTTGGGAATTTGTGGCATGTTCACATTTATTGCTAGGGCAATTCTACCAAGACACTCAATGGAATATGTCACACTCCTTAATAGGGACCTGTGACTCCTTAATAAGGACCTGTGACATGCCCAGCATCAAGGGATAAGACCGTAAATTCACATATATGCCATCTGTCCTCAAGTGTTATCTACATAGGAAATAAAATGGAATTGATGTAAAGTTCCATTTCTGACAGCTGACATTTATTAAACTTTGGATCAAAGATAATGTGATTCTTATGATTGATTTCTCAAACTAGCTTTTCCCTCCCAAGTCCAGGACCCATTAATTTCCTGAGCCAATCAGAAATATATTTTTCAATAATGCTAAAATTAGCTACAATTCTGCTGACCCTACTATTAAAGAATCTGGATGCTGGACTCACTGACAAGCTTTCCAGAAGCAATTTTATAACAGATTTCATTTTAACAAAATACTGATCCAATTTTCATTATTCTTGAGAAATGTCAGCTTTGCCTTAATGAGTATTTGCTTTAAATTTCTAAGAATTTATATCATAACTAGAGACCCAAATATCTTTCACAGAATTTTGTTCCATAAATGTTTTTCTTAATTATTAAGAAGTGTTACCTTATTAAAATGACCACCATTCTAAACCATTTTTCAGTGGTCTGGATACGAAGTTTACAGTTTCATACCAACTATCTAAAACCTAATTGCAAATTGACCACAGACCTCTAACCTCCTACTTTTATAGACTTGAATACTTAAGTAATTTAAATTAGGGTTGGTATTTCATTTTTTTCTTATCTAAATCTTAGTTTCCTGGAATAATAAAGTTTGATGTTCAGCAAGAGAACTGCTTGAGTTTAAGCCATTTTCAAAAGAAACTTGCCTTTTACATTATTGTGTTCCAGAACATTAAGTGACTGTAGGTACTGGGTATTAGTGATGGTAAACTTTGTGTTGCTCTTTATGAAATGATCCATATAACTGTTGGGTGCATCAGTGCTTTTCAAAGGGGCTGCTTACTATAGGGTTAACTATGTATATTCATTGTTAAGAGTTAACTTGTGGTTTGGCTGTTTCCTGGATTTTATAACATACATGTGCAGAAATGTATTCAAATGAAAGGAAGCATACCTTTATCAAGATGCTATTAAAATTGAACATCAAGTATAATATTTCATTTGGATTCTCTTTTTTGGTTAATGCCTAAAAATGCCTATTTGGGATTTTTTTTTTTTTTTAAATTAAGAGAAGCTCTCTTCTGTGTAGAACAGTTGTTCCAAAATAGCTTAGTGTTTTGTTTTCCTGTTGCATGACAGATTTAACTATTCTTTCCAGCAGTGGAGGTGCTGTCAGAGTCCAGTGTTCTAGAAGAGGCAGTGTCTAAAGCCTAATTTTACTTTTCTAATTCTGGTAGCTATTACCAGGAATTTTTGAAAGTTTTGTTTAAGTAGTCTAATATTTTTTATGTAAAGAGCATTAAATTTTGCTATGTATAAATTTTTGTAACCTAACAGTGAATCAATATTTTCTATCAGTGCCAAGGGCTTCCTGTAGTTCTATTCAAGTGTTACAATAAATATTTGTAGATAATAGTCAATACTTGTGTATGCTTATTTTAAAGATCTATTTAGGTGGAAATAGTTGTGGATGTACTAAGAGTAATGAAATAAAATTATAGCTTCATTCACTTGCCTTTTTACCATACATAAATCCTATCTTTCTTTGTTCTCAGTATGGTTTCACTTTTGAATAATGTGCAGAGTCAAGATTTCACATTGGTATGGAAATCAAATCTGTGAGTGCTAATTGTTTTATTTCTGGCAAAAATCTCTTCAGCAATTAAAGAAAATATTAAATAATCCACTGGGCTGTATTGGGCATAAAAGTGCCACTAGCACGTCTGTAGTTCTCTATAAAGTAAGAATTTTTCTGACTAGTTTTTCAACAAATAAATGCCATCTACCTATAGGATCAACAAAGCTTAAACGTGGGCAAAGCAGAAACAAAATAAGGGCATGTGTGTAGTTATTTTTCAAACCAAAGGTACAAAAGTCTATTGAAAGATTTACTCTGGAATACAAAAAAACCTAGTTCTAACAGTTGACTCTCTAGAGTAGCCAAGCTAAATATGTTACTTAGGATTTTATTTTATAATCTGTTTAAACTCTTACCTCTCAACATGATTATGCATTTGGATTCTCTGCGTCTGACCTTTCTTAGTGAGGCCCAGCCTTTGTCACTATTGACACATGGCCATTCCTAAATGAGGTGCTGACTCTAGATCATCACCCTTCCTTCATGCATGGCAGAACAATCAGGAGGCTCAATTAGTGTGCTATTTGTCACACTACTTAGTATCTTCTGTTTAAGTAGCATTTTGTGCAATTATTTAAGTCACATGAGTCACCAGAGGAAAACTGTAAATAATGGTTAGATAAAATCACAAGCAGCCTCTTAATTACCCATAGTGATCCTGCCACGAAACCTAGGACCCTTTAGAGGGTTCAGTAGAGATTTTTTTCCAGTTCTGCCTTGTAAAACTTGATTTTTTAAGAGATGAAGTCAATTATAGGGAAGGAGCCCATTCATTTAAAAACAAAGGAAATACGCCCATTCATTAAGTATGAGGACCAAAGGTTCCATAATAAAGATGCTATCTCAGTCTGTTCCTGCTGCTATAGCAAAATACCTTAGACTGGGTAACTTACAAAGACCAGAAATGTATTTCTTACAGTTTTAGAGGCTGGGAAGTCGAAGATCAAGGAAGGCACTGGCAGGTTCGATGTCTGGTGAAGGCCCGGTCTCGGCTTCCAAGATGGTGCCTTGTTGCTGTGTTCTCCAGAGGGGATCAATGCAGTGTCTTCAAATGGTGCAAGGGCAAAAGGGCCTAGCTAGTTCCATTGAGCCCTTTTATAAGGTCACTAATCCCACTCTTAGTCACCTGCAAAAGGTGCCACCTCTTAATTCTATCACACGGGGGGGTTTAAATTCCAACATATGAATTTTGGAGGGACACATACATACAAACCACAGACATCAGAAGTAAAGACCAGAGGCAGTATCTTTCTTACTATTTCTAATGCCTAGAAAAATCTGTTTTTATGTTCAGGGACAAAACAGGAGTGTGCTAGGAAAAATGACCTCCTGTTTTACAGGTGGCAGCCCAACTTTGGAGAGGAAAGAACACAGCTTATACTTCCAAAATGTAGGCCTGCAGTTGAGCAGTAAGATAGGTTATACTCATTTATAAATTTAAGACAAAAATAAGGAGGTTAAAAGCCAGTTACTTTTATTATAATGAATGAGAAATACTATGACTGGAGAAGAGGTTTCACGTGACTAGATTATTCTTGGTTCACACACTATGGTATCAAAATTAATTATGGAAAAAAAAACCCACATTGGATTACACACATTTTTATTGAGTTTTGTCTGATGATAGGGAAACATTTACAAAGGAGTAAATGTTACGTAACTTCTCACGGTATGTAAGTTAGAAGCTGGGCAGCAAACATGGTTACCAAGAGTCGTCTAGTTCTTCATGAGAAAAGCCTGTTAAACTAAATTAGGGAAAGATAAAAATTAAAATGTAAAAATTTGTGTCAAGTTTATTTGCTATCTTCATAATGTTCTCAATTCCTTCCCTGGGGGGTTTCTGCCCTAGTTTACAATTTATATCAGGATCAATTTCACAAGTCAAAAAACTCAATTGTTTTTATAGTCACTAATTTTGACTGATTCAATAACTTCTTACAGGCAATCTCAAACATCTGTTTCTCTTGGCTGACAAAATAAGCAATTAACAGTTTGTGTATGAAAGTGTGTAGGGAAAACAGGTACCTTTCGACTTTGTCACTAGATTGCAGCGTGTCCACTAGGGAGCCTTCTTGGACCATCTTTTTTGAGCTCTGATTACATGGAGAGGGTGGAAAATTTTGAAATTAGATATGCATTAATTTCATGAAATACTTTAAGAACCATTTTTGAAATATATATGTAATTTAAAAGTCTAAAAAAGAGGTGACTTTTAAACATGAAATTTAGCAAGCACATCAAAATAAACTATAGGGTATGCATTTAACACCCATAATACTTCAGACTTACATAAAATATTAATGTCAGTATTAATGCATTTGATAGATCTTTTCTTTCTTAATGAGCCACCCCAACTTTTACAAATTAAAATCTCTTAAATCTTTTACCTTAAGCAAAAAAGCTATGAATTTTTGTCAAAAGAATAGTATATTTAAAAGACTCAAGGTTCCATTTGAACTTTGGATTTTCTATACTTTTCACCTTTTTGTCTTCAATGGAGAAGACGGATTCCCGTCCCAAGAAGTTAAGCCACGGAAGCCCTGGATGTCCCCCACCCACAGATTGCCCTGCCCATGGCACTGGCACCTTATCTGCCGACTCCTGGTCTTGCTCCTGCTGGATGATTTTCATGTATTTCTCTAAAGGATTTTCACTGTGAGCAGATTTGTCTTTTATTTCTTGATTACTCATTTCTAATTCATTTTCCATTTCTAATTCCTTTTTTATTTTAATCTTCAGTGATTCTTCAATCATCTTCTATAAAACAGGCACCAAAACAGAAAATACACAAATACATTTGTAAAACTTTTAAGTGTTTTAAAAATGCACTAATATTAATCCCGATCCTTCAAGTACAGCCTGTATGCCAGAGGACTAATTTTTAAAATTGAAGTCATTGCTATCATCAAAGGAAGACAAATATGTCATCTCAATGAAGGAAGGTATTAATTGGCAAGTGTCCTGTGCTTTGGACTTGAATTAACCAAGAGTCCAAGGAACATTCATATGTTAGAGTAATTCAAGCAAGACTTAGCAGGTGTGTTAAGTGGACAGAGTAATCCATCTGCTAGGACTAGAATTGGGACACAGAAGGCAAGAAGAGAAATAGAGGAAGGAGGGAGGGAGTGTGTGCCCCTGGAAGCAACTGTGAACTGGCAGCCACTCCTCCCTTGGGTTCTAGTCCCAGCTAGCTGGCACTGACAGTCTCTTCTTTAAACCCTGTTTTCAAAGCAAAGTTCTGCAGCAAAGCACAGTCTACCTTTTTTACAGGCTTGTTTTAAGGATCAGATGAGAATGTACAAAAATTACCTTCAAAAACTATCCTTTACTACAAAACTCCTAAGCTTCACATTCTGTGCAGCCTTTCCCACTGCTTTTAAGACAAGGAGAGGACAGGGATGCCTTTTAAGGCATCTGCCGCACCTCTGACTTTGTACACCAATTGACTCCCCTCCCTGAGCTCAATGTACTTACGAAAGGTGTACAATGGAGCAACCAGTTCAGAGAATCAAGTCATACTTATTACCCTTTCCTGATACAGTTTTTCTAGTTCTCTTCGTTCCCTTTCTAAAACTTCTTGTAGGTTACTCTGCCTTCTTTCTTCTCTCTGCCTTCGTTCTTTCACTTGCTGTTCCCGTATTTTTTCTTCTTCCTTTTGTTCTTCAATTTGTTTCTGATCTACACCTAATAGGACAGAAAATAAAGAGTAGCTTCCAGTATCAGATTATTCAAATGAATGCAGGACCAGTCTGCAGGAGCCCTTGCCAAGACCCACGGAGACTCTGCTTGGCTTTTAGTTGACTCTGTGACCTGCTTCAAGTCACTATTTCATTTTCACCGACTTCAAGCTCCCGACCCCACTCCTTGAACTGTACCCTACTTCACTTGACTGAGACAAATACGTCACCCTCACCATAACCAACTCCAACTGTCCTCCTTCCATGTCACATGTTCTCATCCTCTTCACAGATCTCCTCCCTCCTTTCCAAGGCAAACCCTGCATTTCTGCCTCTGCCTTTGATTATAATCCCTCCCCTATCTTTAGGACCCAGACTGAGCCATTAATCCCTATTTCTGTACACAGTAGTTTTAGAAGTCTTACTCCCATAAAGATGCTCAAGTCTGTCCTACCCCAACAAAACAGAACAGAAATCACACCACTGCCCTCCCCCCGCCATTCCAGCCATCTCACTGTTCATTCCCCACTTCCTCCAAACTGACGGCAGCCCTTCCTGGGGTTTTAGCCATCACTTGTATATGGATCCTTTCCCTATCTTTTCCTCTACTCCTGGTCTCTCTCCCTAGCCTCGCGTCCACATTTCTGATAGTTCCTTGCCATCCGCATGTGGAAACCCCACAGCACTAGCTTCGTCCCAGGCATGATCATCCCGGTCCTTCGATCATGCTCTTTCTACCCTCTATCCACTCAGCCACCAGTGTTTGCAGGTTCACACTCCCTGTCCTGTGGCTGCAACAGGGGCCCTTCTCACCATCTCCCTGGACTACTGAAACAGCCCAGTCAAGGCTCTTCCTGAAGCCAGTCTCTGCCTTCCAACAACCTGTGGTCATCTGCACCAGGCATTTCCTGAGGGGAAGATGTGGATCTGCTGTGCAGCATCTCCGCTCTGATAAGAGTCCTACGCCATGGTAGTCTGGGCTCTGACAACCTGCCCTTTTCTTCCCAGATTGATTTCCTACATCACCACCAACTTTGTACGAGAAATATTTCATCTGTACCAACCCACTCACTGGGGCCTGGCCGTGGCTCTATCTTCCTTGCTTGACATTCACCTTCACTGTCTCCTCAGCCTGTAGCACTCCCTTGCTCTCACAAAGTCTGAAATGCTATTCAAGACCCAACTGAAATGCCACCTCCTCCTTATTCCTGAAGTGACAACTAACCACTCCAGCATCTCACTTGCAGGATATCTTGTACCTGATCTGTCAAAAACTACATGTACTTGTTTCTTCCACTTCTATTCCTTCCAGGCAAGGTCCATACTTTAATTACTTGTCTGTTCCCTCTGCATCTTGGCACAGGTCCCTATATCTCAAAAGTTTTAATTAGACCCCAATCCCAGAGACAATTATGCTGACCTTTCTCTTCTGGCTCTGACCCATAACCTACATTTTTTTTTTCAACCCAAGCAATGCTAATAAGTAGAAAAATTCATAGGTTCAGCAGAGGACTTTGAACCTTTTTGCTGTGCCTTGTTCTAAAGTGATCAGCAGGAACTGAGTTTTACTAATAGGAGAGAAGCAACACAGTTTCTTCTCTCTCTCCCCCATCTCTTCTGAATCCTTCTCATGAAATTAAAATACCAGAGGAGACAGCTGATCATTTCCACAGGCAGAAATGCAACTTCCTCCTTGCTAGAGAAGAAAAAATAGTTACTCCTAAACAAGATTGCTTTCTTATATGGAATAGTAATCTCAAAATAGGAATGTTGTTTAAGCACCAATTACAAAATAAAGAGGAAGAGTGAGCTGCTTCTCTACTCTGGTGTATATTTTGTAGCTGCAGGGTGGTATACAGAAATCTCTTGGACACAAGGGGAAAGGAAGGAAGCATGTCCACGGGGCACCTCCGAGACACCAAATTTCAACCTTTTTGAATTCCCTTTGTGCCCAGATGAAGAGATGAAATGACAAATATAACAATTTCTCAATAACTAAAATGTCACTCGCCATGCTGCTTAATAATTTTTAAAGCAAATATTATAATCTATGTTCCATCTCAGCAGCAGAACACCTAGTTACTCAGTTGATTTCCCTTATCCTATCACATTATTTGTATTCCCTCGCTCAGGTCTGTGCCAAATGAGTGCCTGTAGACACTCCCTCTTGTGGCCACGGCCCCTACTCAGCTGCTGCAGCCCCTCCCTGCTGCGGTCCTGGGTGATGGCCTGCTGACCATCTGCCTCCCCTGCTAGAAATCCAGGAAGGCGAGGGCTTGAGCTATATGCTCAGCGCTGAGCAAAGTGCCCAGCAGAGACAAGGCTCTAGATCATGTCTCACTGAATGCTTTCCAAAGCAGATTTACTCTGGAATCAGCAACATCAACCCTCTCAAAATCTCTTGCCTCTTTCAGTTATTTTATATGTTCCTGGGTACCATGACTAAAACCAAGAAACTGCTAACAGGGGTTTTGGGTATGATGTTTTTCCAACGTTTGGGAGGGACTAAGAGGTGGCTTTACTTGAGAAAATTCCTTTCAGATTTGAGGATTAAACACTTGGTCCAAGAAGAAAAGGACCTGGCTGTTGGCTGAGCCCTGGAACAAAGCACAAAGCTCCCACGGCTCTCTTCCCGTCTCCCTCCACCCGCAGGGAGGGAAGTGGGTAATCTGGAGGAGAAGAGGAAAAAGAGGAAGTGGGCCAGAGAAGAGAAGTCTGATGGCCAGTTTTCCTCCAGTGCTACGCTAACTCGGTGTCACAGCTTTTCCAAAGATTGAAATACGAAGTTTTTCTGTCCTAATTTCTTAAGACACAAAGGAAACAAGTAGATAGAAAAATAAATAATATTTAAATGTTACAATCATATTAAAGATATATGCTGGGAGTTAATTATTATTTCAATTTTTCACTGTGATTTCCCAAACTTTAAGGTTCCCAAGGAACAGTTTTTGCAGAAGAGTCTTGGGGAAAAGTCCAACTACTATGCCAGGCACTGAAGAGTAAATGAAAACACTTTTTAAGCAACTGGCCTGGGAAGCCTAAATGAGAAGCCTTTCCTTCCAACGTGTCCTTTCTCAGCACTGTCTTTACATGTTCACATGGGAATTACTTCAGAAATGTCATTAACAATATAATGACACCTATAACCCCCAACCCAAGATTTTGACTAATTTACACCTACAAGATGACTTCAGTGATACATGAAATAATTCACAGAGCACACGGACTGGTATTTAGTATGCGACCCTGCTGACTGTTAGTTCAAAAAAAGAACTTACTTGGGTGCTGATATGAGAGGGGCACAGCAGCTGCAGCAGCGTCCACATGAGACATATCCCCGGCAGGAGAAAGCCCGCCCATTTCCAACTGCCTTGGCATGTTCCCTGCAGCTGCATGAGGCACAATTGTCCCATGAGTCCTTAATAATAACACCAAGACAAAGAAGGGCAGTGCAGTGTGGGGGCAACTGACTGGAGCACGGGAACTGAAGCCAAAGTAACTGGGTGCGCCCTTTCCTAACAGGATTCTATGAAGTTCCCAACATAACCACTTGGCAACGTATTTGCTTGTCAGAGTGTTCTCGTAGTTGAAAGAATTAACTTTGTTTACAAAATGAGATTCGTTACCCAACAGGAAAATCAACCCAGTGACAGTGAAGAATTCAATTGGCTTGCTGATCATCATTTGAATTCTATTAAAATATCAATGATTTAACACAAAGACTTTAACAAATATTTACAAAATTTACCAAGCCCTCTCATTTAACTGTTCAAAATATTAACACTTTCAGATTTGAAGATGAAGTTTACAAGGCTAACCAATAGCTTATATGCAAATATAAAGATTTCTCAAGCTGGAAAGAACCTTAGAGATGATAGGCTCTACATGCTTATTTTACACTTACAAAGTGGCTACAAAGTAAGACAGTCTAAGGCAGGGCCATAGCCAGGACACCAGTTTCTGGACTCTTAATATTCTTTTATCTCTATTCTTTTACTAAAAATGAGGTTTTCTAAATCTGAGGCAATCAACTGAATCAGTATATTTAAAAAATAACATCCTTAGGCCGGGCGCAGTGGCTCATGCCTGTTATCCCAGCATTTTGGGAGGCCGATGCAGGCGGATCACTTGAGGTCAGGAGCTCAAGACCAGCCTGGCCAATATGGTGAAACCCCATCTCTACTAAAAATACAAAAAAACTAGCTGGGTGTGATGGCATGCACCTGTGGTTGGTCCCAGCTACTCGGGAGGCTGAGGCAGATGAATCACTTGGACCTGGGAGGAGGAGGGAGATTGCAGTGAGCCAAGATCGGACCACTGTACTCCAGCCTGGGCAACAGAGAGAGACTCCATCTCAAAAAAATAAAAATAAACATTCTTGTATTCCATCAAAGGAAAAAATAAATAAAAATCACTTATTTAAAATCTGATAAGTTAATAATTCATTTATAAGCTTAGCTCAAACTCTGAAATTATTAGTCATACTGAAATTTTTAAAAAGTAAACACACACATGAAAATCATCATGGTAGAAAAATGAGGTGATACATCTGTACTTGTGGTTGTATCACAAAATAATAATGACCCAATTTGTAACTGCTTTTCTTTTTAAACCAATGGATACGTTTCACCAAAACTAAGCTTTCTAGATTTTCAACATATAAAAACTGGTATTTATATTTGAACTTACATTCAAAAGATGATTCAAACTCCTCATTATCCTTAAAAGCTAGCTTGTCCACATCTGAAAATTCACTTTTGTCTTGAAGTTCAGTTTGTCTTCGATAAAGACTAGATTGGAAGGATAAAACTCGTGAAGTTTCAATAATGGAAAACCAAAGAGTACAAGGTGACAAAAAGCCTTTTGTGACTCAAGAAAAGGCTCTACAAAATTCCCTTTCTCTTTGTCTTGTAAATAGCTCCACCTCACCACCACCACTAGGCATTGTTCTCAGCAATTAATACCTGTTTAATCAGTTACTCCTTGTAACTATTTCATGCTGTGAAGTAGGTACTACAGTTGTTAATAAAGAATAATGTTGTACTCTGAATGCTATTCCTAGGAAATAACCATAAAACATTTCTGAAAAAAAATTCTGCACACTATCAGCATGAACCAGATGAAGATGCAACACCACAACCTTGAGTGAGCAAAGCGCCCTAACTCAGCATATGTGTGTGTCTTATCCTTCCTTTTGGCTTATCACAAAAAAAAAAAAAAAAAAAAAAAGCTTTAGGACTACGACAGGCCCATGTGGCAGAGAACTACATTAACATGCAGATGCCCGAGATCGAGCCTGGAGCTAAGGAGTCAGTTCCCTCTGCTGTGGGGCCCAGGTATGGGTAGGAGTCTGCTCATGACTCAAATCATAGCCTGGCTGACCCAGTGGACTAGTTTCTAAAAACATCCACTCCTTCCTGTTTCAACAATCATACACCAGAGCCTGCTACCACGTTTGAATTTATTTCAATGATATGCAGGTCAGAACCTTATCTGTTTATATTTCAATGCCAAAATATTTTAAAAATGACTTTTTAATGATGTGTAAAATTGTTCCAACTTTATAAATAACCTCCATTTGTTTGCTTTCAGATTTTGTACATTTGTTTTTTATCTTAATAAACCAAATCTATTCACAGAACTAGGAAGATGCTTATTAATACCAGATTGCATGGTCCATATATCAAGTTTAGCAAATAAGCATTATCCACTTATTTGCTAAAAGCAATCTTTTTCCCTCCAGGTAATTTAGATGATTCTCAAAGATGACATATCATTTTGCAATCTGATTGCAAATTCTATACTGCCACATGATCTATAATAATTATCTCAAAAAAAAAAAATCCCAGTAAAACAAGTGAAGGCTGACAGAGCAAGTAACATTATTCAGCTGAAGCTAATCAATCAGAACGTTATACTTACCCCACTTTCTGCTCCGGAGGGCTGGAGACAGGAGGGATGGAGAGGCTGTGCCTAGACTCAGTGGGTGATGGTAGGGGCATTCTGTCAGGACAAGGACTGGGGGAAGCAATGTGTGATCTGCCCAGACCTAAGGTGCAGAAAGAACCAAGGCAAGAATATTACCAATTGCACGGAGAAGATACCAACGTGGTTTCTAAAGAGCTCTACTAGTTTGAAAATAAACTGTTATCCTCACAAATAGCCAATTATGATGCATAAGATCCAGAAAACTAATGATTCAAGCACCTAAATTAAATTGCAGTGGCAATAATAAAATGCAGGAAACCAACAGGCAGCAAAGGCAAGGCAACTATCACTCTCTAAACAGCTCTGTGTGCCAAACACTAGACCTTGCCACTCTGGCCCGCTGACCCTCACGGCAACCCTGTGTCGTGGGCAGGGTGGCTACCCAACTCCAGAGCACCCCGCAACCCTTTGTGCGGGTGGCTTACCTTCCAGATACATTTCACTTTCGAGGCTTCTTTTTGCTTTTGGAAGGGGTGTGGAAGAGAGGCGTCTGGAGGAAGTGCCCCCGCGGAGCCTCGAGGCTGCACTGCCTGTCAGTGCTTCCACGACGTCATTCCTTTCTTCAAGTGTGCCCACTTGAGGCTGCTCAGAGACAACTCTGTCCTCTCCAAAAATATGTCTTTCCGGGGAACTGGAAGTAATGTTTTTGAAGGCTTCCAGCAAGTGCAGAGATGGTGGGCTCTTTGCTGCTAGTGGGCTTTTGGCAGAGTTTTTAATGACTCTCCGATGGTAACTTCTGAAAGCCTTTTCCAAGCGTTCGGCCTCTTGCTGAAGCTCTTTGACCCTTGCCTTAGTATTGGCTACAAACTCAAGGTCAGAATCAGGGGAACTACCCTCCACCCATGCAGTTGGATAATTTGTGATCCTTGATGCAACCATACGTGCTAGAACGTTTTCCTGTTTAAAAGGATTGTTCAAGAAATCCCCACTTATCTCACCATTGCAAGGCACCACATTGCCATTTATTAATCCATTGACAGAACGATCGATCACAGACTGCTTTGGATTGCAGTACACTTCATTCTCTAGGGCTGCAGGGTACAAAAAGCCAATTTCAGAAGTAAGTGGACAAGGCAGAGAAGAAAATATACTTGAGAATATTATTTTTTTGAAAAATGGAAGAGAGTAATAAGGACAAACTTGCACTATACAGTTTCTGAAGCCATGGTAACGATAACCACTAACATTTACTGAGAGCTTATTGTACCAGCTACAGCTTTGTATGTCTTTTGTAACATGATATAATTTCAGAATCCATTATGCACAATTTTGAAAGCCACAAGGCTCTGAGAACTGAAAATTTATTCATAATTTATTTGGTGGCAAAGCCCAACCAGACTTGAACTCATTTGGTTGAAAAGTTTGACCTGAACTGATGTAAACCCATTTATAATCTTTATTTATCCCAGCATGAATATTCATACAGTTGACTGCAAAATAATTAATGTGCTTTACTATAGGATGCTGTTCAGAACTCCCAGGGCTATTGCGAAATCCACAGCATATGGCCCGAGTTTCATATAAGGAAGTGAGGACCTGCATTCACAACAACACTGTGGTCAAGAAACTCTCACTGCTCCCATTTTACAGATGGGGGGACTAAAGCTTACTGAGGCTGGGTCACACGGTTAGCAAGTCTAAGAGCTACTGGGCTTTCCTAATGCAAAGCCAGTGCACCTGCCCCTCTCTCCTGCAATGCCTCCCCGTGATGCTACAAGAAAGAAGCTTGCCCTCGGCAACACATGCATGCGAAAGAGTTCTATCCTCATTCAACTATTTTTTATTGATAGGAGACTGCTATGATTTCAGCTGTGAGAAGTTTCACAAACAGAACTGAAAGAAAATGAGGAACAGAAAAAAGCAGAAACGAGTAGAGATAAAAATAAAACAAGTGCTGGTAGAAGAGAGCAAGGAGCTGATGAGGAAACAATGCAGGTGGGAACAAGGAAGGCTCAGACCCAGTTGAACTGGTAACACATACGTACTTTCTTTGAACTTGAAAGCAACTGAAGAATAAAGTATCTGAACTTTAATATCCTTCTTACGAAGTAGGAAGGGGCAGAGATGCATCCACAGTGAAGACACAATAATAAAATGATACCAATAACCATTTCCTGAGTGTCTTTTATGTCCCAGGCACTGGACTGAAACCCATTTCATCTTTTTCATCATGGCTCAGTAGGTATTATTATCCCCATTACAAATGAGGAGACTGAGGCCCAAGGAAGTTAAAGTAACATGCCCAAGGTCAAACAACTTCAAAACGGGTCCAAAAGAAGAACAGTTCTGATTCTGAAGGCAATATTCTTTTTGCTAAACCACCCTGCTTGTCCTGTATATTTATATATCTATCAAGGAATCCGTAAAACTACTGAATTGGTGTTAACATTGGGGTAACAAATAAAAAAGGAAATCCTATAATGAATATGGGGACTTCTATGTTACCACCACGCCTTTCCTATTGGGGCATGAGACTCTCCCAAGCCATGAGGCACCTATGAAGCAAAATACTTTTGCTGATGATCCAGATGGTATTACCAAAATGGATAGGGAGTTTTACTTCTAAGATGACACATATTTCTATGGCTTTTCCCCTAAAACAATAATTAATATTCAATAAATTATGATCATTACATTTTCACAGACACCAGAAGCTTTATACATACAAAAATATTTATGGGTTAAAACGTCTCTAACCTGTCTGAGTTTGCTTCAGTTGCAATTTTAAATCGGCAACCTGAGTAGTTAAACTCTTTACAGAAGCTTTGTAACCTAGAATCTGGGCCTTCAGCTGTGCAGAATGCTCAATCTGAAAAGATTCAGAATAGGAAAAGAAATCAATGTAAAACAAATCACAGCTTGCTTCAAAAGGAAAAGTTCTCTTATCATGTTTGTACTCTTTTTGTTCTGCCAATTCCAAGAAGCTTTATGACAGTAAACAACAGGGTCCCTATTAAAAAAAAACACAAGCAGAACACACAAACAAGTTCTTCACCATCTTTTTCAGTCATATCAAAGAACTCTAGGGCATGCAGGCAGAAATCAGAAGACAGTGAATGTTTGTAATACTTATCAGGGTGAGAATCGAGAGATAACAGTGGGCACCATCAGGCACTCAGAAAATTTTATGTTTAGGTGAGTTTGCTTTCTTCTCCATTTTATTACTATTACGAATATAAAGTCACGTTATCACTGCAGAATTTTCTCAGATGAGAAAGGATACCTTTAGCATATTTGGGGGAGTAATGTTTGATGTTAAAATAAATCTGATTTACACTAGTGTGACTTGTGCCAAGTTTACGTAACTATGAAGTGTACTGGTATCACACTAGAACTGAAGAAGAGCAATACTCACTTCGTCTTGCAGTTGTTTGTGCAGAGCTTGCCTGCAGCTTTCGAACTCCTCATGCTCAACCACTATAGCCTTTTCGGCTTTCCGTAGTTCTTTCTGAAAGACTGCAAGTTCAGGAGCCGGCTGAGCTAGGCCTAAGAAGGTAAAAAAAAAAAAAAAATCCTAGTCATTACCAACCTTAAGTTTTCTTATTTAACTTAACAAAAACAGTTAAAGGGGTTTTAAAGTGTTCTTTGCTTTGTACTGACTCAATAAATATGATAATAATTCTATTAAATGAGCTCAGAGCAATCCTGACTCTCAAATTTCACAACAAAAGAATTTAGTGCATGTTAATGCAAACTTTATTACCCTTGGAGTCCTACTCCAAGTAAAAGAACTCTTTCAAATTCTCAAATTAACCTGAAAGCCTGTTTCTCTCCTCTACTGTGCACAGAAGGAGCTCTCTATCTGGTCTACCTGTTGATGACAGCCCTGGGATCCAATATGATCTGGGCATCTGACAGCAGCAGTTGGGATCCAGGCAGAAGGCAGATGGCTCTCACGGTCAAGGTCATCTAAGAACCCTTTAATAAAGGTTGACTTATTCAGGGTATGCACAAAGGATGGTGGAGTTCCCTGGGTGGGCTAGTAACAGGGCCATACTGTTAGCGCTCCTTGGGCCTGGGGAATCAGAGGAGGGAGAAATTCTCAGCACTAGAGACAGGGTGGTGGTGCAGAGCACTTGGAAGAGGTAATCGCAGGCACTATGGCCTCACTTGGCCATGAGGCACAGTGGCCAGCCTAGGGCCACTGTATGTAGAGGCTGGTGTCCCCACTGGCCAAACCCAATCAGCAGTCAGAGGGCAAGGGAAGCTTTGATACCACCTATAGGCAGGTTTGCAGAGTTTAATCCAAGAATCTTAATTTTATAAATCTTCCCAATGTAAGCCCCCTACCTTATACAAGTACAAAGCATAGTTTTATAATACTGACCTAATGCGAATTACTAAAACACGCAAGTCAGAAGAAAAGAAAAATACATACGGTTTAGGAGACGCAGGTTTTCATTTCTACTCTCTTCCAGTTGTTGTTTAAGTAATTTATTTTGTGCCAGAAGCTCCAGTTTCTCTTCTTTTAGTAGTGAATAATCACTCATCTCTTTAACCTTTTCATTCAGCATATGGTTTTGTTTTGTTATTGCCAAAGACTGGGCTTTGACAGACTCTAATTCAAGCTAAAATTCAAAAAGGAAAATTTACATTTGAATAATGACTTTACAGTACTGCAAAAGTAAAAGCTGGCAGGCTCCTTTAAGCATGGTGTCACAATTTAATTAAGGTCACTAGACAGAAGTCTGATTCTCTACAATAAGACTCTAACTACAATAACGAAAATTATCTTCCGCCCTACAGTTGGGGCAGAACTTTTATAGGCCGCATCCCATGAAGCAAGTCCTTCTAAGATTATCATCCCATTTTCCAGAGGCAACCAAGAACCCAACAATAATCACACATCATAGCAATATATATTTTTTAAATATGAAAGGTAAGATAAAAATGGCTGAGCATGGTGGCTCACGCCCGTAATCGCAGCACTTTGGGAGGCTGAGGCAAGAGGATTGCTTGAGCTCAGGAGTTCGAGACCACCCTGGGCAACATGGTGAAACCCCATCTCTACTAAAAATACAACAATTAGCTGGGTGTGGTGGCACATGGCTGAAATCCCAGCTACTTGGGAGCTGAGACATGAGAATCACTTGAACCCGGGAGGTGGAGGTTGGTTGCAGTGAGCCAAGATCACACCACTGCACTCCAGCCTGGGCGAAAGAACAAGACTCTGTCTCAAAAAAAAAAAAAAAAAAAAAAGGGAAAGAAAGGAAAAAAGATTCTGTAAAATGTTGTGAAGTGCTTCCCTTTTCTTAGTATATCTCATATTTGAGTAAAAAGCCTACAAAGTTCTCACATAAGTCACAGTTGCTAAAATAAATTTCATATACAAAATATGTTGTAAGTACCTAAAGTTCCAGCTTCATCCTTCAGACAGCAAGCACACGAATGAACAGAAAAGTAAAGAAGCAATGATATGTGAAAAATGTACCTCATTTTGTTTTAATCTGTAAGATAACAATGTAATGACAGGAATTTTGTTTACCTGCTGCTGATGGAAGGAGATAACAGGCTGATGTAGAAACTAATAGTAATGGCCACCTGCTATGAACTAGGCACATAAGTTAGCTTACTGAATTCCCTCAACAACCCTATAATGTGGAAAACATCCTAGTTTACAGCTCAGGAACCTGCAGTCACAGAACTTACCTAGCGACACACAAGCAGTTAGAGACACAGACAGGATGTGGGCAGGACTCCAGGACCCAAAGCTCTATCTACACTTTCCTATGTGACACTGACTGAAATTAAGAACTATTGAATTAACTTCAGCTAACACCTTCTTAGCCATATAAATGGCAGTCCAAACATCTCAACAGGATGACTTAGGATAAATTATGTATGACTAAAATTTCATATATTGCTTAAAATCTATTTCAAAAACCAACATGCTTAACAATTACCTCAAGTTCTTTCACACGATTTACAGATTGATTGAGTTCCTCCTTTTTTGAATTAATAGCTATGAGCTCCTCTTGCAAATGAACAGCTTTTTCTGAAAAAAGAGCCCACCAATTAAACACCATAATGTTTTCCTAGTGAATACAAAAGCCATTTAATATTTATGGCCAGTATGTCAGACCTAATGACCACTATTTCACAATCCAAATAGCAGATGTAGCGGGCAAGTAAGAAATAAACCCTGTTACCCAACAGGTGATGTGAAGCTGTAACTGTCATATATGTGGTGAAATTCCACTTGCTATACATGCTAACCAGAGTTATACCATGTGCTCAAAGCACAGGGCCCTAATACCCACAGCTCTTAACTTCCTTGAAGACAAAGATCTGTCTGTTACTATATTGTAGTTACTATTTTGTAGTTTTCACTTCATCTAACACAAGTCTATGTAGATATATCATCAAACCATAATTTGTTACATACGTAATGGTATTAATGCATAAAAGAAGTATTAGTCTCCACAAGATAGTAAAAGGGGCTGGGCACAGTGGCTCACGCCTGTAATCCCAGCACTTTGGGAGGCCAAGTCAGGCGGACCACCTGAGGTCACGAGTTCGAGACCAGCCTGGCCAACATGGTGAAACTCTCTCTCTACAAAAATTAGCCAGGCATGGTGGCGCACACCTGTAGTCCCAGCTACTTGGGAGGCTGAGGCACAAGAATCACTTGAACCCAGGAGGCAGAGGTTGCAGTGAGCTGAGATTGTGCCACTGTACTCCAGCCTGGGCAACAGAGCAAGACTCCGTCTCTTAAAAAAAAAAAAAAAAAAAGACAGTAGCCACACATTGGGTATCTGGTCAACATCAACTATCTAACCCTGGTTTCCTCCCAGGAATCTACTTGAAATTTCCACCAAAACTTCAACTTCTTGTTACAGCAATTTCCTAGAAATACATTGAAATGGGTCGGGCGTGGTGGCTCACGCCTGTAATCCCAGCACTTTGGGAGGCCGAGGCGGGCGGATCACGAGGTCAGGAGATCGAGATCATCCTGGCTAACACGCTGAGACCCCGCCTCTACTAAAAATACAAAAAATTAGCCGGGCGTGTTGGTGGGTGCCTGTAGTCCCAGCTACTGGGGAGGCTGAGGTGGAAGAATGGCGTGAACCTGGGAGGTGGAGCTTGTAGTGAGCCGAGATCGCACCACTGCACTCCAGCCTAGGTGACAGAGCGAGACTCCGTCTCAAAAAAAAAAAAAAATACACTGAAATGTAAAACATCTGAAGATTGAAAAATTATTCAACTTCCATAGTCTCAGGCCAATGTACACAAGAGTTCAGAAGGTTATACATCAAGTAAAAATATTATAAAGCATAAAAATATATTAGAAGCAAAAGAAATAAGAAACTAGGTCACAGAGGACAGAGAAGTTAAAAGTTTTCCGTAAGTGAAAAATAAAGTCTCTCATGGTTAGGAGTAATACGTACTTGACAGCAATAAGTTGCTGCTACGTTCCTGACAATTGCAGATTTATCAAAATATATGAAATAAAGTTGGATAAAATATCCATGATAAATCACTGGCCTTTGTGAATATACAAACTATTAAACATGAAGGTTCCTCAAAAGGCAGTGAAGACCATGATTTTTAATTTATAAAATTAAAATTACAAAAAATGTGTAATTTTGTATGAACAATGAAGTGTAAGCTGTATTTTTTAGAATATAGAAAAGACCCAACTTGGGAAGCTAATAACCTACAGCAGAACTGAAAAATACAGCTTATTTTCCCCCCAAACATCACCTTTATTCTTCCTTTCATCTTCAATCAGTCGATTAGTTCTAATGATGTAGTCATCCTTCAGTTCAAGTTGATACCTGAGAATCAGAATGACTAAATATGAGCTCCTCAGGCATTTTTCTGGAAAGACTGTTATCAGTGCAGGAGCTTATCTATGGCACAGGAGCACCTGAGGGTGCTAAACATGACAACTTGTAAACTTCAAAGTCCTCAATACTAAAGCCAGGGATATAACCCCTGAACATAAAATGCCCAGTAAAACCCTTCCTTGATCCTATAAACTGGGTCCCAAAACTCAATCACACAAAATGAAGCGTCGTGTTATCATAAGGTTACTTACTGAAAGCAATCACTTTTCAGTTGGTCTCAACTGACACAAAGAGCAAAGGGGTAAATTAAATTTACACAGCACACAACAGACTCAATCCCAAATGATAATCAGACGGTCACTTCCAATCCACCTGTACCATCTGCCCACCCCCAACCAAGGTAAGAACTTTTGTGCTCAGGGACTAAGCACAGTCCTGAGAGCCAACTGCCAAGAGCATTATATCCGGATTAGCAATACCAAAAGGCACATTTTCACAGTTTCACTTCCCTTTCCCAGCTGTTACCAGCTGCCCTTTTGGTTCCAAAAGGAAATAGAAGCACTCCTGTGGCGAAGAGCCTCCAAACTCCAACACCTGCCAAAGTCATATGAGGATTCCCAAAGCCAGGCAGACACCATGCAGCCTGTGGAAGCTGTCACAATGACACCAAATAGTTCACTAGCTCCATAACTATGTAAAATTAACACACATACTTTAATTCATTTATTCCTAAAAATTCAGCAACTACAGACACTTCCATTTTAGCTATTTTAGTATAGAAACTGACATAGAAGATGTGGGTAAAATACATCATTTCAAAATCAATAGATAAAAAAGCTGCCATATTTTTTAAAAATAGGATTTGTTTAAAGGATTACCTCAAGAAACCTTTGCAATATTATGTAATGGAATATCGATGACAAATTATGAGAAAGGCAATAAAAGAGGCCAAATAAGAAATGCCCAGAGCACCTGAGTTGAATCATTTCCTCGTGACACATTTACAACAAATATTAACTGAGCACTTTTTATGTGCCAGATGCTTTCCCACACACTGAAGAGAAATGTTACCACATGGGCATAATGTCGTAGCACTGAGATATTATTCACTGATACACAAAACTCAGACTACAGAAAAGCCAAAGTTACCATAGTTGTCCATATTTTCCTTTCCCTATATCACTTTTTGCCTCACATAGTTAATTTTAGCTCTTTTGATTCTGGCTTTGCTGAATCTTGAAGGAATACAAGGCACATGTTCACTGACAAATACTATGACCACTAGTATAATTTATATATTGTCAGATAACCCCATCCTTCTGACTGTATGAGTGAGGTAGAGGAAAAGATAACTAAAAGTGGTTATAATTCCAATTTTACAGCTTATCAACTATGCAAGCTAAGCAAGTCACAAGGTGTCCTGAAAATTAAAGCAAATCACAGCCCACAATAAACGTTAGAGAAGCCATAAGAAGCGCAGAGGATGTGCTTCTCTGTATTTTTTTATTGTTGTTAATTTTTGAGATGGATTGTCACTGTCACGCAGGCTAGTAGAGTGCAGTAGCACAACTTCAGTTCACTGCAACGTCTGCCTCCCGGGTTCAAGTGATTCTCCTGCCTCAGCCTCCCCAGTAGCTGGGATTACAAGTGCCCACCACCACACCCAGCTAATTTTTGTATTTTTAGTAGAGATGGGGTTTCACCATGTTGGCTAGGCTGGTCTTGCACTCCTGACCTCAGGTGATCCGCCCACCTCAGCCTCCCAGAGTGCTGGGATTATAGGCATGAGCCACCACACCCGGCCCTTATCTTTTAAAAACTATCCTAACTCAAATGCAGGAAAGGATTGACTGTATCGATAAAACTATGTTTTTTTTTTTTCAAACACTAAAGTTTGCCTAAGTTACAGACTACTTTGTCAGTTTTTGTTATGTTTCTACCAATTTAATTTAAACATATTAGTTATTTAAAAATGCTAAACAATTACTTTAGAAGTTCATTCTTGAGCTTTCGGTCATAGGTCTCCTCAAAACTCTTTATATTCTGCTCCTGTCTCCTAAGTGCCTCAGTTATGCTTTTATGTTTTTCTTCCTGGAGCTTCTGGTTCCTGAAATTAACAAAAATATAAAAAGTAAATAAACTACCATAGCTGAGCTAACAAATTTAGGAAAAAATCACATGTGTCTAGTTCCACAGACTAAAACTGCTACATGATATCACTACTGGGAAGTAGAAGGAAAGAGCCAGAAGTCCTCAGTGTATTTTATGAACTGACCTAGTTACAGCATATTGAAACTAGCAGAATTGACTGTGCTTTGGGCTGAGGGGAGTGGGAGAGTCTCAAGAGGGAAGTGGTTTCTCACTGAAAATAAACACTCAAACAATGGTTATAGGTGATAAATAGCCAAAATCAATCCTGGGATGAAATAATGATATTATTAGTTACAAAGTAACAAATAAGTGTACTTATGTGCTTAAATCTTCTATAATGCTGTTTCTAACTGTGGGATTTAATTAATTAGTCCATACATATTCAAGGTACAATATGTGTTTTTGTCATTTAATAACCAATCAGCTTTAGCCAAGTGTGGTGGCCCGCACCTATAATCCCAGCTTTTCAGAAGGCTGAGGCAGGAGGATTGCTTGAGCCCAAGTGTTTGAGACCAGCCTGGGCAATACAGAGAGACACTGTGTCTTAAAAACAAAACAAAACAAACAAAAAACCCTATTGATTGAATATTGAAAAAAGTACCAAAAGAGAGGGCAAAAGATAGATGGATCAATCAGGGCTTCCAAATACTGAAGAATAGAATGGTCTTCATAGTGAGACTTTAAATCAACCATAGCACCAACTCCTTAGCCAGGGAGGTAGGTTCATGGGTGGTGAGATCCAGCCATCCTGAGAAGTGCTACAAAATGCTGACTAGTCTAAGAACAGGTAAAGGCTCTAGGTATTAGCTCCCTCTGCTGGTAATCTGGAAAGCCATGGAGAGGTAAACTACATTTATTTAGTTTATATGCTGAGAAGGAGGGAACAAGAGTAGAGAAAATGGAGGTAAAGGAATGATGAACTCTCTCTGCCCCAATTTTGTGCCTATTTCCTCTCTCTTGATCAATTTACCTTTTCATTATTGCCAAAAAGAGAGTAAGGTAGACAGAGAGTTGAAATCAAACAAATCAAGCCTATAGAAGTGAGAAAAAAACATTAATGGAGCCAAATTCTTTAATGAACTAAGATTCCTGGAGTATCTATGGGTGTCAATAGCAGATTCCCAAAGGAAGAGAAGGCTTATTGCACAAACTATAGACAGGTGAACTTGCCATCAATCCCAGGTAAGATCTCAAGGATGAAACATTTGTGAGCACTTAGAAACAGTGAGTAACAAAGAAATGGTTTCACCAAGTACAAGTCAAGTTGGACCACCATACTTCCTTTTCTGAGCACACAGCTGGTAAAAGCTGCAGGCCTGGATATATGGAATTCAGTTACTATACATACACACACGGAACTATCAGATCTGAGGGACTGAATGTAACTGCAAAACATACGATCTGTTCCAGTATTAACAGCTTCTCCAAATAATCTGTCTGGTCTTACTGTAGCCTGATGATAGCATCTCATTCGTCTTTTCATCTTAATGTTTAATATTTCAAAAACAAAACCCTAGTGTTTGTTCCTCTTAATTTGTACCTTCTAGGTGATATCCCCTTTACAAATAAGAACTCTACTTGGCAATGAACATTAGAATATTTAGATATATATTTAGTAATTCTTTTTAATCTCATCATTCTGAATATCCAAAATGAACATGCATTACTTACAATTCAAAAGCTTCAACTCTTTGCTTCAGCTCTGCTTCTCTTCCTCTTAGCAAATCCATATCTTTTAGTAAAAGTTGCCTTTGAGCATAAATTTCTTTTGTTTCAATCTGTATAGAAAAGCATTAATTTTTAGCAAGCAAGCTAATGAAAGCAAAACAGATTTGAATGAATATACTGCTTCCTACATTCCAAAAAGCAAAGTACAGACATTTAGGATAACAATTTCACCTTCAAGAGATTCCGACTCAAGGTATACTTTTTGCGTATTCTAGTTGCATAAAAATTTACTCCCCCAATGACTGTTAAACTACCATTACCCTACAGTCCTAACATGCCATGTGAAATTTATGCTATTTAGTTCTTTAACATCTCTCAGTCCCTTATCTAAAAAAATTTTTTTTTTTTTTTTTTTGAGACAGGGTCTCACTCTGTCACACAGGCTGGAGTGCAGTGGGGTGATCTTGGCTCACTGCAACCTCCACCTCCCAAGCTCAAGGGGTCCTCCCACCCCAGCCTACCGAGTAGCTGCAGGCACTACAGGCACACGCCACCAAGTCCGGCTGATTTTTTGTATTTTTGTAGAGATGGGGTTTTGCCATGCTGCCCAGGCTGGTGTCGAACTTCTGGACTCAAGCGATATGCCTGCCTTGGCTTCCCAAGGTGCTGGGACTACAAGCATGAGCCACCACACCTGGCGCCCTTACCTAAATTTTGGCAAGTTCCCCAGAAAGAAAAATTAAGCAAAATGTACATTCAGCAGTAAAACTCCAAAAGAATTGAATCCCCATGGTTTTTAGTGGTGGTGTCGTCTGAATGTTTCAGTTCACGGGTCATTCTGACTCAGAGTTAGCAAGCTCATATGAACTCCTAAAAGAATGGGCCATCCTTCCATTTGTGTGTTCACAGAGAAAGAATTTACTAACTACCTATGACATGTCAAGCAGCATACTGGGAACTGGATATAAAAAGGTAGACAGATATAGTCCTCATCTCTAAAGACCTCACAATTTAGTCAGGGAGTGAGAAACAATCACACTAAGATGTGATGATTTTGTAACTGAAGTACATAAAGACTGATGCAGGAATGAGGCCTAAATGGGTCGCTCAGTGGGAGTCAGGGACGGCATCACCCAGGTGACATCCAAGCTGGGTCTTGAAAGACACTATGGTTTTTATCAGGGAGAGAAGGGGATGGACAGTCCAGGTGAGGGAATAAAGACATGGTGCTTCTTATGAGGATGACAATCTTCTTCAAAGCCTTCAGATGATCAGATAAATAAACAGGGATCTAGTCAGTCACCTATCTTGAAGGTTGAAGTTATTAGTCTAAACACAATCCAATCATCTCAAAGATATGTGCTTCTGACATTCATTTTTATAGCTGAAGCAAACCCAATTCCCAGAAATGCTATACAAAATTTTAGAGGGGGTGCCCTTAGCATTAAACAACTAGGTCTTATTGAGAAGCCCCAGGCGAGAGTGGACACTAGGGGGAAGCATTCCTACTTTCAACATCTGACAGCAGTAGTTCTGGATGTATGTTGGAAATAGTGCTGTAAATCTAGTTTGGTCTAAGACACGCCCTTGGGAAAGGAATATGATTTAAAGGAGTAGATCCAATCCTGCTTGCCAACATGGACTCCCTCTCACTCCTCACCCTCTCTGTCTCCTGTCCAGTTACTTTCTGGGGTGACAAGATCAAATGGTCACATGGATGACCCTTGTGGTGACTCCTTTACCCCAGGGACCTTCACCCTTGCTCATTTCCATGGCTCTCTCCAATGGCAGCATACTGCATTTGGTTTCTAGTCTCCACCTGAAACCTCATCCTGCAATTCTGTAATCTTGGACCATCCTCATTCTTCCACCTACCAGTCTATCCAGATCGAGTCCTTGATCACTGAGACTGCCACTCAACCCTTCCTTTCCCCCTAGGTTAGCAGCCACCTGCCCTCTCCTCTGCTTCCCTTCACTACCCAAGAGAGCCCCAGAATCTTCGATTAAGTAGGCTGCCTTTCTCTAGTCAAATAAGGCTCTGAAAAGCTCTACTTCCCAAGCATCTCCATCTTTCCACCCTCACTGAAAGGGACAGAGAGATACTTACAAATCCTCCCCAGAACTAGAACAGAAAACTCACTTACAAGCACCTGGTTTGACCTCTCTCAATTCCAGGCTCCCCCAACCACAGCTGAGCCCTCAATACAGGTGATCAGTCCTCTCTGCTTTAAAGGGCTGTTCTTCCCTTACCCACAGGAACTACTCTGCACCTCCAATCTGCTCCTAAAACCCAAGATCTAACCCTCTAATCTGCCTGAGGAGATGGAGCTTATTTAGGGTGTGTTTCTCATAATCCCAACTTGATTGTTCACCTCCACAGTTCTCGCCTTTCCATCAGTCTCAGAGGAAGCAAATTTGTGTATCCTTTTCAAGGACCATCCTTCTATTTGCACTCTTGGCCCCAGTCCCTATTGCTCTTCTGGGGCCTTGTTCCATCAACTGTACCATCCTGTTGCTGGATCTCGAGCCAACCTACTAATAGCTGCAGGAAATAGCCACCCATAAAATATTTGTAAATACCACCTCTTGGTGCTTGTGAATTCTTTCAAGGGTACTCTTTTCCCGAAGAACGAGAGCTTCAGATTTTGCTTGACAAGCTTTTTCAAAATCATTCTGGAACATGGTTAACTCCTTTTCATACTTTTTTTTTGCTTCCATTTTAATTTTTGCTATCTCGGTATCTTTAAAAAACTTCAACTGCAAATTGATCACAAAAAATTAAAAATACCAACTATTATACTATAAAAACAGGAACAAGTTCTCTCTCTACATCTAGGTTTAACATTAATGCTCTGTCCAAATATATTTATTTCATGTTAGTTTTATCTCATTCACTCTATTTGTAGGATTCACTCAAAAGGCATAAACAAATGTCACCAGAAATAAAAAAAAATTTGCACAACAGTACAGTATCCCATTCGTTATTAAAAGTTCTAGATATTTTCCCATATACCTATGGTTAAGACTTTAGAAGACAAACAAAAACATCACTCTTGTTTACAGTAACAAGATAAAGCTTACCTTTTGACACATTTCTGCCCGAAGTTGCTCTTCTATTTCTCTCTTATACTCATTTAGCTTTATTTCTAAAGATTCGAACTTGATACGCTGAGGGTAAGCATCTGCAAACTGATCATCAATAAGCTGAAGCTTCTCAGCTATTAAAAAATAACACATCAAATTAGGACATAGAAACATCGTCAGGTGCGTAAGACGCCAGACCTCTGGTTCAAAAGTAAAGAGGATACTTAGGGGAAAGTGTAGGGATTATCTGCAACTTACTTTGAAATACAAAAAAAGGAAGGTGGATGAATGGATGGACAGATAAAAATGATGAAGCAAGTATAACACAAGTGTAATAGTGACATCTAGGTGGTGGGTATACAAGTGTTCGCTAAAATTGTTTCAACTTTTCTGTATGTTTGAAAATGTTCATCATGAAATGTTAGAGGAAAAAGAAAGCCAAGAGTACAGTTTAAGTCAGAAAATACTGGAGTCTCTTCCTACTCTCTAAGTGCTAAGGCAGAGAGCTCTTTATTGGACTCTGGTTAAAGCTGACTTACATATTCAAAACAATAACTTTAAAAGAATCAAAGATCACGTATATCAACCCCTCCCCTTTACACATAAAGAACAAATGCTGATATAGCTTAATAAGTGACTACATGACAGCATAACCAGGATTAAAGTGAGGTCTACTGACTCTTCCCTTAGTCCATGGCCCTCAAACCAACTATGGATCAGAATCAACCACATAGCAAAGTGCAAATCTGAACCCAGAGTACAATCTCAACCGTGTATAACGCCCACCCAAAAAGTATGCACAGAGGGGAAAAAGGCTGGCAGAAGTAGATTAAAACATCGATAGTGTTTATCTCTGGTAGGGATGACTTTAGACATGTTTTTCCATCTACTTTTCTGTATTTTCCAGATGCTGTCCAACACAGGACTCTCCAGCCACATGGGGCCATTGACACTTCAAATGTGACCAGACTCAACTGAGATGTGCTTTAAATGTAAAAAACACATGAGATTTCAAAGACAGTGCAAAAAATAAATGTGAAATATCTTAGTATTTTTTATATTGAATATATGCTGAAATAATATTTTGCATGTATTGGGTTAAATATATTATTAAAACAAATTTCACCCGTTTCTTTTTACTTTTTTCAACGTGGCTACTAGAAAATTTAAAATTATGTATGTGGCTCACACCACTGAACAGCACTGCTTGATAATTAGCAAGTAATATGTTTCTAATTGAATTAAAAATACACTTAAAGGCATAGTCATATAATACATTTTATGAATTATGAACTTATCTTCTTGCAAGTTACCATTTAAGAGTAAGGAAGGGCCAAGAAATCCATTAAGCATATCGTTTTAAACAGCTATTTCCCATCTCTACTGAGCACGAAACTGACAGACAGGATGGTACTGCAGACCAGCTGGATAGTACAAAAAGCTCCAGATCATGGATGGGAGAACTTGGACTCCACTATTAGTTCTGATGCAGACTGAGTGTTTCCAAGTTGCTCTTCCTCTGAGGACCTCGGTTTCCTCAACTATAAAATGAAGTGATAAGTCACTGACTTCTCTAGTACTTTGCAAAGCAAGTAGTTTATAATCTTCTAACTGGGTGGCTGTAAAGTTAGACAAGACACGAGGAAGAACCTCCCAGTTAAGAGAAGTCAAACTCAACAAACAAGGAAGAATATGGGCCTTTGAATCCCTGCATGATTTGGCCAGTGTAGCCCTGGCATTCATGAGGCTAGGGAATGACACTGGAGAGCACTTCCTGGTCCCCCAAGATGATTCCAGAAATGAATTCCCTTGTTGCCTGCCGGCTGCATCCCTCCAGTTCAAGGAGCAATCACACAATATGGTAAATCAGATAATTTCCTTCATTCAAAATGAAAACAGCAGAACTGAAATTAAGAAAGAAGGCTATAATTACCCAGAGAATCTCTGTTAAATGTCGAACTTGTCTGAGTTTCCATATTACAACTCTCTTTAGCTTGATGATATTCTGCCAATTCTTTTAAAAAATGCATAAGAAAACCTAAAAAACATATGCATACAGTTTTGTTTCAGAACTTTCAACCACTGCTCAGTCACTGTTTTTACAATCTTAGTTTTAGGACATTATCATTTTTTACATTATATATCTTTCCTTTTTTTTAGAGACAAAAGTCTTGCTCTGTCACCCAGGCTGGAGTGCAGTGGTGTAATCATGGCTCACTGCGGCCTCGACCTCCTGGGCTCAAGCAATCCTCCTACATCAGTCTCCCAAGTAGCTGGGACTAGAGGTGCACACCACCACCCACCACGCCCAGCTAATTTTACTTTTTGTATAAACAGGGTCTTGCTATGTTGCCCAGGCTAGTCTCAAACTCATGGCCTCAAGCAATCCTCCTGCCTGGGCCTCCCAAAGTGCTGGGATCACAAGCATGAGCCACTGTGCCCAGTCATATCTTTTAATAAATCTGAGAAAAGGCCTTCCCAAGCATGATACAGAACCTGGAAGGAATAAGGAGAAATATTTATCAATCTAACTACATAAAAACTGAAAACTTACATATGGCATAAAATAAAAAAATAACACACTGGGAAAAATAGTTGCAATAATATGGAGGCATAACCAAGACTAAAGTGATGACATTTTCATAACATCAAAGAACTCTTACAAATCAGTTTAAAAAAAAAAAATCAGAAAAATGGGGAAAAACATGGGTAGTTTGCAGAAAAAACTACATTGTCAAAGATGAACACAATTTTTAGATGCTGAATAAACATGAACAAAATCATAAATGCAAATTAATACAACAGAGAAACCATTATTTTCCCTATAACACTGCTAAGATTAAAACTTGTATAATGCTAAGTGTTGGCAAGGGAGTGGATATATAGCTATACTCATTCACTTGGAAGAGAAATTTGTCAGTGCTTATATATATTCGAAATGCATGTGCCCTTTAATCTAGTCATTCCACTTCTATGAATTTACACAGGTATACTTTCACAAGGGCACAAAGGGTGCACACTGCACATAGGTTACCTGTAATGGCAAAAAGCAAACAATAAAACAACCAGATCTCCATCAATAGGGGGTTAAATACATTATTTAAAAATAATTAGTCTATACTGCTACAGAAAGATACATTGGTGGATTAAAAAAAGCAAATTGCATACAGTATCTACGATATAATCCCAATTGATTGTGTTTTAATTACAAATACATAGTTTTAACCTCAAACAATTCTAGAAGATAAACAAGAAACTGTTAATTCTAGTTATCAGTGGAGTGAAACTGTTAATTCTAGTTATCAGTGGAGCGTGAGATTAGAGAACATGGGCAGAAACTGCTACTTTGCTTTCACTTTATATCCTTCTGAATAGTTTGAAACTGTTTTAAACCACAAGCATAAATTACTTAAGAAATGTTTAGTTTCTTGGAACTAAAAACAGTAGTTAGCTCAGCACCTTTTCCCCCACCCCCACTCCCTTCAGGAAGGGGATTAGATTTTGTCACAGTCTGCATACCATCCTGGGATCACCTGACCTAAATTTGCAAACATTAAGGTTCACTCTTGATGACGTAAAGCTCTATGGGTTTCGACACTGGGTCTTTCATTCTCTTAACAGCGTCTTTTGGCAGGGTACAGTGGCTCACGCTTGTCATCCCAGCACTCTGGGAGGCTGAGGCAGGCGATCACCTGAGGTCAGGGGATCGAGACCAGCCTGATCAACATGGTGAACCCCATCTCTATTGAAAACACAAAAAAATTAGCCAGGCGTGGTGGCAGGCGCCTGTAGTTCCAGCTACTCAGGAGGCTGAGACAGGAGAATCACTTGAACCCAGGAGGCAGAGGCTGCAGTGAGCCGAGGTCACGCCACTGCACTCCAGCCTGGGTGGCAGAGTGAAACTCCGTCTCAAAAACAAAACAAAAAGAACAGTGTCTTTCACAGAGATGTTTTTAATTTTAATAAAGTCTAACTGATCTACTTTTTTCTTTCATGTATCTTGCTCTTGGTGTTACATCTCATCACGAAACCCAAGATCACAGACTTTCTACTGTTCTCATCTGGAAGTTTTATAGTTTTGCATTTTACATTTAGGTCTATGGTTCATTTTGAGTTAGTTTTTGTGTAAGGTATAATAAATAAGATCTGTGTCTAGGTTCATTTTTGCGCATATGAATATCCAACTGTTACAGCACCACTTGTTGAAAAGACTATCTTTCCTCTATTGAATTGCCTTTGCACCTTTGTTAAAAAAAAAATCAATTGACTATATTTGTGTGGATGTATTTCTGGACTTCCTAATTCTGTCCCCATTGATGTATATGTCTTATTCTTTTGCCAATTGCAGATAAGAATTTTTACTTCCAAAAAGCAAAGGGCCGATGTCCAAATTTTCTTCCCTCATCCAAATTTTGTGCACATCATTTTCTGGATATTGTCAGGCCTCTGAGCCGAAGCTCAGCCATTGTAACCCCCGTAACCTGCATATATACGTCCAGATGGCCTGCAGGAGCCAGCTAAAAAACCACAGAAGTGAAACAGCTCCTGCCTTAACTGACTGACCAACCTTACGACATTCCACCATTATGACTTGTTCTGCCCTGCCCCAACTGATCAATCGACCTTGTGACATTCTTCTTCTGGACAATGAGTCCCAAGATCTCTCCACCATGCACCTTGGGACCCCCTCCCCTGCTAACAATAAATAACCACCTTTAACTGTAACTTTCCACTGCCTACTCAAGCCCTATAAAGCTGCCCCTCTCCTATCTCCCTTCACTGACTCTCTTTTCGGACTCAACCCACTTGCACCCAAGTGAATAAACAGCCTTGTTCCTCACACAAAGCCTGTTTGGTGGTCTCTTCACACAGACACGCATAACAGATATCATTATCTCTGAAAGGAAAATTAGCAGTGGGAAGAATGGGTGACTAGAATCTAGGAGGAAAAGTACCAAGGCCATTCAACAGCTTAGCACCCCCTGAGCATAGATATGGTAGGATAAGACCATAGGTCTGAGTCAGGGGACAGACAACGGTTAAGTACACAATATCTTCCTACATGTTTTCTGTTACTTAATTAGAAGACACCAATTTTTAAAAAAATTTTATCTTACCAGGAGCTATTTTGTTAGCTAAGAGTTCTATCCAAATTTTGGCACTAGGATGCCTGACCTATCTGCTACTCATAGTTTTTCTGGCTTCCAGAAATTTTACTGGGATGCTAGGTGAAGCTGGTAAGGGCTGTCGGCCAGATGTCTTTCTGAACCAGATGCATTTAAAGAGACTGTGTAAAAACTATTTTTTTTTTTTTGAGACGGAGTCTTGCTCTGTCGCTAGGCTGGAGCGCAGTGGCGTGATCTTGGCTCACTGTAACCTCTGCCTCCTGGGTTCAAGCGATTCCCCTGCCTCAGCCTCCCAAATAGCTGGGACTACAGGTGCACGCCACCAGGCCTGGCTAACTTTTTTTTGTATTTTAGTAGAGACGGGGTTTCACCATGTTGGCCAGGATGGTCTTGCTCTCCCGACCTCGTGATCCGCCCGCCTCAGCCTCCCAAAGTGCTGGGATTACAGGCGTGAGCCACTGCGCCCGGCCATGGAAAAACTACTTTTAAGGATAATGTATCTATAGTAACTACATAGATTTTTTTTTTTTTTTTGAGATGGAGTCCAGCTCTGTCACCCAGGCTGGAGTGCAGTGGCGCTATCTTGGCTCACCGCAACCTTCGCCTCTCTGGTTCAAGCGATTCTCCTGCCTCAGCCTCCCAAGTAGCTGGGATTACAGGCACTCACCACCACGCCTGGCTAATTTTTGTATTTTTAGTAGAGATGGGGTTTCACCATGTTGGCCAGGCTGGTCTTGAACCCCTGACCTCAAGTGATCAGCCAGGTTTGCCCTCCCAAAGTGCTGGGATTACAAGCATGAGCCACCGTGCCTGGCCCATAGATTATTTCTTAATATCCCTTCAAGCCACAAATTTCCTTTTGAAGTAATAGTTAAGCAAAAGATACTAGCTATATACCTCAGAATTATGCTAATATGGTAGTCACTATGCAAGTGTAGCTAATTAAATGTAAATTAAAAATTCAGTTATCCAGTCACACTAGCCACATTTCAAGGCTCAAAAGCCACATGAGGATAGCAGCTACCACATTAAACAGCATAGACACAGACATTTCCATAATCACAGAGAGTCACACTGGACGACACTTAGAGTACAGAATATAGGATCATTTACCATACTGAACTTCAGTAGAGATGGTCTAGTTTGCGGGCAGTCCAGAATATCTTGTGCTCCAATTTATTTATATTCTGCTAACATTACTACCAAGAGACTTGGCGATTAAGTCACAGACTTAATGGCTGGCAGAAAATAAGTATTCAAATGATTAAGTTCTAAATGAATTGGCGAATGAATGGATGAATAAATGAATGTCCTTGTGGGGATGATAGTGCAGGCAACAGACAAAATCCAAGGGTGTACCAACACAAAAGGACTATTACTAACAGATTATTTTAAAAGACCTAAAGAATAACTATGCATCAAAGCCAAGTTGCCAGCTTATGTTCATGCTACAAAGCCCATCATCAAGTCTAACCAATGGCCTGAAACCCACAGTAGTTATGGACTCTATGAATGGCTATTATCAAGGCCAAAATTAAGGCAATTTATTAGGTCTATATAAACATTTTTTTTTTTTTTGAGACGGAGTTTTGCTCTTGTTGCCCAGGCAGGAGTGCAATGGCGTGATCTCAGCTCACCGCAACCTCTGCCTTCCGGGTTCAAGCGATTCTCCTGCCTCAGCCTCCTGAGTAGCTGTGATTACAAGCATGCGCCACTACGCCTAGCTAATTTTTTTGTATTTTTAGTAGAAACGGGGTTTCTCCAGGTTGGTCAGGCTGATCTCGAACTCCCGACCTCAGGTGATCCACCCGCCTCAGCCTCCCAAAGTGCTGGGATTACAGGCATGAGCCACCACGCCCGGCCTGTATAAACATTTAAGAACAAAAGATATATAACACATTACTGAACACAACTCTCATTCTTTAAGGAAATATTAATACATCTAATACCCTACCAATTATACTTGAGAGGGATACCTAGTATACAAAGACACTTGGCCTAAAAGTTATTAGTTTTTTTTTTTTTTTTTTGCAGAAATATTCCCAACAGTGGGTATTTTTACAAACAGTATCTTTCAGCCTGTCTGTAGGGCCTTTGATACTGTCTACAGTTTTTTTAATTGAATATCTAAAAGTTATTACAAAAATGGAAATATAGGGGAAATGACCTGCAGAAATCAAATAATTTAAATCAAATTAAATTTTACTCTTCTCCCTAAAAATTTGCTTCATTCTTTTAGAGGAAAAAGTACATAGAAAACTGTTGCTGTTCTCTACAAAGATGACGGCTCCTACCTTTTTGATTTTCTTTATCAGATCCTGAAACCTGTTAAAAGAAAATATTTCACTTTTATTCAGCTATTCAGTTATAATTAACAAACCAAAGTAGATTACAGAAACTAAGCCATCTTACCAGTGATTTGTAGAGACTGGAAGTAGGGTTGATTTTAATGAGTTGTAATAGATCCTGCATAGTAAATACCTTAAGAAAAAATAGGTTACTAAGTAGACATATTTTTATATCAGTGTTTAAATGATAAATTAGGATATGTTTCTGAATATGAAATTAAGAAACATCCTTCAGATTAAATAAGATTATAACTATGCTAATAAAGCAAATTTCAAGCTCTTTCTTACACTGTTAAATAAATTACTATAAACATATCAAGGTCAAAAGGATAAAATATCTTTATCATCTAATTAACTTCTAAGTACTTCACATCAAAGATGATATGCCTAAATGTTTAATGCCTTACAGATGACACTGAAATATCTGATGAACCAATGACTACATGACTGAGTTCCTGGGTCATTCAATTACAATTTTTTAAAAAGTATTCATTGTTTAAAAATGTAAATAGATTTTTACTGTCCTTAAAACCGTAATTAAAGTGTACTTAAAATATTGTTTAACAGACATTTTGGGTAGCTATTAAAATATATTTCTACTACAGTATATACCATTCACTATGTCTGCTCTGAGAACACTGATATTTGTTTTCAATTGGTTTTCCTTTAAAGTAAATATTCTGCATGGGCATTTTACATTAGTAGAAACCGTTAAGTTGTATGAATAGGATTAATTCCTGCTATATAATTGTATTATTGACTATTACACAATAAGTAAAAGTATAAAGTGATTAGAAAGTTAGAGAATGATGTATCAAAAATGAATTCCAGGCCAGACACGAGGGCTCATGCTTGTTATCCCAGCTCTTTGGGAGATTGAGGTGGGCAGATCACCTGGGGTCAGGATTCGAGACCAGCCTGGCCAACATGGTGAAACCTCCTCTCTACTAAAAATAAAAAAGTTAGCCAGGTGTAGTGGTGGGCACCTGTAATCCCAGCTACTTGGGAGGCTGAGGCAGGAGAATTGCTTGAACACAGGAGGCAGAGGTTGCAGTGAGCCAAGACTGCGCCATTGCACTCCAGACTGGGTAACAGAGCAAGACTCTGTCTCAAAAACATAAATTAATAAATAAATTCCTAATGCTGACAAATAAAATTTGGTTGCTTATGAAGAAATGCAAATTATTTAAGTTTTCATTCAAATACTGTACTAAGCTTGTGTCACTAAAACTTTGGAATATGAAACTTTTGGATAATTACAGAAAACACAAAGAAAGTAAAAACATATGAACACCACCAAGAGTGAAATTTATTTTATTTTTGAGACAGTCTCGCTCTGTCACCCAGGCTGGAGTGCAGTGGCATGATCTCGGCTCACTGCAACCTTCACTGTAAACTATGGCCTCTGGGTGATAATGACATGTCAGGGTAGGCTTATAGATTGTAGCAAATGTACCACCTTGATGCAAGATGTTGACAGTGGGGGAGGCTATGAGTGTGTAGGGGCAGCAGGTATATGGGAATTCTCTGTACTTCCCACTTAACTTTGCTGTGAACCCAAAACTGCTCTGAAAAAATAAAGTCTATTAAAAAAAAAAAAACACGCACATATCCACAGGGAAAGTCTGCTGTATCTGCCTTTAAAATAATAAAGTAGTACTAATGTTCAACAGTAATGGTGAAGAAATATAGTTAAAATAATTAGAAAAGTAGTAAAAAAAAAAAACAAGTGTTTTTAATATTTGAGAACTTTACAGATTTTTTAAATTACGTATTTCTCACTTATCTAATTACAAAGAGAAACATCTGAAGAAACTAGTGCAGGAAAAAAAGAGCTCATGTTAGAGATCTAGATTTACCACCCTGCATTGTCACTTAAAAGTTACTTGATGTTGGGCAAATTGATTCACCTCTCCAGAGTCTGGTTCCTCATCCGTAACACACAAAACATCTGCAGTGTGCCTATCACAGTGCCAAGCTTACAGCAGACATTCAGCAGATTGGCAGAGTCTTATTAGACAAGATAGAGGATAGATAGATCAATTATAGGTCTGAAACATTTAGAGATTCTATACATCACTGTTTTATGTGAGACTAAATGAGACGCCAAGAAATTAATTTCAAATTTAGTACCCACTTGTTATATAACAAATATATTATGTGCAGGTACAATGTGAATTCAAAGAGGAAACAGAAATGGACCTAGTCGAGGAGCACTTAGCTATCATACAGCACTTTACTGTCAGCAGAGGAAGAACCTGTTAATAAAAACTTCAGAAACAGAAAAGGAAAGACTTTACCTTTTCTTTTGCCAAACCACTTTCTGGAAAGAAAACAGAAAGTGAATATTCATAGCCACATCTTTGTAAGTGATCTGCCACTAAAGAGTTAGAGGCGCCTATTAAGAGGGAGCTCCCTTCTACTGAAATGGACCGAGGCTGCAGTTCTCCACTCAATACAGGGTGCATCAACTCATGAATTAGCTGGTTTCGAAGTTGTGTCTAGCATAAAATAAAAACAAAAATAAAAAAGAAACACAAGGGAAAGAAATTTCAGCAGGACTGTTTCATTAGAGATATACACAGATGAGCTACATTCATTGGAAACCTTCCTTCTATTTCCATAATGGTTCTAGATCCATGGCCAGAAGTTAGAAACCTTCCCCTGCACACTTTGTCTTACCCCGTGAGACAAGCAGTCCAGTGGGTTCTAGAAAAAGCTTTCTTTCCCCAGCTTCCAAATGAAACGGGTGGTTAGCCAGATCCACTTGCAGACTCATAACTTCACTTCCCTAGAAGCCCATTTCAGCAGCTTACGATTGGGATATTAAGTATAGGAAAAAATTCTGCCACTTCATCACACCTCTGTGGACTGTTGGAGAATATAACCAAAATATTCAACAACAGGGGACTGCTATATACATTACAAAAATATCCAAAGATAAGCCTGTTGCCACTGAAAATGAAGATTTCAAAAAACTTTTAAGGAAACAGGGAAATGCTCACCATATAATTTAAATTAAAAAAGGATACATACACAGGATATAGCTACATATTTTAAACGTAAAATATGCTTTTGAAATGCATATTTCAATGAAAACACGTTGAGCTAATCCTACTCCTGGCTGTTAATCCAAATATAAAGCATACTAATAGGTATTTTCTGCCCAAACTAAACATTCATACATTTCAATATAGTTTAAAGATAAAATTTTTCATTTCCCAAACTATTATTAAGCAGTACACTAGTATTTTCTATATGGTGTCAATGTCCTTCATCCAAATGTATTACAAACCCACTTATTAATTTAGGAACCTATAAGCCATATTTATAAAACAAGCCTAATCTTACTGTGTTCATTATACAAATATTTCCTTCTCCTATCTTATTGTCAGTTCAATTAATTATTTGAATATGCTCCTTTAAGACGACTCAAACTCAACATTTTCTCAAACATTTTCAAGAGACTGTAATGTTTCAGGATACAGAGTTATTCGGGAATATAAAAATGTAATTCACCAATACAATCTATGTATCATACGATTATTAAAACCTAAACCTTGATTGAATTTGAACTACCTGTTACAGGTTACACTTGTAAAAGCTGACACAGATACGCCTAAATCCGATACCTTGAGTGTATCCAGTATACCCCGATCCTTAAACGTCTGGTATAGCTTTTTGCGCAGTTCATCTTGACTCAACACATCAGCCACGGTAAACATGTTGGACTAAAAGACAAAATGGTTATAGGTTACCTGCGGGGCAGAGGGAACGTGAACGTCTGAAAACAGACCAGTGGCCTCCGGGGAAGCCATAAGAGGCCTAGCGGCGAAAGTTTAACGAACACAAAACAAGACTTTATTTCCGCCCGAGAAGGGGCAGGTGTGTCTACCTGCGCCATCATCAGGCGTCAGCTCCCTCCGGAGCCCGCCTCGCTCGCCCCGCCGCGGCCCGAGTTTAGTGCCCAGCCCGGGCGGTGGGGCCAAGACGAGGGGGAATCCCTGCCCTCAGAACCCTGCCTCTGTCCCGAGGGTTCGGGAGGAACAAAGGTGCTGAACGTTCTCTGCCTCGCACTCCCAACTAGGTTTTCTAGCAAACACGCGAGCTTCCTTTCTTCGCGGTTCTGAGGCAAGGGCGAGGACCCAGGCACGACTCAAAGGCGGCTGGAGGGCGGGGACCCAGACACTAGGGACTGAAGGCAGCGAGGCAGGACCGCCTCACAGCCAGTCCGGCAACTTCCGGAAACCTGCTAAATATAGCCTTCCCGAGCTGAAGAGCTACGGCGCATGAGCTTGGTTGCCCAGCACCGGCCGGAAGCTCCGCCTACGTATCGCGAGAGCACATCCCAGGGTATCGCGAGAACTGCTTCGGCGTTCTGGCTACAGGTTCGGGGCGCGGGTCTCTTCCGCGGAAACTGACATTGCGTTTCCGTTGTCGGCCTCCCACTGCAGGTAGGGAATGGAGCAAGTGCGGCGGGGGGCGGGTGTTTTGAGTCCCTGGAGGACTTCGTAGCCCCTGCGTGACGCGGATGTTGGTCCTGTACCTCCACCCCTCCCCGGGGTGGCCGGGCCGGACCTGCCAGCCCTCCGCTGGCTCATCCGCGCAGCCCTTCCACCTGCAGACGTCCGCCCTCTCGGGGGCTGTGGTTTCGCGGTTCACTGGGTCATTCAGCTAACCCAGGGTTTCTTAACGGCTGCACTGTTGCCTTTTGGAGCCGGAAGATTCTTTGTTTTGGGAGGCTGTCCTGTGCATTGTAGGTTTAGCTGTATCCTTGCTCTCTATTTTGTCAGTATCACCTTCTCCCCCAAGTGTGACAACCAAAGATGTCTCCAGATATTGCCAGATGTCCTCTTGGAAGCAAGATCGCTCCGGGTTGAGATCCACAGAGCTAAACGTTTTAGAGTACCAACCATTGTGTGCTGTGAGGTAAAGGTGAGCCAGTCCTCATGATGCTTAAATGTAATTAGAAAGGAAAGGAACCAAACCTCTCAGAAGCGATAATGAAAATGTTACAGCCAGAGAATTGAACAAGAACTAAGATACATTGTAGACTGGATAAAGAGTTTAAAGGGGAGGTGGTTGAAGATGGAAGTGATCCAGATCATCTCTGTGGAAAAAGTGTGTCTTTATCGGGGCCTTGATGGGTAGGATTCGGGTGGTGAGCAAAAAGGAGAACATCACAGGAAGGGGAAAAATGAGCAAAGGAATCATTAAAAGAAAAAAAAAAGCCACGACCTTCTTGGGAGCAGTGAGGAATCTAGCCTGACTCCAGAGTTGTGTGCTGGGAATATAAGCCTTATATGGTATCTAAGTCCTGTGAGGACAGAATTGGATGTCAGCTTTGTGTACAGCATTGAAGATGAGTACGATGAGTTTTGATCTCTGGCTGTGAAAAACTTAAAGTATTTAAGAGGCAGTAAGAGTGACAGGACTTCATAGGAGGTGGAGAACCTGTAAGTTTTTGTTGGAAACAATGGAAAAGGAGGAGAGGCTTAGTTGGATTTTAAAGGATGGGTAGTGGTTGCAGACAGAATAAAGGAGAACATTCCAGGCATGAAGAGAGAAATGATAGTAGCTCTGAACTCGATATAGTCAAAGTGAATTTGGGAGAAAAAATAAGTAAACGAGTCAACGCTAGCAGAGGTGGAACAATAGGGCTGAGAAAAGACACGTGGAGCAATGTGGGAATCTTGAATACTAGTACATGATCCTGTAGCTGAGATGCATCAAAGGCTTTTGAGTGGAATGATGAAAACAGTGTTCTAAAAAGATGTTGATATGTTGTAAATGTTGTTAAGTAGAATCACTTGTCCACTGTTTAAAAAAAAAAAATGTTCCTGAAGACCCCCTTACTCCCACCTCCACCTTTGGTCCCACAGTTGAATACATGAATATAATTAGATAAAATGTTCTCCAAAAACTAGCATAACTTCTAGGGGAGGGAGAATTGCTTATAATATTAATAGAAAAATGTCACATTAAAGACCTATCAGTAGTATTCCTACTGCCCCTCCTCATTGTAATAGACATGTCCCATGCCATACCAGTTTAGTCTCATGACCCCAGGTTTATGGAACAACTGAAATCACTGCTCTCGCGAGCACAGGGCAGTTTTTCTAGAAGCTCTTCTATAGAGGTTGTAAAGAGGCATGCTACAAAAATGGATGTCTTTGGAACTGGAGTCCATGAGTTTTATCTTGCATTTGTCTACAACTTAAGAGACTTCCAAGTTCACTGAGCATCCTCCCACTCTGGCACTGTTGGTGTTCCACCCACCCCTTAGTTTCTAGTTTCCCAGTGACTTCAAATGAGCAGCCCTGGGCTTGGCCTATGGAACGGTTTGGAATAAGTCTGTGTAGTCCAGAGTCAGCAAATACTTGGCCCTCCTGTAGGTACTGCACTTCCCCAAATTCATAGCAGACATGGATAATTGATCACAGCATTCTTTCCTGGTGACCACATTTAGTCTCAGAATCTTTCTCAGCGCCAGTTCCTGGCAGTCACTACCAGTTGATTAGAATTCGCTTATGAAAGGAAACTCATTTGCCATCCCTAGCCAAGTCCCTTTTTCATTAGATAGCTTATCGTATTTAAAGATAGTACTGTGCTGTACCCCACTCCCTTTCCACCCCAAAAAGGTCTCCCCTACTCCGTTTAAACATCCTCTGTTACTTCAGTTGCTCTTGTCTGGTTTCCAGAGCATTTCCTAGCCTAGATCCTGCCCTCCCTTCCCCTGTAACACACAGAGTTATTGATCCTTTTACAATATGATTCCCAGAACTGAGTACCTTCCCCAAAGATGATAATATTATTGAAGAGGACATCAGCATTCTCCCTGACCTTGCTCTTAATGCCACCTAGAATTGATTAGCTTTTTTGACAAACCTATCAGACTTTTGCCTCTTACTGAGCTTGCAGAACTTTTGGGTTGATGTAGATGAACTGTTCTTAATCTAGGTTTCCCTTGTCCTTTTGTACAGTTGATTTTTAAGCCCAAGTACAGGGCTTGCTTTCTTATCCTCTTAACTTCTATCTTGTTAATTTCACCTTACTCTCCTAGCCATGGAGATCTTTTTTAATCCTAACTTCTGCCTTCTAATAAGTTAGCTGCCCTTGGTGTTATCTTTGAATGTGATAAGTTATCTTCATTCAAGTTATTGATTCAAATACTGAGCTAGACTAGGTTAAGGTCAACCTCAAAGCCTTACTAGAGACCCTGTGCCATAAATTGACACGGAGCACCCAATGTTCTCCGAGTATTGACACTCAAGTCGGCTATGAGCCATCCCTCATTCAGCAAATAATGAGTGCTTTCTGGGTCCCTGGCACTGTTGTAGCTCTAGGTATACCATAGTGAATGAGACGAATGGTGTATCTGCTCTCATGGAGGGCAACATTCTAGCAAGACTGTATTTTCACTCAGGCTCCAGGACTCCAGTTTGTTCTTAGGTAGATACCAAAATATTTCGTAAAATGACTTTCTGTTTACCTACCGTATCTCCCTTCAGAAACAAAAAATGTAAATTTGGTATGACTTGTTCTAGTACAACCAGGAGTATATGAATGAATAATCTGTTTTTATCTAGGGATTCACATTAAATGAGTTAATGTATAATAAAAGTGCCTGGCATGGCATCTGACTGAAAATAAACATTTAATACACGTTTCTGTTGGTGTTCTAGTCGCTCTGAATGTACCCTGTTATAGACTAGGAGATAAGCCTTTTTCCTGTTTCTGAAAATAGGAATAGCATTTAACCTAGCGGATGATATGGCATTTTTCTTGCAATTTCTCAAATGTCACTGATCAGCAGTTATGCAATCACATTTGTTAATCCAAGGTATATAATTTGTCAGGACCTGATGACTTGGATTTATTGAAATGTCTAGATGTTTTCTTTTTTCTTTAGTTATACTTTTAAGTTCTAGGGTACATGTGCACAACATGCAGGTTTGATACATAGGTATACATGTGCCATGTTGGTTTGCTGCACCCATTAACTCATCATTTACATTAGGTATTCCTCCTAATGCTATCCCTCCCCCAGCCCCCCACCCCCTGACAGGCCCCAGTGTGTGATATTCCCTGCCCTGTGTCCAAGTGATCTCATTGTTCAATTCCCACCTATGAGTGAGAACATGCAGTGTTTGCTTTTCTGTCCTTGTGATAGTTTGCTCAGAATGATGGTTTCCAGCTTCATCCATGTCCCTACAAAGGACATGAACTCATCCTTTTTTATGGCTGCATAGTATTCCATGGTGTATATGTGCCACATTTTCCTAATCCAGTCTATCATTGATGGACATTTGGGTTCATTCCAAGTCTTTGCTATTGTGAATAGTGCCACAATAAACATACGTGTGCTTGTGTCTTTATAGTAGCATGATTTGTAATCCTTTGGGTATATACCCAGCAATAAGTTTGCTGGGTCAAATGGTATTTCTACCTCTAGATCCTTGAGGAATCGCCACACTGTCTTCCACAATGATTGAACTAATTTACACTCCCACCAACAGTGTAAAAGTGTTCCTATTTCTCCACATCCTCTCCAGCATCTGTTATTTCCTGACTTTTTAATGATTGCCATTCTAACTGGCGTGAGATGGTATCTCTTTGTGGTTTTGATTTGCATTTCTCTAATGACCAGTGATGAGCATTTTTTTCATGTGTCTGTTGGCTGCATAGATGTCTTCTTTTGAGAAGTCTCTGTTCATATCTTTTGCCCACTTTTTGATGGGGTTTTTTTTTTTCTTATAAATTTGTTTGAGTTCTTTGTAGATTCTGGATATTAGCCCTTCGTCAGATGGGTAGATTGCAAACATTTTCTCCCATTCTGTAGGTTGCCTGTTCACTCTGATGGTAGTTTCTTTTGCCGTGCAGAAGCTCTTTAGTTTAATTAGATCCCATCTGTCTATTTTGGCTTTTGTTGTCATTGCTTTTGGTGTTTTAGTCATGAAGTCCTTGCCCATGCCTGTGTCCTGAATGGTATTGCCTAGGTTTTCCTCTAGAGTTTTTATGGTTTTAGGTCTAACATTTAAGTCTTTTTTTTGTTTGTTTTTTGTTTTTTGAGACGAAGTTTCACTCTTGTTGCCCAGGCTGGAGTGCAATGGTGCAATCTTGACTCACTGCAACCTCCACCTCTTGGATTCAAGCAATTCTTCTGCTTCTGCCTCCCGAGTAGCAGGGATTACAGGCATGTGCCACCACGCCCGGCTAAGTTTGTATTTTTAGTAGAGACGGGGTTTCTCCATGTTGGTCAGGCTGATCTTGAACTCCCTACCTCAGGTGATATGACCACCTCAGCCTCCCAAAGTGCCGGGATTACAGGCTTGAGCCACCGTGCCCAGCCCTAACATTTAAGTCTTTAATCCATCTTGAATTAATTTTTGTATAAGGTGTAAGGAAGGGATCCAGTTTCAGGTTTCTACATATGGCTAGCCAGTTTTCCCAGCACCATTTATTAAATAGGGAATCCTTTCCCCATTTCTTGTTTTTGTCAGGTTTGTCAAAGATCAGATGGTTGTAGATGTGTGGTGTTATTTCTGAGGCCTCTGTTCTGTTCCATTGGTCTATATATCTGTTTCGGTACCAGTACCATGCTGTTTTGGTTACTGTAGCCTTGTAGTATAGTTTGAAGTCAGGTAGCATGATGCCTCCACCTTTCTTCTTTTGGCTGAGGATTGTCTTGGCAATGTGGGCTCTTTTTTGGTTCCATATGAACTTTAAAGTAGTTTTTTTCAATTCTGTGAAGAAAGTCATTGGTAGCTTGATGGGGATGGCAGTGAATCTATAAATTACCCTTGGGCAGTATGGCCATTTTCATGATATTGATTCTTCCTATCCATGAGCATGGAATGTTCTTCCATTTGTTTGTATCCTCTTTTATTTCACTGAGCAGTGGTTTGTAGTTCTCCTTGAAGAGGTCCTTCACGTCCCTTGTAAGTTGGATTCCTAGGTATTTTATTCTCTTTGTAGCAATTGTGAATGGGAGTTCACCCATGCTTTGGCTCTCTGTCTATTATTGGTGTATAGGAATGCTTGTGATTTTTGCATATTGATTTTGTATCCTGCGACTTTGCTGAAGCTGCTTATCAGCTTAAGGAGATTTTGGACTGAGACCATGGGGTTTTCTAAATTTACAATCATGTCATCTGCAAACAGGGACAACTTGACTTCCTCTTTTCCTAATTGAATACCCTTTAGTTCTTTCTCTTGCCTGATTGCCCTGGCCAGAACTTCCAACACTATGTTGAATAGGAGTGGTGAGAGAGGGCATCCTTGTCTTGTGCCAGTTTTGAAAGGGAATGCTTCCAGTTTTTGCCCATTCAGTATGATATTGGCTGTGGGTTTGTCATAAATAGCTCTTATTATTTTGAGATATGTTCTATCAATTCCTAGTTTATTGAGAGTTTTTAACATGAAGGGCTGTTGAATTTTGTCAAAGGCCTTTTCTGCATCTATTGAGATAATCATGTGGATTTTGTCGTTGGTTCTGTTTATGTGATGGATTATGTTTATCGATTTGCGTATGTTGAACCAGCCTTGCATCCCAGGGGTGAAGCTGACCTGATCATGGTGGATAAGCTTTTTGATGTACTACTGGATTCGGTTTGCCAGTATTTTATTGAGGATTTTCGCATCAATGTTCATCGGGGATATTGGTCTAAAATTCTCTTTTTTTATTGTGTCTCTGCTAGGCTTTGGTATCAGGATGATGTTGGCTTCATAAAATGAGTTAGGGAGGATTCCCTCTTTTTCTGTTGATTGGAATAGTTTCAGAAGGAATGGTACCAGCTCCTCTTTGTACCTCTGGTAGAATTCGGATGTGAATCCATCTGGTCCTGGACTTTTTTTGGTTGGTAAGCTATTAATTATTGCCTCGATTTCAGAACCTGTTATTGGTCTATTTAGGGATTCAACTTCTTCCTGGTTTAGCCTTGGGAGAGTGTATGTGTCCAGGAATTTATCCATTTCTTCTAGATTTTCCAGTTTATTTGCGTAGAGGTGTTTATAGTATTCTCTGATGGTAGTTTGTATTTCTGTGGGATCGGTGGTGATATCCCCTTTATCATTTTTTATTGCATCTATCTGATTCTTCTCTGTTTTCTTCTTTATTAGTCTTGCTAGTGGTCTATCAATTTTGTTGATCTTTTGAAAAAACCAGCTCCTGGATTCATTGATTTTTTAAAGGGTTTTTCGTGTGTTTATCTCTTTCAGTTCTGCTCTGATCTTAGTTATTTCTTGTCTTCTGCTAGCTTTTGAATTTGTTTGCTCTTGCTTCTCTAGTTCTTTTAATTGCAATGTTAGGGTGTAGATTTTAAATCTTTCCTGCTTTCTGTTGTGGGCATTTAGTGCTATAAATTTCCCTCTACACACTGCTTTAAATGTGTCCCAGAGATTCTGATACTTTGTGTCTTTGTTTTCTTTGGTTTCAGAGAACATCTTTATTTCTGCCTTCATTTCGTTATTTACCCAGTAGTCATTCAGGAGCAAGTTGTTCAATTTCCATTTAGTTGAGCAGTTTTGAGTGAGTTTTTAAATCCTGAGTTCTAATTTGATTGCACTGTGGTCTGAGAGACAGTTTTTTGTGATTTGTGTTCTTTTACATTTGCTGGAGTGCTTTACTTCCAATTATGTAGTCAATTTTAGAATAAGTGCAATGTGGTGCTGAGAAGAATGTATATTCTGTTGATTTGGGGTGGAGAGTTCTGTAGATGTCTATTAGGTCCACTTGGTGCAGAGCTGAGTTCAAGTCCTGGATATCCTTGTTAACCTGTCTTGTTGATCTGATATTGACAGTGGGGTGTTAAAAGTCTCCCATTATTATTGTGTGGGAGTCTAAGTCTCTTTGTAGGTCTCTAAGGACTTGCTTTATGAATCTAGGTGCTCCTGTATTGGGTGCATATATATTTAGGATAGTTAGCTCTTCTTGTTGAATTGATCCCTTTACCATTATGTAATGGCCTTCTTTGTCTCTTTTGATCTTTGTTGGTTTAAAGTCTGTTTTATCAGAAACCAGGATTGCAACCCCTGCTTTTTTGTGCTTTCCATTTGCTTGGTAGATCTTCCTCCATCCCTTTATTTTGAGCCTATGTGTGTCTTTGCACATCAGATGGGTTTCCTGAATACAGCACACTGATGGGTCTTGATTCTTTATCCAGTTTGCCAGTCTGTGTCTTTTAATTGGAGCATTTAGTCCATTTACATTTAAGGTTAATATTGTTATGTGTGAATTTGATCCTGTCATTATGATGTTCGCTGGTTATTTTGCCTGTTAACTGATGCAGTTTCTTCATAGCATCAATGGTCTTTTACAATTTGGCCTGTTTTTGCAGTGGCTGGTACCGGTTGTTTCTTTCTATGTTTAGTGCTTCCTTCAGGAGCTCTTGTAAGGCAGGCCTGGTGGTGACAAAATCTCTCATCATTTCCTTCTCTGTAAAGGATTTTATTTCTCTTTCACTTATGAAGCTTAGTTTGGCTGGATATGAAATTCTGGGTTGAAAATTCTTTTAAGAATGCTGAATATTGGCCCCCACTCTCTTCTGGCTTGTAGAGTTTCTGCTGAGAGATCTGCTGTTAGTCTGATGGGCTTCCCTTTGTGGGTAACCCGACCTTTCTCTCTGCTGCCCTTAACATTTTTTTCCTTCATTTCAACCTTGGTGAATCTGACAATTACGTGTCTTGGGGTTCCTCTTCTCGAGGAGTATCTTTGTGGTATTCTCTGTATTTGCTGAATTTGAATGTTGGCCTGCCTTGCTAGGTTGGGGAAGTTCTCCTGGATAATATCCTGAAGAGTGTTTTCCAACTTGGTTCCATTCTCCCCATCACTTTCAGGTACACCAGTCAAACGTAGATTTGGTCTTTTCACATAGTCCCATATTTCTTGGAGGCTTTGTTCGTTTCTTTTTATTCTTTTTTCTCTAACCTTGTTTTCTCGCTTTATTTCATTAATTTGATCTTCAATCACTGATACCCTTTCTTCTACTTGATCAAATCAGTTATTGAAGCTTGTGTATGCATCATGAAGTTCTTGTGCCATGGTTTTTAGCTCCCTCAGGTCATTTAAGGTCTTCTCTACACTGTTTATTCTAGTTAGCCATTCGTCTAATCTTTTTTCAAGGTTTTTAGCTTCCTTGAGATGGGTTCAAACATGCTCCTTTAGCTCAGAGAAGTTTGTTATTACCGACCTTTTGAAGCCTCATTCTGTCAACTCATCAAAGTCATTCTCCGTCCAGCTTTGTTCCATTGCTGGCGAGGAGCTGCAATCCTTTGGAGGAGAAGAGGCACTCTCATTTTTAGAATTTTCAGCTTTTCTGTTTTGGTTCCTCCCCATCTTTGTGGTTTTATCTGCCTTTGGTCTTTGATGTTGGTGACCTACAGATGGGGTTTTGGTGTAGATGTTGTTTTTGTTGATGATGATGCTATTCCTTTCTGTTTGTTAGTTTTCCTTCTAACAGTCAGGTCCCTCAGCTGCAGGTCTGTTGGAGTTTGCTGGAGGTCCACTCCAGACCCCGTTTGCCTGGGTATCACCAGCAGAGGCTGCAGAACAGCAAATATTGCTGCCTGATCCTTCCTCTGGAAGCTTCATCCCAGAGGGGCACCCGCCTATATGAGGTGTCTGTCGGCCCCTACTGGGAGGTGTCTCCCAATTAGGCCATACGGGGGTCAGGGACCCCCTTGAGGAGGCAGTCTGTCCGTTCTCAGAGCTCAAGCACCACGTTGGGGGAGCCACTGCTCTCTTCAGAGCTGTCAGACAGGGATGTTTAAGTCTGCAGAAGTTGTCTGCTGCCTTTTGTTCAGCTAAGCCCTGCCCAGAGAGGTGGAGTCTAGAGGCAGTAGGCTTTGCTGAGCTGCAGCGGGCTCTGCCCAGTTCGAGCTTCCTGGCCACTTGTTTACCTACTGAAGCCTCAGCAATGGCGGACACCCCTCCCCCAGCCAGGCTGCTGCCTCACAGTTCAATCTCAGACTGCTGCGCTAGCAGTGAGCAAGGCTCCGTGGGCGTGGGACCTGCCGAGCCAGGCATGGGAGAGAATCTCCTTGTCTGCCGGTTGCTAAGACCTTGGGAAAAGCACAGTATTTGGGTGGGAGTATCCCATTTTTCCAGGTACAGTCTGTCATGGCTTCCCTTGGCTAGGAGAGGGAAATCCCCCGACCCCTTGCACTTTCTGGGTGAGGCGACGCCCTGCCCTGCTTCAGCTCGCCCTCCATGGGCTGCACCCACTGTCCAACCAGTCCCAATGAGATGAACCAGGTACCTCAGTTGGAAATGCAGAAATCACCCATCTTCTGCGTTGATCACGCTGGGAGCTGCAGACCGGAGGTGTTCCTATTTGGCCATCTTGGAACGGATCCCTAGACGTTTTCTTAATATACCTATCTTGAGGTTCGCAGCCTGCCTAACCTTGTTTCTTCCATGCTTGCTATTTGAAAAGTCATTTAACAGAGAAAATGGAAGTTAAACAGGTCAGCATCCACCATTATTTCAGTGTGTAGCAAGCGCTTGAAGCAGTTGACCCTTCTCCCTTGCTTTTTCCTGATCGTAGCCTAAAAAGCCTCTTTTTTTTTTTTTTTTTTTAAATATATATTACACACTTCAACTCATTGTAGGCCTTTGCCCTTCTGATGCTAGCCTCACTGATTTCTGGTCCCGTTTTTATGTTCATTACTAGTTAGTGTCCTACTTCTTACATCTTCCATGTGGCCTCTTTAAATTTAAGGTAGTCAGAGAGCTCTTTGTATCACCAAGTTTATTTCTTTAGTCTTCTCCTTCTCAAAAGCCCAGGTTTCCCTAGCCACTGAAGACAGCTGCTGTTTCCACCACAAGTGAGAGTTCTGGCTCTCACTTGAGAGCCAAACAAGAATCTGTTTCCTTGTACTTTCCAGCTTCTGGGGGCCTCCTGCATTCCTTGGCTGTGGCCCCTTCCTTCATTTTCAAAGCTGTCAAGATCACATTGCTGTGACCATTCTTCTGTCACTTCCCCCTGACTTTCCTCTTTTGCTTCCCTATTCTACTTTTAAGGCCCTTGTCATGACATTGGGTCCACCTGGATGATCCAGGACAATGTTCCTATCTTAAGGTCAGCTGATGAGCAACCTTAATTCCTCTTTGCCGTGGGCCCTAACATACTCACAAGTTGCAGAGATTAGGATGTGGATGTCTTAGGAGAGGGGCCACTGTTCTGCTTGTTCACCTCAGCTAGACATATGGAAACCATCCTAGATTCTCCTCTTGTCCTCAATTTCCCAGTTTAATCTATTCCCAAATTCTGTGTAGCTACCTCCTCAACACCTCTGGGCCAAGCCTCTCTTGGAGATGCTTCAAAGGCCCCTATTTAAGGCGATGGGAAAATCGAGCAGACCATACATACACAGTCATGTCAACGCAGGTAATTCAGTAATGGCAGTTGCTTTATCTGTATTATATATTGGAATTCTAAGTAATACTTGTTTTTGTTGGTGAAGGGAAGGTGGAGGAAGTCACAGAACTTTTATAAAACGTTTGGAATCAGGCCGGGCATGGTGGCTCATGCCTGTAATCCCAGCACTTTGGGAGGCCAAGGTGGGCAGATCACTTGAGGCCAGGAGTGTGAGACCAGCCTGGCCAACACGGTGAATCCCCGTCTCTACTAAAAATACAAAAATTAGCCGGGCATGGTGGCACATGCCTATACTCCTGGCTACTCAAGAGGCTGAGGCAGGAGAATCTCCTGAACCTGGGAGGCGGAGGTTGCAGTGCGCTAAGATTGTGCCACTAGTTTGGAATCATTGATCTAGAGCTGTGCTGTCTAGTACTGTGGCCACTAGCCACATATGGCTATTTATGTTTAATTAAAATTCAGTTCTACATTCTCACTAGCCACATTTTTTTTTTTTTTTTTTTGAGATGGAGTCTTGCTCTGTCACCAGGCTGGAGTGTGCAGTGGCACGATCTTGGCTCACTGCAAGCTCCGCCTCCCGGGTTCACACCATTCTTCTGGCTCCGCCTCCCAGGTTCACACCATTCTTCTGCCTCAGCCTCCCGAGTAGCTGGGACTACAGGTGCCCACCACCACACTCGGCTAATTTTTTGTATTTTTAGTAGAGATGGGGTTTCACCATGTTAGCCAGGATGGTCTCGATCTCCTGACCTCGTGATCCGCCCACCTTGGCCTCCCAAAGTGCTGGGATTACAGGCGTGAGCCACCGCGCCTGGCCTACACTAGCCACATTTCTAATGCACACTAGCTCACATATTGGACAGCACAGGTGTAGAACATTTCTGTCCTCGCAGAAAGTTCCATAGATTGGACAGCGCAGAATCCTAGCGTGTGTCTTACCTTTGCTCCATACCCTCAAGTATTTGCTAAGTGTTTGCAGCTGTTCCCCTCCCGAGACAATGAGGTCATTTTCTCCCAGGGTTTTCAGTTCTTCCACTTCACCTGTCAGTTTTTCCTTGGCAGAACTGAATGAAAAGCTACAGCCCTTCTTGCTTCTTCAGCTGTTTACAAAATCAAATAATTGGCAGCTGAAGTCAAGCATGGAATGTATATAAAGAAAGCTCTGTCTCATCTTTTGCGCAGCTGGGTAGTTGGTAACAGCATCCTCATGCAGTCGGTCTTTGAGTTCCCTTTCTGTCTTCCTGCTGACTTAGCGCCATGCTGCTTGCCCATTCGTGGCTTTCCATATAGGGGTGAGTGTGGGGATGCATGTTATCTTGCTTATACATATGTGTACATATATTTCCTTCTGCTGCTGCTTTTGCTTTTTTTTTTTTTTTTTTTTTTTTTTGCTGCTGCTTAAATGTACTGAAGAAAGTAAGAAGCCCTTCCCTTGGCAAACTCCAGCTCTGAAATCTAGTCCAGCAAGAATTCATGATATCATTGTTTACTTGGTTCAAATTTCAACTCCCTGTCCTTCCCTTCACTTTGGAGAATTATTGCCAGTTCTTCTAGTTTTGCATAGCTTTTTTATCATTCCAGCTCGTCTTTGTTATCCACTTTTTCTGTTTGGACCTTTTTCTTATCTTTCCCCTAAAACAGGGGCAAACATTTTCTTTAAAGGGCCAGATAGTAAATATTGTTGGCTTTGTGGGACAGCTGGTCTGTGTCACAGGTGCTTAACTCTGCCATTGAAGCGTGAGAGCAGCCTTAGATGGTCGCAAAATGATGGGCAAGGCTAGATTTGGCCTGCAGTCTATAGTCCCCCACCCCTCCACCCCTGCCCCAAATAGCATTTTAAATCTTACGTCATCATGCCAGGAGTTCTGATCTGCCTTTTCTTCCATAGTCATGGCCTTCCAATTCTAGAGTTAAAAGTGCCAGCTGTGCCTTGATTTCCTTTATAAAATGTGTCATTCATTAGCAAGTACATATCAGATTTCTTCTGATTTCATTGTGTGTTCTGTGTGAATCAGCAGAAGGCCCAATGAGGCTTGCTAAGTCTTGGCTTCTAACACACCTCAGATGTATGTTCTAGGAGACTGACTGTAACTCCCGGTTTACTTGATTTCCACTCCGTGTTGAGAAGTTACTAGTCACCACATCCCAGTGTGCATACGGTCTCCCATGTTATTCCACTAACATTAATTGAGCATGTACTGTGGGTCAGACACTGTACTGGGTACTTTACATGCATTAGATTGTGTGATCCTCATAAGTGCACCATAAGGTGCTACAGTGTTAGCACTATTTAACAGATGAGAAAACGGACATTAGGAAGTTAAGGACTGCCTGTGGTCACACTGCCAGTAAGTAGCAGAGCTAGACCTGAACCTAACTTTGACTCCAAAGTCCTTGTGTTAAAAATACACACCGTGGGGTTACCTTGGGGTAAATCCATCCATGCCCCCACCCATCCATCATTCATCTAGATTTCAATTATCTGTGCTAAAAGCCATGGAATCACTTATATTTTTCCCCCCAGTTTCTCGTAGTTTCATCTCTTCTGCCAATCTGTTTTTTTTTTTTTTTTGAGACAGGGTCTCATTTTGTCACTTAGACTGGAGTGCAGTGGTGCGATCTTGGTTCACTGCAGCCCTGACCTCCCTGGGCTCAGGTGATCCTCCTGCGTCAGCCTCCTGAGTAGCTGGGACTACAGGCACATACCACCATGCCTGGCTACTTTTTGTATTTCATGTAGAGATGGAGTTTCACCATGTTGCCCAGGCTGGTCTCGAAGTCCTGGGCTGAAGCAATCTGCCCATCTCAGCCCTCCAAAGTGCTGGGATTACAGGCGTGAGCCACTGCACCGGGCCCAACATGTTAAACTTAGTTCCAAGATCTTTCAGTGCCTCAGAATGTCTTCCTTTATGGATTATTTCTTCCATCTTTTCTAGAATACAAAACTCTTCCTTTCTTATAAATTGGTATATAAAGAGGCATATCATAGGCTCTTAGATTTGCAAAGACTTACATTTATAGCACACATACTTCAAGTAGAAAGAAGACAAATACAGCACACGCAGTCTGCGAATCAGTGATACAGTGTCTGTCCTTTCTAGGTAAGTGACATGAGGTAGAGTTGGTTTTAGCTTCCCCCGACGGATGCCTCCTGGAAATTTCTAAGGCAAGGTAATTACTTCCTTGGTCTTCCCACTACTCTGTATTGTCCTTGACTTACCACCACCTTCTGTTAATCCTTCTAGGTGTCCGTGCTGCTACTAACTGGTCCAGTCCAAATGAAGCCCAGCTTACTCTACCAGACACTTAGGGCCCCTTGAGCTGAATGAGCCATATTTTCAGATCATGAGAATGTTGTCTTTGTGATTTCATGTTAGAGGTCTTCCAGTTTACTTAAGAAAATACATTAGATTCACAGATTCATATCATAGATACATAATTTGTTTATTCCAGAAGCTACGTATCTTCGCTAGTATACTGGAAACTGCCAAGCTTAGTAGCATCTTCCTCTACAATGTCAGGTTTAAATTTAAAAAAGAATTCTACACTTCCCATTAGTCATTTTTTAATTTGAAGATTGACTACTAAAAATATGTACTATTTTTCACTTAATTAGGAGCCATATATTGAAGACCATGTCTGGGAGCTTCTACTTTGTAATTGTTGGCCACCATGATAATCCAGTTTTTGAAATGGAGTTTTTGCCAGCTGGGAAGGCAGAATCCAAAGTACGTAAGAATTTTTATGCTATTGTAATGATATGGTATAATATGATTTTAGAACTGGAAGATCTGGACAGATAAGGTAACTGAAATCCACCACAATTAAATGAGGCTTGCTCAGGAGCCCACAGACTGATAGAAGCCAGCCAGGGTATGTCCTTGGAGATGTTTATTCATCCTTTAGTTCAGCACAGACTAGCATGACGCTCTGGCATTCCCATCATACTCAGTTCACTATGTCACCCACCATGAATTGCTGTTGCTTAAGCACATAAAGACATAGTTCACCTGTAGTGGATTGCCGCCTTGAAATACCATGAAAGTCCAGGCTGTTTTCATGAATCATGTTTTTCATCAGGACCTACTGGGTTAGAAAAGACCCTTACTTCCCTGTCTTCCTGCTGCCACTGGGTCTGCAGCACCTCACTTCAGGGGCCTTCTGCAGCACTTCCTGGCTGGGTTGAGCCTGTATGCTCCCCTCCCCAGTGACACCTTGGCCATACACAGGAAGCTCAAAAGCAGCACCAGAGGTGATACCACCCAACTTGCTTGTCAAGAATGGTTCCAAAAACCAAGCTTAGCTCGAGGACATATTGCCATTCAGACCCATAGAGTATTTTTTTTTTTTGAGACAAGGAAATGGACCATATATTTTAAGAAAGATTACCATCCCAAATGCTTAAAATAAAACCATTTGGATCTTATTTATTTATTCTTTTTGAGACAGAGTCTTGCTCTGTCGCCCAGACTGGAGTGCAGTGACACGATCTCAGCTCACTGCAACTTCTGCCTCCTGGGTTCAAGCAATTCTCCTGTATTAGCCTCCCAGGTAGCTGGGATTATAGGTGCGCACCACTGTGCCAGGCTAATTTTTGTATTTTTAGTAGAGACAGGGTTTCGCCATGTTGCCCAGGCTGGTCTCGAACTCCTGACCTCAGGTGGTCTGCCTGCCCTCGGCCTCCCAAAGTGCTGGGATTGCAGACATGAGCCACTACACCTGGCCCAGACCTGTAGAGTTTTGACACGAGAAGAGCCCAGTTCTTTCCAATTTCTGTTTCTAATAAATTGCTGACAAGTTTGCTATGTTTCTCCCAACCTCCAAAAATTGGCTTTAATGTCCTTTAAGGAATTGATGTTTTAAGTTAATTGTAATGCATAATATATGGTATTTTTCAACTATTCAGGCCTTGCCACCAAAATAAGATAGGCATTTGTTTACGGGATTCTCTATGAGGTGGAGTTGTGACATTATTTTCTCATATTATGAGAACACTACTCATTAAAACTTGTTTTTGAGGTATCTCTGTACCAGTACTGCTTTGTGGGATGCAGCTACTTGTATGTAATTTCTGTGCACTCCACTGCCCTTGTGTTGGACAAAGCACACATAAAAATACTTTGTTGCATAACTTGATTTTAGTTCTTTCTCCTGCTACCACTCACTTTCTTAAAGCGTTTTCAGTTTGCTCCTAATTCTTCAGGATTGATCATCATTGTAAAAGAAAACACTGCTGTGAGCCAGACACAAAAACATCCATTTCTCTAAGGATTCACTTAGCTTTGTCATGGCAACATGAGTGAAGTAAAACATGCTTTAACTATGCATGGGATTCCACGGCAACGGGCCGCCCTCCTCCAGCCCAGGCATGAGAACAGCCTCCTTGGCAAGGAAGCCGTCTCAGTTTCCTATGGCTGTTGTAACAAAGTACGAAAAACTGAGTGGCTTGGGACAGCAGAAATTTATTGTCTCAGTTCTGAGGGCCACCATCTGAAATCAAGGTGTCAGTGGGGCCATGCTCCCTATGAAGGCACAAAGACAAGGGTCTGTCCAGGCCTCTCTCCCAGCTTCTGGGAGTTCCTTGGCTTGTGGCAGCATAACTCCAGTCTTCATGTGGCATTTTTCTCCCTGTGTGCATCTCTAAATGTTCCCTTTTTCTAAATACACCAGTCCATTGGATTAGGGGCCCACCCTACTCCAGTGTGACCTCATCTTAGCTAACCACATCTGCAACAACCCTCTTTCCATATAAGGCCACATTCTGAGGTACTGTTGCTTAGGACTTCAACAAAGGAATTTTAGAGAGGAAACACTTCAACCCATAACAGGTATTCTTTGAAAAATGGCTTGGGTTTTTTTGAGACGGAGTTTTGCTCTTGTCCCCCAGGCTGGAGTGCAATGGCGTGATCTCGGCTCACTGCAGCCTCCGCCTCCCAGGTTCAAGCAATTCTCCTGCCTCAGCCTCCCGAGTAGCTGGGATTACAGGCATGCACCACCACAGCCGGCCAATTTTTGTATTAGTAGAGATGGGATTTCACCATATTGGACAGGCTGGTCTTGAACTCCTGACCTCAGGTGATCCACCTGCCTCAGCCTCCCAAAGTGCTAGGATTACAAGCATAAGCCACCGCGCCTGGCCAAAAAATGTATTTTCAAAGAACTACATTGGAGTAAGACTGCATTCCAAGTTCTGAATTCCGTCTTCACATTATGGTCAGACAGTCCCACCTTCTGTTCACTTAAGCCATTTCAGCCCAGGAAAAGGACACTCCCAGCTCTGACAGGACTGTGTCCTGCTATTGACACAGGCGACTGCTCACAGCTGGGGCTGAGCATCACCTCCCACTACTCCTAGGTCCCGCTGTCATGTAAGCTCCATGCACTGGAAAGAGGCCTCTGGCAGGCCGTTATAAGCGCCATTTCAACTGTCTCTACTGCTTACCTGGTGCCACTGTGCAGGAAGCCCCGCCCTCTCAGTTTCCTCCCAGACCTTGAGGCCTAGTGTGAATGGCACCTCTTCTCCACAGGATCTTGTTTTTTTTTTTTTTTTTTTTTTTTTTTTTTAACATAGTATCCTTTTTTTACATGTTTAGATGGTTACAGAATTCGGTAACTTCCTTCTTGAAACATGAAAAAAAATTTATATGAAAAAGATTTTCAATAAATGATTTTGTATAAATCCTCTATATACACATTTCATTTATTAATTGGCTGTTTCTGTTGAGATGTAGATATCAAATTTAAAAATAGAATATAATATGAAAACAGATCTTTTATAAGTCTCATGACAATAACAAAGTATAAAAGCAAACTGTTTTTTCCCCACAAGAAAACCATCTATAGAATTTACAGAATGAAATGTCAGCATTCTCGATGCCATATGCAAATGTTAATCTGTGGTTGCTCACACTGTCATCTAGGACGACCATCGTCATCTGAACCAGTTCATAGCTCATGCTGCTCTCGACCTCGTAGATGAGAACATGTGGCTATCGAACAACATGTACTTGAAAACTGTGGACAAGTTCAACGAGTGGTTTGTGTCGGCATTTGTCACTGCGGGGCATATCCTTACCTTCTTAGTAAAGGTAACTAACTAAAGTTTGGGCTCACAAACCAGAAGAACATGGAACATAGATGCCAGGCTCTGAGTCTGTAGACTTCACAGTCAGGTGAAAATGTAAGTTTCCATTTATGGGGCTACTTTTCTTTTTTTAGGGGGGAAAAACATTTTGTTTAATAGCTAATTTTAAAACTAAGTCTCATACACAAAAAGAGTTTATCTGGACCCTATCAAGGGTGATTTTACTTTATTTTACAGTTATTTTCTAACTTTGAAAGCTTATGTTCTCTTTATGATAAAACTAAGCTAATTTTAAACCCAGTTTATATATTCAACTTTTCCATCACAAATACACTGCATGTGACTAATTTGAAGAATACTGTATCAACGAACTGGTTGCTTTTTGTTTTTCATTTCTAAGAAAGATTATGCCTTAATTATTTCACATATGAGGTTTATTATGCTTCATGACATAAGACAAGAAGATGGAATAAAGAACTTCTTTACTGATGTTTATGATTTATATATAAAGGTATGGTATGTTCTATAATTTTTAAATTCTGATGAGAAAGGATTCGACCTTTGTCAGGAAACTGGCCTATTGAAGTAACTCCCTTAGGCTGCAGTTTACCTTTCAGACTAGCTTTCCCCCATCAGAACTATCTCTGGCAACTCCCTCCGCAGGTAAGTCTTCACAGCCAGGTGAATATGTATTTAGGAACACAACTTCATGGTAGTTACCTTTAGATGATTGTGAAGGTAAATTGGTTTCATTCTTCACCTTGTTGTCCTCATAGCTGATTTTATTAGGGATCCCTAAAGACAGCAAGAAAGCAGCCTATATAAGGGAAAATTACTTCATAATTTAATCTAAAATGTTTCCATCTACTTTACAAATAAGTTACAGTGCAATAGAGATCATAAACTGGCAGGAAGTGATTTTTATATGATCAAATAGCCACTCAAGAAGAATGGCGCCACTTGCATTTCTTGATTTTGAAAAATAAAATAATAATAGGACGTCATGGTTACACTGCAGTGATAACAATAGTATGTTTTGTTTTGGAGACAGTCTTGCTCTGTCACCCAGGCTGGAGTGCAGTGGCGTGATCTCAGCTCACTGCAACCTCTGCCTTCCAGGTTCAAGCGATTCTCCTGCCTCAGCCTCCCAAGTAGCTGGGACCACAAGTGTGCACCACCACACCCAGCTAATTTTTGTATTTTCAGTAGAGACGAGGTTTTGCCATGTTGGCCAGGCTGGTCTCAAACTCCTGACCTCAAGTGATCCACCCGCCTTGGCCTCCCAAAGTGCTGGGATTACAGGCGTGAGCCACCATGCCTGGCCCATATGTTTTTAATAATTTAAATAAGTTCTGTATTTGGACAGAATTTCTTGCATATCAGCACAGTAATACAATTTAACAGTATTCCTAGTCAGAGGTAGTAAGTAATATTTAGCCCTCTTATAAAGATGAACAATGTCAAGTGATTAAGGTATAAAAATCAGCAATGCCTTTCCTCATTAGTGATTCCATTTAATGATTTTCTGTCATGCGTTATGATACACTAATTTGAGAAGCTGATCATTTAGCAGTCTTGTGTTAAAGGAGAGTATTAAAAACCTGATTGTTAAAAGATTACCACACAAGAATAGCTTTTTCTGAACTCTGAGCACATGGCAGATTTTTTTGTTTTATGTAGCCAAAGGGCCATAGAGATTAATCCATTTATTTATAATGAATATGAGTATTTCACACACACGGTAAATTCTGAAAGTTAACTGACACAGGCAACATTTATCATACTGCCATTAGTTTTGCCACAGATACTTCTCAAAACCAAAACACCAAAATAAAAATTTCCTTAAGAGGATGTTATTAACAATGCAGCATTTTCAATAAAACTTAAAAATGTGGTCTTTAGACTTTGGAATGTCTTTGGTTTTTAATTTAAAACTTTAAAATGATTTCCTTTCAGAAACTTAAGATTTGTCAGCTTTTTTGCTTCACTAATACTTTCTTCTTTCCTAGTTTTCAATGAATCCATTTTATGAACCCAATTCTCCTATTCGATCAAGTGCATTTGACAGAAAAGTTCAGTTTCTTGGGAAGAAACACCTTTTAAGCTGAATGCAGAAAATTCCAAAATAAATGATGTCACCACAATGGTGTATACTCAGGAATGTGTACATTGTAAGTTACTTGATTAAATAGCCTGGAAAACTTTTGTGTATTCTCAGCTTATCTAAACCTAATGAAATTCCTTTTATATTTAAAAATAGTACATTCTGTCTCATGTCACGTATCAATAGATCAATTGGTATTTCCTTGTGAACAGTGTTATTTATAAAGAGTTCATTATCAATAATCATGTTTTTTTTTTTTTTTTTTTTCTGATACAGAGTCTCACTCTGTTGCCAGGCTGGAGTGCAGTGGCGCAATCTTGGCTCACTGCAACCTCCGCCTCCCAGGTTCAGGCGATTCTCCTGCCTCAGCCTCCAAGTAGCTGGGACTACAGGCGCGTGCCACCACGCCCGGCTAATTTTTGTATTTTTAGTAGAGACAGGGTTTCACCATATTGGTCAGGCTGGTCTTGAACTCCTGACCTCGTGATCTGCCCGCCTTGGCCTCCCAAAGTACTGGGATTACAGGCGTGAGCCACCGTGCCCAACCATGAAATATTTTTACTTAAAAATTGGGAATAAGCTCGCTTTTTTTTTTTTTGAGATGGAGTCTTGCTCCTGTTGTGCAGGCTGTAGTGCAGTGGCACGATCTTGGCTCACTGCAACCTCCACCTCCCGGGTTCAAGCAATTCTCCTTCTTCAGCCTCCCGAGTAGCTGAGATTATAGGCGTGCACCACCACACCTGGCTAATTTTTGTATTTTTAGTAGAGACAGGGTTTCACCATATTGGTCAGGCTGGTCTTGAACTCCTGACCTCGTGATCCACCCACCTCAGGAAGTGCTGGGATTACAGGCGTGTGAGCCACCACGCCCGGCCATGAAATATTTTTACTTAAAAATTGGGAATAAGCTTTTTGGTTTTTTGTGGGTTTTTGTTTTTGTTTTTTGTTTTTTGTTTTTTTGAGATGGAGTCTTGCTCCTGTTGTGCAGGCTGGAGTGCAGTGGCACAGTCTTGGCTCACTGCAACCTCCACCTCCTGGGTTCAAGCAATTCTCCTTCTTCAGCCTCCCGAGTAGCTGGGATTACAGGCATGCACCACCACACCTGGCTAATTTTTGTGTTTTTAGTAGAGACGGGGTTTCGCTATTTTGGCCGGGCTGGTTTCAAACTCCTGACCTCAGTTGATCCACCCGCCTCAGCCTCCCAAAGTGCTAGGATTACAGGCATGAACCACCGTGCCCGGCCAGGAATAAGCTTTTGACTTACCCAATTCAGATAGGTTGATCTTTGGGGTTTTTTTTTTTTTTTTGAGATGGAGTTTCGCTCTGTTGTCCAGGCTGGAGTGCAATGGCAGTTGTTTCACCGTAACCTCTGCCTCCTGACTTCAAGCAATTCTCCTGCCTCAGCCTCCCAAAGTGCTGGGATTACAGGTGTGAGCCACCGTGCCCGGCCCAGATAGGTTGATCTTAATGTAACAACCCAAAAATAAATGTCATAGTCAAGATTTGGTAGATAAATTTAAAATTAAAATATTCTGCAGTTGGGAGTGAAATGTGATAGCACATACGTTGACATTATGCATTTAGAGATGTTATAAAAATGTATAGGCAGTATACACAGCACTACTCAAGAAGCCAAAGAAACACTTGTGCAGTGCTAAGTGTCACATGTCTGCTTCCACCAGAGGCTAGGAATAGTGATCCTGCTATAATGTGAGAACCCAAATCATGTTTATAAAATAGGACGCTGGGAGCAGTTGCAGGCCACAGTGAAGTGTGTTGCTTCTGTCACTTTATATTCTTATATTTCCTTTCCCTCAGACAGTAAACTGTTGATACTCGTACTTGTAAAAAATTGTAAGGCAATTTTTAGTATTGTTGTCAAAGAAAAGCTTGGATTACATTAACATTTGTATTCAGTCTTTTAGGTGATACACCAGAGGGGGCTGGGAATTGTCTCTTTGTTCCTATAAGTAGATCTTAATGTAAAATAGTAAATGTCCATTGAAAAGCAAGTAATACAGCCTGTGCTAATTGGGAGCACTTGAACAATTTTGTTCCATTCTGAGTAACTTTTGAGCAAGTAATTCTAAGCTTTGTCTTGTATCCTTGTGTGAAATTGCATAATTTTTACCCTATTTGATTTCTTAAATAAAGATGTTTGCTCAAGATCGTGGTAGTTTAATATCCATTTTTAAAGTGCTGCTTTCGTCCTATTTCTCCTATTGATAGTCTAGTCTGCAAACTAATATGATGTCTTCACCTGTTATAGAGCTCAGATTGACTCAAACTAGATGCCAGAGCTTTGGGAGCAGAAAAATTTACATACTCATCTAGAAATCTAGGAGTAATTTCAGCAAACGTGTATTTTTTTGTATATAGTTGGCCCCTCCCTCAATGAGCATATCATCCAGAGGGCTGTGATGCAGGGCAGCCAAGAGCAGCAGGGTGATTGATTGAGAGCAGGAAGACTTGGCTCAGCTGCACAACAGTGGTACCCTGAAAATAGCCTTTTCTCCAGGCTGGTGAAGGTGAGGTAGGCACTAGTAACACACTTGTGAGTATATTACTAAAGTTAAATGCCAAATTTCATGTGTGACTGAGTCTTCAAAGGAGCTGGAAGGGAAGTGGAGCATTGAGTGGGACCTCCAAGGTAGGCTGCACAGGAAAGCATTGCAGGTGTGAAGGTGTGAAGAGCACTTGGGCACATGGGTGGAACTGACAGCTGATTGATTGATAGATAGATAGGAGCTGATCATGAGGAAAGCTAAGCTGGCAAAGCTTGGATCTGGTAGGTGATGTTCCTTGAAGGTTCTGGAACACAAGAGCAATGGGGTGAAGTCAGTCTTAAAATCAGGCTCTCCTGAGCACATGTATGTTAGCACAAAGTTGGTTATCTGCTTTAGTGCTCCAAAAGTGATCCAGATAAAACGTACACCGAGTTTTGTCATCTTGCCATAGCCAGAAACTTACTAGGATGCTTCCTTTGGCATGGACATAGATCGTCTCAGTCTCTGCTCTGCCCATGCTATTACCCATGTGCTTTAATTTTTCAGTCACTTCAACACTTCCTGGTTGACAGTCCAGAGTTCCAGAAACCACTGACTCTCCAGACACCACCTTTCACTGGGTACCACACTGGTGTGTTTTTCTACTTAACAAACACTTCACTACTCTACAAGACACGGATATTGTGTGAGAACTTGCATGGTGGTGTCACAATATTAAAATGAAAAGTTTGTACAGAAATATAAAAAGGTTTTCTTCTAAGACAAGTAATAGTAGGAATGTTTTAACTTCAACTAGGAAACTTTCCCCAAGGGTGAAAAATAAAAACATTTAGTCCATTAATGAATTGTAATTTTGTATCTTCCACACAGCACATTGTAATTGTTACATCAGTTAACAAATGCAGGTTTGTCTGTTCTCCAGTTCAGTAGTTTGCTTTTTTTTTTTTTTTTTTTTTTTTTGAGGTGGAGTCTCACTGTCACCAGGCTGGAGTGCAGTGATGTGATCTCGGCTCACTGCAACCTCCACCTTCCGGGTTCAAGTGATTCTCCTGCGTCAGCCTTCCGAGAAGCTGGGACTACAGGCACGATGCCCAACTAATTTTTGTATTTTTAGTAGAGACCGGGTTCACCATGTTGTCAAGGATGGTGTCGACCTCTTGACCTCCAAAAGTGTTGGGATTGCAGGCGTGAGCCACCGCGCCTGGCCTTGCCTTTTTTCTTAAAACCGAACTGTATCTCTGCTGGGGGCAGTGGTTCACTCCCTACATGACAGTCAGCTCCTCTCACCCAGCATGTCCTTTGATATCCCCATCACTCCCCAGTTGAGGGTCTCATCCACACTCAGTCTAGGCTTTGGTTAGCCTCCATAGAATCAGATAGTCACCAACCACACAGCATATGAACTTCATCCACAAAAGACCACAATTTGCTTTATCAAGTCTGATCACTGCAACAAGTCTTTTTCTAACAAAAAATCTCCTTGAGAGCAAATCACTAAATGTTCAGTAATAGAGAAGACACTAAGTAAATACATTGCCGAATAAAGATGTCTTCGTTTACCCTCTCACAAAGTACAATCCTTCTTAGTATTTCTTCTGAGAGTGATAAAGTCAGCTTGTGTCTTGTGTTATAAAGGAATGTTTTAACTTCAATTAAGAAACTTTCCCCAAGGGTCAAGAAAGTAACAAAAATATTTAGTCCATTAATCGAATTGTAATTTTGTATCTTCCACACAGTACATTGTAATTATTACATCAGTTATCAAATGCACATTTGTCTGTTCTCCAAGTTCAGTAGTTAGCCTTTTTCTTAAAACTGAACTCTATCTATGGAAAGGCTTTCCATTCATAGACAACTTGAATTTAGCTGGATGTATTACAGACTGTATGAAGCAACTCTTGTACCACTGGGGGCCCACCCTCCGCCTGAGACTGTGGAACATGATTTATGGGGGTGGGGGTGCATGAATGGCACACAAATGATGAGTAATTACTAGTGAGAGTAATTCTAGTATGTAGAATGAAAACAGGAATGGTTAAATCATTTTGAAGAGAATGAAGAAGTAAATTAACAATGCATTGCAAATACATTAGATTTTAATCTTTAATATCTAACATTATTGCTTTAGGAAAGTATTTCCCTGAACCAAGAATACAATGCTAATTGCATAAAAACATACACATATAAAAAGTAGTTCTCCATTTTCCCAGGAAAAAATCCAAGTATAACTTCTAGAATAGTCAAGTTTCTTATTTTTATTATAATTAAAGTCTTGGTCATTTCATTTATTAGCTCTGCAACTTACATATTTAAATTAAAGAAACGTTATTAGACAACTGTTACAATTTATAAATGTAAGGTGCCATTATTGAGTAAATATATTCCTCCAAGAGTGGATGTGTCCCTTCTCCCACCAACTAATGAAGCAGCAACATTAGTTTAATTTTATTAGTAGATGATACACTGCTGCAAACGCTAATTCTCTTCTCCATCCCCATGTTGATTTTGTGTATATGTGTGAGTTGGTTAGAATGCATCAACAATCTAACAATCAACAGCAAGATGAGCTAGGCTTGGGCTTTCGGTGAAGATTGACTGTGTCTGTCTGAATCAAATGATCTGACCTATCCTCGGTAGCAAGAACTCTTCGAACCGCTTCCTCAAAGGCTGCTGCCACATTTGTGGCATCTTTTGCACTTGTTTCAAAATAAGGATAGTCGCCGTTGTCCCTGCACCAAGCTTGGGCTTCTTCTGTAGACACCTGCCGTTCGCTTATGTCAATCTTGTTACCCAGAATCACAAAAGGAAAGCTCTCAGGCTCTTTCACATCTGCATAATATATGAATTCTTTCTTCCAGTTACTTAAGTTCTGGAAGCTTTGTGAATCATCGACACTAAAAGTAAGCAGGCAGCAGTCAGAACCTCTGTAAAATGGTGTCCTCAGGCTTCGGAATCGCTCCTGACCTGCCGTGTCCCAAATCTGCATGGTAACAAAATGTCCATCCACTTCCAAATCTTTATTTAAAAATTCCACACCTATTGTATGGAAGAGCTGGGTATCAAACTTATTAGTTACATATCTGTTCATAAGTGAACTCTTCCCAACTCCACCATCTCCAAGGAGAATTACTTTAAAAAGTGATGATTTTCCTGCCATTGTTAATCTCAAAAGCTTCAAGAACCCTGTAAAATAAAAAGGCACCATTACATTCCTTTATACCTACACATTCTTCTACATGATTCTACGAATATCAGCATTTAGCTGAAATAAAACATATGGCCCCAGGGAATACCTAATAATAAGACTTGTTGTTTACTGAGCACTTAGCCATGTGCAGGCTACTATTCTACCATTATTCTCTGAAACAGCTGGGAAGGGCTCACTCTTCCCTTTTCTCAGGTCACAGTTGACTGTGAAGCTGGCACTCAAGCCCAAGTCTGACCCCAAAGCCCTTGCTCTGAACCGTTACTCTATGATAAGCCCCTCTCTGCTCATAGTAAGCCCCACCATTTGTTAGAGATGGGTAGGAGACCAAAGTTCGCATGTTGTTGTTGTTGTTGTTTTGGTTTTGTTTTTTTTTTTGAGACAGGATCTCGCTGTCACCCAGGTTGGAGTGCATGGGACCATCTTGGCTTACTGCAGCCTTGAACTCCCAGGCTCAAGCAATCCTCCCACCTCAGCCTCCCAAGTAGCTGAAATCACAGGTGCACACCACCATGCCTTGCTAATTTTTCTATTTTTTTGTAGAGACAGGGTCTCAACCACGTTGCCCAGGCTGGCTTCAAACTCCTGGGCCCAAGCAATCCACCTGTCTTGGCCTCCCAAAGTGCTGGGACTACAGGCGTGAGACACCATGCCCAGCCCACATGTTTCTCTTAACAACTTCAAACAGCCCTTCAGTGCACAGTGATGGTGTTCACTTAAGGCCTCTCTCCTACCAGGGACTTTCTCTACTACTCCCTCCACCTCTCTTCAGACACAGGTGCTGTTAACCAGGAAAGCCAGAGACAGAAACTGACTTACCTGGCTGTGAAATAAAGTATGAACCAACCACTGAGTAAATGGACTTTATTCTCTTCATTAAGAACATTATTTTGAATTTGTTCAAATTAATGTCAGCAGCAATGGAATTTTTAATATAATCTAGCACATTCTATCCACAAGATTCACTTGGGCAGTTCAAACACTTAAGGAACATGAGACTGCTGCTACTTGTGTGTTTTCAGGTAGAATGAAATAAACCTTAAATGAAAATGTGGTACTATATGTGTTCTTTAGAAGTCCTGTGGCAGGATTAAAAACTTTACTACACTACAAGAGCCAGCCTGTGGGGGGTGAGATTTCAGATGCCCGTTGACAGACAGCTACTTCTAGGTGCTGGTGGGAGCACAGTTCCTGGTTAATCCTTCTGCTTACATTTTTATTGTGAAAAATGTAAAACATGTACAAAATTTCTATATAATGAGTACAATACAATGAGCTCCCATGAACTCTAAACCCAGCTTCACAATTATCAACTTATGGCAAATCTTGTTTCCTCCATAACCCCTCCAACTCTCCCTTCTCCCCAGTTATTTCGAATCAGATTATATCATTTAATCTGTACTTTAGTATTAAATGGTTTTTAAGTATACTAAAATGTATATAAGAAGATAACTATTAGAGCAGCACTGTACAAGAGAATTTTATGCAACAATGGAAATGTCCAATATAGCAGCCACTTAGCCGCATGTGACTGTGGAACACTTGACATGAGGCTGATGGAAGTGAAAAACCGCATTTTAAATTTTATTCAATTTTAAATAAATAGCCACATTTAATGAGCCAATTGGAGAGCACAGATCTAGAGCAAATTTGGTCAATAACCTTAATAGGAAAGTAGGTATTATGAATCCCTCCATGGGAAGGCAATAAAGACATGAACAATAATTGTTATATTGACCAGGATGAATTTGTAAAATCACTGCAGTAAACATTATCTGGCTGTCTCCTGGTTATATGCAATGTGAGCAACTATAGTGTAACTGAACACTTACTGTAACATGTAGGAATTCTGCACTTCTAGCCACATGCTCCACTGTTCTGATAAAAACCTTGTAGTGGCTTGTATAGTGAGAAATCAAGTGAATGGGAAATACTATTAAAAAATGATGGGACATACCTTAGTCCCTACCTCTTACTGGTTCTTTCAAATTACTACTACAGGCCAGGCACGATGGCTCACACCTGTAATCCCAGCACTTGGGGAGGCTGAGGCGGGCAGGTCACTTGAGGTCAGGAGTTCGAGACCAGCCTGGCCAACATGGTGAAACCCCGTCTCTACTAAAAATACAAAAAAAAAAAAAAAATTAGCTGGACGTGGTGGCAAGCGCCTGTAGTCCCAGGTACTAGGCTGAGGCAGGAGAATCCCTTGAACCTGGGAGGCGTAGGTTGCCGTGAGCTGAGATTGCACCACTGCACTCCAGCCTAGGTGACAAAGCAAGACTCCATCTCAAAAAACAAAACAAATTAATACTACAGTAATTACTACTATAATTAATATTAATACAATTTAAACTGTCCAACACAAGTGTGTGGCAGTTAAGGTGCATACCTTTTGAGAGACTTTTTCAATTTCAAATGTATTGCTCAATATCCAGACTATTAATGTTAAAGAGGAAACTGCAACAGTCCCAAGCCCCTTACTTTCCTGACATAGGTAACAATGTGCTAAATTGGCTGCTTTAATTCTTTGGCATCTTGCTTCAACAACTTAAAAAGAAAAGATTGAAAACCATAAAAGCAAACCAACTATTTTGACATAGGGGAACCATCTATCTAATGTCTCCTCAGAATTCTTCAGCGGGTTGTTTCCCAGAGATCCAGGACTAAGTCCAACTTCTAAGGCAAGACACCTGGCCCCTGCTCTTGGCCAGCCTCACTCTAGCCACCTTCCCCTCACAGTCTCTGCTTCAGTCATTCTGAATGCACCATCACCCGGAACTAAAATTCAATTCCACTCACTCAGCACACCCCACACCCTCTTGCCTCCACCCTGGCATATGCTGCTCCTTGCTGGTGACCCCCCCAATGAACCGCTGTGCCTTCAGAACTGCTTAGCATGGTCACCTCCACTGGGAACCCTGCCCCAGCAACTCTCCCAATGTTGTTCCTTTCACACAATTTCCATGTTGTGTTATGAGAGTACAACAGACATAATTTATTCCAGTATTTTAATAAGTCTCTACTGATCTAACAGCCTTACCAGACACAAAGTTTTACTGTACATCACTGAATTTTTAGCATCTTTATATCAAATTATAAGCCAGATCATGCAATCTAACAAACCCCACCCAGACTATTGGTTGCATATATCTACTAAATTAAGTTGTAGAAATTCCTTGAAAGTGGTAATTTGTAATTTTTCCAAGACACTTTGACAGTTCTTTTTTCATAATAATGTGGGACTTCTTAGTTTGTCTCATTCTGACCAAATGAATTTGGGGTATGCCAGCCCACCAGGAAACAGAGTATAGGGTACAATTTTTTACATTTCCCATCTACAGTTTGAGGCCTACCAGATATTCCTATTTGGGAATATATTTGCATTTGCTAAAATAATTAATTTCTACATGAATATCTCTCTAACTCTAGAGTTGTATAAAAACACACATGGTGATATAAATCATTGTACACACCATCTTATTTACCAGTGACATCTAACAAAAGCCAGTTTCATTTGATCTATACATTAATATAACCACAATCAGCTTATGGACATTAAAAATATTATTTTTTCTTTAAAAACAGTAAAATCCTTTGAAATTTCTTTAGTATAAGTTAAATAAATAAAGGGATCCTACTACGTTATTTTCAAAATTTGCCTAAAAAGGTAACGTGAAGTCTCTTATACTTCACAGTTTAAAATGACTGTCCAAAGGCAATTTTCACCAAGGTTAAACATTAGTAATTCTGCTAAATTCTATAAAGAAATCTGAATAAGGGGCCAGGCACAGTGGCTCATGCCTGTAATCCCAGCACTTTGGGAGGCTGGGGCGGACAGATCACTTGAGGTCAGGAGTTCGAGACCAGCCTGGCCAACATGGTGAGACCTCATCTCATCTCTGCTAAAAATACAAAAATTAGCCGGGCGTGGTAGCACATGCCTGTAATCCCAGCTACTCAGGAGGCGGAGGCATGAGAATTACTTGAACCTGAGAGGTGGAGGTTGCAGTGAGCCAAGATTGCACCACTGCACTCTAGCCTGGGGGACAGAGCTAGACTCTATCTAAAAAAAAAAAAAAAGAAAGAAAGAAATCTATATAAGAAAAGCATATTACATAGGTCATAAATTTTACCTTAATTTAATTGTTCAATTCAAGCATCATTATCTACATAAAAAAGTTAGAAAGCTCACCTTAGCAGTGTATGTTTTCATAATTTTAAGAGTAAAATGAAGAATTAAAATGTTAAAGTACAGTATCTGACTTCTATTAACAGCCAGATTCTTAACTTAAAAACCTGAATACTATCCATGACCTTTCTCAGCCCAAAAAAGTCATACAATCAATATTCTACTTTAATCATTGCATTTTTCAAAAAGTTTTTCATCTACCCATCTTCTTTTCTAAGTTTTATATTCAGAGATAGCTATGAAATTATATCAAGAGGAAATGTGTAATATTTCATTCATTCTTCAAAACTTGCCCAAATTTTCGGTGGCTCAGAATGAGTCATATTCCAGAGAATAAAATAAAGATAACACAAAAGGGAAGACAGAAAAGGGCCATGTGAGGGAGGGGCACCAACGTGATATAGGAAAGGTCAAGCTAAGGCTCAAGGTAGCCCACCTACAGGGCAGCCAAGGCAAAAATGAAAACGCTCTTGTTTCTGTGCAAATCAAAGCACACTGTCAGAAAAGAAAACTTCTTCCTGGCACCAAATGCCATGAGCACAGCCCCATGGACGAGCAATTTAACATCCTGAAGCCTCATGGGAACAACAGTGACAACAGTACCTACCTCCTAGGGTTGTTGAGAAGATGCACTCAAACGACACGGGAAAAGTGTTTCATCACAGTGCCAGGCTCATTACAGGAGTGCAAGAGTGTCTGTGAAATGAATACATGAAGAAGTCTTCACTGGCAGTTTTACAGACAGGTTCTTTCTATGGTCATGTCTTACATCAACCTTCAGTAAGGGCAACAGGCAGAACAAATTAGAGGATGATACAGGCCTACATTAGGAAGCTGAAGGATCCTAGTCCTACAGATCAAATTCAATGTCAAGGTCTCCCAGTGATCACTATGTGGAACTGTGCTAAAGTACTAGCCTCTATTGGTCTGAACCAAAGGTTTCAACCACTCTCCCCACCAACCACTTTTTAAAGCAAAGGGCATTTTTGTGGGACTTACATACAGCAGTCCTTAACTTATAAATTCAATCAATAATAAAATGAGACTTCAAAATCCTGACATTTGGGGTTGAAGATGAAACAACAACAACAGCAGCTAGCCTTGAGCCCAGTATGGTATGCAAGCTACAACACTGTGTTTATTCCTCACAAGTTTCTTAGTACCTATTACACATGACGATACTGACTCAGAGAGGTTACATACATGCTCAAGGTCACACACCTAGTAAAAGGTGGGAGTAAGATATGAACATGGCCGACTGACTCTAAAGCCCAGGCACTTAACCCACTAGGCTACGTCAATCCCAGCTGCCTATGCATCTGTTTCTGAGATTCTACTGTTGTTGCTGCAGGTAGAATGAAAATAAGCAATTGCAAATGGTAAGAATCTTTCAACCACTTGCTTTATTTCAAAATCTGCTCAAGAGCAAGGTTAACCTGACAGAACTAGTAATCTCCAATCTTACTGACATGTAGCATAAAGCACATGTGAGTGTCTATGCTTTATTAGAGTTTAAGTAGTTTAAAAAATGTTTTACATGAAATGAGTCAAATTTTGCAGAAGCTTACCATTTGGTAGAACGATTGGGAAAGGAATTTTTCAATAAGTATTTAGTGAGTGCCTACTATGAGCCAGACCCTGAGGATACAAGCCACACATACAGTCCCAAGTTTGTGACATCCACACAAAAATGCATTTAAGTCACAACTGTACCTCACAAAATGAGAGGTATATGGTACAAAGTACAACTATTCACACTCAACCAAAAATCGAAGAACACCTTAAAATAGTGCAAGGGATTCTGCCCACCATCTCCCTCAGTGAGTGAGACACACAATGTGTAAACCTGGGGCTCTCTCAATCACACTCAGATTCCCCATGCCACTATCTTACGGAGTTGCCTGAGTCCATGAGAGTCCAGCCACCTGGGGGACTTAATTTACATGCAAACATGATCCTGTAACACAGGCCAACTATTTCACTTGCTGAGCTACAGTTAAGGAAAAAGAGGTAACTTCTAATATCAGAGGTAAACTAGGCTGTGTTACACTGTGTTAATGAGAGACTGTACATCGGTTTCTAGTGTGATGTGTTCCAAAGCAATGTCTCCATGATCATTTTAGCCACGTGCTGCCATGAGAACACAGCCCTCACTAAAGTCTGATTCTGCTGGAGGGAGATTTGACCCAGGGGAAGTAGGTTTGACCACAGGCTAAGCTCAGCAGGAGAAAGAGAAAACTATGAGAAAAGAGGAGGGAGCAGGAACCAGAAAGTGGAACCAATCCATGCCAAAGCCCTGCCAAAGAAGCCTGGCCCTGGCATGAACTGGGAGAACTCAAGGTAGGCCTGAGCACCCGGAGGCTAGAGAGTGAAGAGTATGCTACAAAGACAAGACTGAAGGAAGAGGCCCAGGAGCAGGGAGGCGAGTAGAAGCCATGGAAAGGATTTCTGCCTGTACTCTAGGAATGATGGGGACCCTCTGAAATAGCTTCAGCAGTGGGTGACCTGGTCAGATAAGGAGTCCAGAAAGCTAACTGGATGCAATGGGAGAAGGGCTGTGGGTGAGGTGGGGAGGAAGGCCTTGGACAAGCTGGGATGGATGCTGCTATGATCCCTCTCCACTAACAGTGTCAGCTGGGCTTACGAATGAAAATTGAGGTGGTTATACCTCACACTTGATCCTCCAGTAAGATATTTACTATATGACTTCGTGTTTTACCTTGTTCACATTCAAATCCCTGGCCCTTTACCTGTCTAACTCCTAGTCAGCCGTGTGGATGCAGCTAGACCTCACCTCCTCCCGAACACCTACTGGACATCTCCAACTGAACCCCCTTCCTCGACACTCTTAACCATCCTGTGCGTGCCTCTACCATTTACCATAAGGAATTCTGTAATTGACATGCCTACTATGTCTAATAAAAGTGAAACATGCTCTCTTAACCCACATTACATGGATGTGTACTATCCAATTACAGAAATGTCCATACATTTCTGAGTTGTCAATGTTTTAGATTGCACCAAAAAAATGCATACCCATACTATTATCAAACCACCTTCCCCTAAAAAGAAAGACAATGTCCATCAATTAATGAATGGATAAATAAAATGCATCATACATCCATGCAATGTTGTAACGTAGATAAACCTCAAAAACATTATGCTAAGTGAAGGAAGTCAGAACAAAAGGCTACCTATTGTATGATTCCATTTATATAAAATGTTCAGAATAGGCAAATATGGAGATGGTAGATTCATGGTTGTCAACGGATGGGGCGGGGGGCAGTGGCAGGTAAAGGAGGAGGGACTGCTAATGGGTATGGGGTTTTTTTGGGGGGGTAATAAAAATATTCTGGAATTAGATAGTAGTGATGGTTGTACAACTCTGTGAATATACTATAAACACCAATCAACTGTATACTTTAAAAGGGTGAATTCGGCCAGGCGCCATGGCTCACGCCTGTAAACCCAACACTACGGGAGGCAGAGGCAGGCAGATCACTTGAGCTCAGGAGTTTGAGACCAGCCTGGGCTACATGGTAAAACTTCATCTCTACAAAAAATACAAAAATTAGCTGGACATGGTGGCGCATGCCTGTAGTCCCAGCTACTCAGAAGGCTGAGGTAGAAAGATCACCTGAGCCTGGGGAGGTCAAGGCTGCAGTGAGCTGTGATCACATCACTGCACTCCAGCCTGGGTGACAGAGTGAGACCCTACCTTGAAAAAAAAAAAAATTTTTACTGTATGTGAAAATATATGTGCAAATCTCCTGAGAATTAAAAATATGACCCTAGAATTAGATTTACACTACTAGAGCTACAAATGTTCTCCTTGTCCCTTCAGCAGCATCCCTTTAAATAAATCATTTACATGTACAACAGACACTACTTTAGGATTCCCACACCACGTGCCGGTACCAACATATGCTGTATGTGTCATACACTAATCCGAATGTAAAGTTGGATAAGCAGGTCACTGGCAGGAAAACAAATGAACCACATTGCCAGCAGATACGGCAAAATTCAAAAGACAAAAGAACATTTTATGTTAACCCTTTCCTTCTTATAACACTATTTTCCCAACTTTTCCATTATGTACTTTTATCTTATACTATCAATTGTTCATGAATAGTTTATCAGTAGTACCCTTTTCTCTGGCCTTCTCCAACCCCTTGCTGGCTTCCAAAGCCACATCCTACAATAAACCAAGGGGAAGAATAGAAAGCCTCAAGGTCCAAGCATCAAGAATTTAAATCTGCTGGCCACGCACGGTGGCTCATGCCTGTAATCCCAGCACTTTGGGAAGCCGAGATGGGCAGATCACTTGAGCCCAAGAGTTCAGGAACCAGCCTGGGCAACATGGTGAAACCCCATCTCTACAAAAAATACACAAATTAGCCAGGTGTGGTGGTGCCTGCTTGTAGTTCCAGCTACTTGGGAGGCTGAGGCAGGAGGATTGTTGGAGAGGCAGAGGTTGCAGTGAGCCGAGATTGTGCCATTGCACTCCAGCCTGGGTGACAGAGTGAGACTCTGTCTCCAAAAAAAAAGAATATAAATCTCTAATATGACTGTGTATGTGACTGAAGTTAGACTTTTTTTATTGGTCCTGGATCTAATTGTCTCCATTCTGACAGATAACTAAATTCATTTATTTATTATTTTTATTATACAGGATTTTGAGCATGGCATTCAAAGAGCTATTCAATGTCAGTTACAAGCCTGTCCCAATTATATCCCTACTACTCACCATCCCCGCACCTATCACTGGCATTTTCTGTCCATATCTTTGCTCGGGCTGTTACTTTGGCCTGGGAGGCCCCTCCCTACTTCGACAGCTATGACAATCTTAGTCATCAGAAGCCTAGTCCAGATTACCTCATGTAGGAAGCCAGGACCGCCCCAGCAACCTAATCTTTCTCTTTTCTTTGCTCTCATCATTTCCACCTCTTTACAGCTCTCATTTACTTATGCTCTAATCACCTTCAGTTGTGTATGTGTCTGTTTCCTAATTACAATGTCAACTCCCTGGGAGGGACACACAACACCTAATTGCATCCATTCACTTGTCCCTTTTTTGTTCTGCCACTTCTCGTACAATGCTCTACATTTGGTGAGGTGCAAATAAATGCTACATTGAGAACGAAGAGTATATTACTTCCTCTTTTATTCTTGTTATTCTATTATTATTCTATTTGTGCTTTCTGTACCTAAAATTCTTTGTTTCTCTATCAGTTCTCCCCGCATTCTATTTTTGAGGTCTATTAAAATGTGTGGGTAGGAACAAAAACATTGATTCTTACTTGCAATCCCAATGAGAATCCCACTTTAAAATAAGTACTATTGACTGACTGCGACAGGGAGCTGGCAAATGCTGAAAAACGACTACATTCCTTAATAAGCTGCCAAAGGGAGAGCAGGCATCATTTGTAAACTGCCTTCTCAAAACTTGAGATTTTAAAACACATACTCTGTAACCCCTCCAAAAACTTAAAATGAATTTATCACTCCTGGTTTAAATTTAGGAACAGATTTTTTTTTTTTTTTTGGTCAAATTCACAAGTTCCTTTGGATTCACCCTGAATGTCCTACTTAGAGGTGTACTTACCACTTCATTTCACTTCATAGCTTGAGGAAATGAGGTTCAAAGAAAACCAGGGAAACAAAAGCATGGATAATCTGAAAATTATTTCTATTTTTGCTGGAGCTGTATTTATTTCCTCATAGCTTAATTTAGGCGTGTCTCACTTAACAGCCTAATTGGTTCCACTGTTTGTTTCTAAAAACTTCCTGATTGTCTTACAGAAATTTATGAGCAAGAAGCAAGTCAAGGAAAGTCATTATGTCTAATGGGTACCAGCTCTACAGCAAGAAATTACCAAGAAAAATAAATAAAGAATTAAGAAAAATACTGTCAGAAAATACCATACTTAGTGTGCAGGAAGAAGCAAAAGAAAGAAAAGGAAATACCATAGGAATAGGCCAACTTGGAGGCAAGACCTGCCAAGGTGAAATAAATTATCTAGTCCTATCTAGTTAATCACTGAGCATTACCTCAAGAACAGGAGGCAGCTAGAGGAGAAAAACTGTATTATCAAACCATACTATCGCTATGTCAGAGCACCTCCCCTATTGAAAGAACTTATTTCAATTAAGTAACTTTTTTTGAAGCTGAATCAGCTAACTTAACTTTTAAGAAATATGTTAACATTTTTCTTAAAACAAGGCACCTCTGTAGGTATGTTAACTAATCACTAACAGTGGTGGGGGGAGTGGGAAAGGAGGAAGTGAGAAGGGCCAAAAAAAAAAAAAAAAAAAAAAAGAAAAAAAAGAAAAAGAAGACTTAGTTAAGGAACTAAATCTTAAACCATCATGAAACTATATAGTGCAGCAAAATCCAACAGACCCTTCTGCAATGACGACAATGTTCTATAATCTGCACTGTCCAATATGGTAGCCACTAATCACATGTGGCTACTGAGCACTGGAAAGTAGCTGGTCTAACTGAAGAACTGAATTTTTCATTTAATTTTAACTAGTTTAAATTGCTACATGAGGCTAGTGGGAACTGTGTTGGACAGTGCAGGCCTAGAGTGTGGTTAATTGGGAGTCCATGAAATGAGCTTCAGGGAGAAAATACACTCCCTAGAATCACATGTGAAATAAGGATGAGAGCATTGGTGGAAGCTTGTGTGCTTGCGCTTTTTTTCTGGAAAGAACAAAAAATGTTTCATCAGATCTTAAGGAGTTTGGACACCAAGAACTGATTGCTACATGCCTGCATCATTTGTATGTTATGTGTGATCCATTTCTGTAGCTCATAACACCCTTCAAGAGTTTCTGTCTTTAGCAGAATTTCCTCTTTTTCTCCCTCACCCATGAGACTTTTATGAATATCACACTTTGACCATAAACTGTGATAGTTCAGTGAACAGCCTTACTCATGGGAAACTGCTAGTCCTGAGAAGTGAGAATAATTTTTTTTTGTTTTGCTTAAGTTTTAAGAACCAAGCATAAATCTACCTGCGATGACACTTACCTGTAAAAGGTACTTACAATACTTTTTGACAATAGAGTGCACTTTGGAAGACAGAATTAAAATGCAAAGACATAGATAAAAGTCACAAGATGAGAACATGGGGAATTAAAGGTAGATATTTCAGGAAGAAAAACAAATTATGAAAGGAATGAATTTGAACATATATGTCAGAAAAATATATTAAAGCAGCAAAACACAAATCAAAAATGATCTGCAACGTTCTGCTATCACCTAAAGAAACATTGGTTCTGAGGCCTCCCTTCCAGTTCGATAAGAAACCAAATGTCTTTAATTTACAGCAGACAAAGCTAGGGGTTGGGGAACTATACAAACTCACTGAGTGAGGGGCTCCACAAGGCATGGAGCCACAGCAAAAGGAAACTTCTCGACTGTTAGAGAAGTTAATTACAAGGAGTGAGGATTTCCTAAGAAGATATATTTAAAGAGGGGCAGCTATGTCCGGTATATAGGACTCGACTAGACTAGAGGCTCCCAAATACCACTCTGCAGGGAAGTTGTCACCAGCTCAACACTGCAGGCAGCTCTTCATCAAGTTCAGTTTATCCAATGTAACTGTCACTTTGTCAATGATCCCCCCAGGTCTGCCCCTATCGAAGTGTTGAAACTGACTTTTCTCACAAAAAGCTTTCCAAGCCCAACCTCACTCTGCCCATCACTACCCATTTCTCAATGTGCCTGCAAACCTGATTAACTCTCTGCTCAGTTTATAGGACACCAGGGCTCCCACCCCATCCTTTCCCCCTGATTGTCAGCAAAAGTCACCAAAGACCTCCTAATGGCCAATCCAATGGCTTTTTCTCAGTCCTCATCTGAATGCCCTACGGCACATACAACCCTAAGGTGAATACAGGGAAAAGTTCTTCTCTCAGGACTTCATTGTGTATGTTTCTAGAAAACACCTGCAAGTTTGACCAGCATCTCCACCTGAGGCCCAGCTAGTATATAGTGAATTCTCTCAGGTGTAGCCATCTGTCTGAATGTGCATGAACTAAAATCTTGGAAGGGTACCCAAGTCTTTTTTCTTTTTTTAAAAGACAGAGTCTTTCTCTACCACCCAGGCTGGAGGGCAGTGGCATGATCATAGCTCACTGCAGCCTCAAACTCCCGGGCTCAAGTGATCCTCCCATTTCAGCCTCCAGAGTAGCTGGGACTACAGGTGCATACCACCAAGACTGGCTAATTTTTTTTTTAATTTTTTTTTTTTTTTTGTAATGACAAGGTTTCACCATCTTGCCCAGGCTGGTCTTGAACTCCTGGGCTCAAGCAAGCCTCCCTCCTTGGCCTCCCAAAGTGCTAGGATTACAGGTGTGAGCCACCGTGCCTGGCCTCAAGTGTTTTTTAAAAACAAATAAGGAAACAGGTCTAACTGGGAAAGTGTCTTACACAGGATCACACATCTAGCTAGAGGCACAGGGGAGACCTTCAAGTCTGAGCCAGGACTTACCACCCATTACTGCTTCTATCAGGTCCAAACAGCCTGGCAGTAATCCTCTTGAAAATGTTTCCTAATTGTCCATAAAACCACTCTGATAATAGGTTCTGCTTTCTCTCCTCCTTGGCCCCTTAGCTTTCTTCAACATAGACAGCTCCCTTTCCTGACAAGCTCTTCATGAAGCTATTTCACGAGACTGAAACCCTTACCTGTTTCCAGATGGTATCTCCCTGGGCTATAAAAACCAGTGATTCCTAAAGTCTACATCCGCATGTCTGAGCCAGACAAGAATTTGCAACCCCTTGTATAGTATGTTCATCTGGTACCCTGATGGTAGTTCAAATTCAACATATCTAAAACTGAGCTAATTATTTTCTCCATTTCGAAAATCTCTTTCTTTTCTCTTACGCACTTCATTCAGCCACACATGAAATATGTCCACTTTTCGCACTACCTATTGCTATTGCCTTGCTTGCTCAAATAATAAATGCTATGGCTGTAATTATATTAGCAGCCACTATTAACTGAATATCTACTAGGTACCTGGCATATAGCACCTTAAAATTACCTGCAAGTTGGACACTATCATCCATGTTTTATAGATCAATAAACAGAAGTCCACAAACTTCCCCAGGTCTAACTAAATAGGGCAGGTCAAGTATGTGTTATCTTCACTCCCACCCAGTGACAGAAAAGGTCTACGTAAGGTACAAATCCAAAAAGGACACCAAGAAAGAACAACTGTAGATGCAAGACAGCAACAAAATTTAGAAAGTGGAAAGCAAATGGTCCGGGAGTGACAGAGTGAAGAGACAATGAAACCTAATGCGGAAAGCAGCAGCCAACAATGAGAAAGCTGATTCCCACCAGAGAACTGGAAAAGAACTGAACAGCACACGGGCACTTCTCGAGACTTCTCCAGACAGGCCGGGTCCGGAGGCTCGAGGGGTCCCTGAAAGGCTGTAGATTCCATGACCCACATCCCTGTGCTACCCTAGCAGACCCACTTCCTAAGGAATTGCACCCAGCAGAAAATGGAGAGAAAGCACAAAGGAAAGTGGAGCTGGAGGGACGATTTGCACAGGAAACCTGAACTGCAGTCTCTTTCCTGTCTGTCCCTCCCCTCAGCTTAGCAACTAAAAGGGTAGCATCCCAAAACTGCAAAGCTCTGGGGGAAATGAGGGGCCCAAGGGAAAAGCTTACAGATACTGGAAGGGGGGATGGAGAATTAAAAACGGACTTTGATGCCTTTTCTCCTCACCACTATACCTTGTAGTCCATAAACTAGAGCCAATAATACCAACTTCTAATCCTGAGGTTCCCAAACTGCATGCTGAGGTGCCCCAAAGCATCACGGCAAATTCACAAGGGCAGGGTGGGCTATTTTAAATTTCTGAGGGAAACATAGATACTTGACATTTGTAGGGCACCCCACTGGAGGGGAGTTAATTAGATTGCACTGCATTCCTTTCGATGACATCATATCTTCATGAAGCTAGGTTTTCCAGGACTGCTGTGATAAAAATCAAGTACTGGGCACAAATTAAAGTGGATTATGAGGGTGGCAACTGTTTGCTCCCAAACAACTATTTTTAAATGTTATTTAAGAATACTAGCACTCATTCCAAAGAATGTTCTGCATTCACCAATGGGTAGTCCTCAGGCAGTTCTAATCTGACTTCCAACCACATTATGTATGTATTTCCAGGTATATACATCTGATCAAATACACAGGTGTGAAACTGCACAGACCAGAGCAGTCACCTAGCTGCATAAACACTCCTATCTGTTAGAGTTCTGCACAGCAAGTTGTAGAAACAGAGGTCTGTAAGGCTTTTTTTTTTCCCAGGTTTTTCTAACTCTGAGAACATAGACAGTCTTATGGGCACTAACCTTTTGGAAATTACCTTAGCTTCTGTACCCAAAAATCTAATCCAATTCACAGGAACTTGAAATTAAAATACAGTAGTCAGTTCAACTCCTTTATACTGTTTTGCTCTCTGTCACACTTGAATAAAGAATGTGGCAATGAAATGAATGTGTCCAGTTGTTCTATAGTGTTTCTCCATCCCCTGTCAAACAACAGAATATGTTTGTACGAGTCAGGCCTAAGACAAAAGTGGAGTCTGTGTCCACAGACTCCCAGAGAACTCCTGGAGAATGCAATGAGCTGGCTTCCATGCAGCCAGAATGTGAAGCCTGAACAGCCTGTTTCACTTCTCCATTTTTTTTCCAAAATACACACCCAGTCTCTCTCCACCTCAGGCAGATCTAGCTGTTACCTTACATTCATTTACACCTAGTCATCCTCACTGTATTCATAATAAGCAACATAATAACAACGCCTGAACTCACCATGGTCAAAAATTAACAAAAGGATTTGAAAAATCCAGAATGTGGAAATACCCAGAGCACACAGCTTCACAACATGCACAGTACCAAGAGTCATGGTGAGAAACAGAGATTTCTCCTCCAAGTTATCTAACTAGCCCTGGCACCCCTGGGCTCTCTGGCAACACGGCCTGGGACCGCCTCCGACCTCCCTCCCCTCTGCCTACACACCTAGGTGGCTCCACGTCTCCTCCCTCAGGCATCCTCGCCTTCCAATTGCATCATAGCTTTCCACCAAACTCCCTGAAACATTTTTTGAGTTCACCCTCACTCCTCTACAAAAAAGTCCTTAATAAATGTTCTCTGTTGATGGCCTACTTAGTCACAAATCCTATTCTCTTATGCTTGGTTCTGACTGAAGAGTCTATTATCTATACACCTTTCAAGTTAGATGCGTTGCCCAAACACACACACACTTCCATTTGGCTTACTTCCTCCTCCTGCTGCTTAACACATTGCCTGGGCAGAACTACTTGGAAGCTAATAATTTGCTGCCTCTACTTTGTGACATATAATCTCCTAGAGATTATGAAGCACAGCCATCTCATTTTACCCAGAAGGAAATGTGGTGACCTAAGTTGGCTGGAGGAGCAAGCCAATTAATGATCAAACAAGACAACTCTAGCACCAATTTATCTCGACCTTTCCCAGAATAAAACACGTCACTTTTGTTAGATTCCATGTGTATGCACTAGCAATCATTTTGAGGTGTGTAACTCAACATCCTCCCTACCCCACAGCAGACAACTCCTGATAAGAGGCAGAGAAATCTATTCATCAGCAAAGAACGTGCTGTGCATTGGCATGAGTCAAAAACCAAAGCTACCGACAAAAAGATGCCATGTTGATTGCGTGAATAACACTCAGTGATGCCTAAAAAGAGATGCGATCCTTTTTGACTGCTCCAGTCAACCACTCCCTCCCAAAGTTCACCTAACAGTTAATACTGCCACCAGAATGAAGCAGTACATATTTTGAAAGGCCTGATCTTAGACAGGCATGAAAAAGAGACCAGAAAACACCAGAAAGTTATGGAAAAGCCATTAAAAAATTCATCATTTCTTTCTCGATTCCAGTGATAAAATGCAGGCATAACTATTTGTCTGGTGAGGTGAAATTTAAGGATGAATTTTATGCTCAACAAGAATGGCTTCTCAATTTGATTCTTGTAAATATTCACACGTGGTTAACCGTACAAAACTATAACACACACATCAAGTTTTCCCCATTTTATTTAAGTCTGCCCACAGTAAACACCATGACACAGGTACTTCTGTGCCGAGTGTGGAGTTGTTTTCTTTAATTATTGTTATTTTTTTAGCGACAAGGTCTCACTCTATCGCCCAGGCTGGAATGCAGTGGTGTGATCATGACTCACTGCAGCCTTGAACTCCAGGGCTCAAGTCGTCCTTCTGCCTCAGCCTCCAGAGTAGCTGGGACATGCACCACCACACTGAGCTAGGCTAATTTTTTTTTTAATTTATTTTTTGTAGAGACGGGGGTCTCACTATGTTGCCCAGGCTGGTCTCAAACTTCTGGGCTCAAGTGATCCTCCTGTGTGGGTCTCCCAAAGCGCTGAGATTACAGGCATGAGCCACCACACTCAGCCTGTTTTGCTTTTTTTTCCTGTTTTGCTTTTTTTTAATGAACACCTGGCCCCTGTCCTTGAGTAGCCCAGGCAATAAATTCTGTTCTAGGATGATGTCAGAACCTAATCTTATGACTGTGATTGGACTGTAAGCTTCAGGAAGGTTGGGACTCCCCACCGCCCTTCTCATCAGCACCTTTGTATCAGTGCCCCACAGGCTGCTCAGACAACTGAAATAATGCAGAAACTAAACTTTCTAAGTCCACTTTAATGGCTCTGAATAGCTCTAAAGTTCTTTTTGTCATTTTTGCCTTACAACAAAAAACAGATTCTGCTACCAGAAATTATTTGGTCTTTTTTTTTTTTTTTTTTTTTTTTTTTTGAGATGGAGTCTCATTCTGTTGCCCAGGCTGGAGCGCAATGGCGTGATCTCGGCTCACTGCAACCTCTGCCTCCCAGGTTCAAGCGATTCTCCTGCCTCAGCCTCCTGAGTAGCTGGGATTACGGGCATCCGCCACCACGCCTGGCTAATTTTTGTATTTTTAGTAGAAACGGAGTTTCACCATGTTGGCCAGGCTGGTTTCAAACTCCTGACCTCGTGATCCGCCCACCTCGGCCTCCCAAAGTGCTGGGATTACAGGCGTGAGCCACCGTGCCCAGCCACTCACTCTTTAATCTTTCAAGTGAATATGCTTCTCAGTAGAGAGAATTTTCCCCTGCTCACTGTTAAAATGATGAGGTATCCCAAATAGGAAAACGACATTGCATTTGAAAAACTACAAAAGCAGTTGAAATGTAAGCTCTGGGGTTACTTGGACTGCTGAAAAGGAGGGTTTCTCAACCGTGGCACTAGTGACATTTTGGGCTAGACAACTCTGTTGTGGGGGGCTGTCCTGTAGGTTATAGAATGTTTAGCAGCAAAATTTAAAAATTAAATAACAAAAATAAAAATAAAAAAGAATGTTTAGCAGCATCCCTGGCCTCTACCCACTAGATGTCAGCAGCACCTCCCTTGCCCCCAGGTGTGAACCAAAGATGCCTCCAGGCATTGCCAAATGTCTCCTACGAGGACAAAATTGTCCTCTCTTCCAGTTGAAAACTACTACTCTAAAATTACCCAGACCTGCTTTGAATCCCCGCTCCACCCCATCACAACCTGGGTCATCTTGGAAAACAGACTGAACCTTCCTATGCCCCCCCAAATTCCTCAACTGTAACATGGAGCTCTTACTGAAGAAATGCTATGGAAATTAAATAAAATGATGTACGTACAGGATTTACACGTACGGAATATTCGCCGCAGAGTGAGTGCTCAATAAATGGTCAGAAATGAGGGGAGGCTAAAAAAAAATAATTTCGAGAACTCAAGGATCTTCTCTTTAGGCCTCCAGAGTACTGTAGTCCAGACAGAAGAAATGGTTGAGATAGAAACAAAAAGAGATGAGAGAGGTTGGAAAAGAAGTGATAGCACTAAGGTATTATTTCCCTTATCTCTAAAACCCGGCTTGGAGTCAAAGCCAATGATGTTCTACTTAGTGTTTGCCTATCTACTCTAACATTCCAAATAATAAACGAAAAAATATGCCCAGATCCCAAAAGTCTCCAGAAGAGAAACTTTGTAGTATAAACGAGGAATTTACCACAGCAGACACAAAAATACTAAAAGCACCAGACTGCCACAGCATTGTCTTAGATTTAGGAATCCAAATAACTACTAAAGTTCTAGAGAAGCAATCATGATAACTTCATAATCTTCTAAAGGAAAAACTAAAGGCTGGCTTCTTAAAAGTTCCTAACTGAATCGTTCCAGGTTTCTTTATCTCTAGTTTTGCTACACTGGACAGCTTCTGAGAGTACAGGCAATGTAGGGATTTTCCATTACAATGGTGCCAGAGACCGAAGGACAAACACATTTTTAAAGAAGCAATCAAATTCTGCCCATTGATTTTTATCAGGACGCTAAAATCCTATGAAAAGATTGTGGTCACGTGCCGATTTGGAAACTAGCAGAAAAGTTATTCCTCAAAAGAACTGTAGTCACGAGATGTGTCATCCCTTACCAAAAAAAAAAAAAAGCAATACGTCCACCAACTATTTATTAAGTTCAGCACTTAAATTTCTCATTTTGCCTTTTTACTTACCAAGTTGGAAGAAAAAAGGGAACGCGATTGTGAAACGTTAGCCAGCGTCTGAATCAGATAATGCCCCCAAAACGCCTGCAGCCTCTAAGATTGGCTTTACTTTCCGAATTCCTCACCCGAGTGGTCGTAAGACATCGAGCAAACACGTTCTGCTAGGTGGAACTTCAGAGGTCGCCAAAATCAAGTCATGGGAGCGCCTTTGTTTTCCCTACATTAATCATTCGGGTGTAGGATTTGGTTTGGGGTCTGTGGATGTGTGTCCCGGAGTGGTTGGGGGAAAGGCTGGCGTGTACGTGTGTTCCCAGGTGACCGGGTGTATTTCTCCGTGTGTATGTGCACGGGTGTCCGGGCTTTTGTATCTCCCTTTCTCCAGTGTTTGTGTGTGTTTCTGTGAGTCCCTCTCCCCAAGGGTGTGGGGACCGTCTTTCCTCCTGCGTCAGAGAGGAGGCAGGGAGACAACCAGCCGTCCTCTCTCCCGGGGCGGCCTTGTGACCCGCGCTAGCCCCGCGCGCACCGCACCCCGCCCCAGCTGCCCGAGGCCCGAGCCGCCCCCTCAGACCCCGACACCCGCGCACTCCGCCCGGTCCCGAAGGAGTCCCGAGTCCCGCTCACCTCGCGGCCACACGAAAGACGACCCGGGAGCTCTGGGCCGGCCCGTCTGGGCGCAATGAGGACAGAGAGAGGGTCGGGGACCTGCACAGCAGGAGGCAGCCGCGGTAGCGCAGCCAGGCTCCCGCTCCAGCTGCTCCCGTCCAGCGCGGAGGGAACAACATGGCGACGGGCCGGGGCGGGGCCAGGGAAAAAGCGGGGCGGGGCCTGGAAGGCGGGGTCCCGCGGCCGAGACCCTGGGGGACGGGCGCGGGGAAGGTGGAGCCGAGGCAGGCGGGGCCTGGATCGTGCTTTTCCTTCGGGTCGATTGCTCCTGAAGTGTCCTCCCGTCTGCGTTCGGGCGACAGCGAGTACGAAATAACTGTCATTTTGAAAAGTTTACGTAAAGTGGAAATAAACAGACCTCATGAGCACAGTCACAGGATGTCGTGATTACAATGATAAAAACGACTAGTCAAACGGACAAAGAACAAACAGGTGGATGAAAAATGAAAACAGTTGTGATACTGTGGAAAAACAAGAACTTTTTAAATGAAGCTATTAAAACTTTCCTTTAATCTTGTTAAAATACTGCCTCTGTCATCTCTGAATAGAAAGCGATGGTGCAAAAGGTGGTATTGGAGAAGCTCTCCTTAAGTCCTTGCTTTATGTATGAAGTTGAGTGCATGGATCCTATGATACAGAACCCTACAGGCGGGAGGGACTCATAGGGACATCTCAATACGTTTTGTACGGTGATTTAGTTTGTTTATCAGAAAACCAAATACTGCGTGTTCTCACTCATAAGTAGAAGCTAAATGATGAGAACTCATGGTCACATAGAGAGGAACAAGAGACACCAGGGCCCACTTGAGGGTTGAGGGTGTGAGGAGGAAAAGGAGCAGAAAAAAACTAGGTATCAAGTACTATGCTTATTACCTGGGTAACTAAATAATCCGTACACCAAGCCCTTGCAACAGGCAGTTTACCTACATGACAAACCTACACATGTACCCCTAAACCTAAAATAAAAGCTTTTTAAAAAAGATTTAGTCTGTTTATTTTCCAAGACAAAGATCTCACTTTTATGATGCTGGGGCTCACAACAAGTTAAATAATCTCCAGCTTTTTGGGGAGTCATTTTCAGGTAATGACTTTTCATTCAGCACTAGAAAGGTCATGTTTGAGAAAGTTCCTCACAAATTAAAAAGGCAATTTTAGAATGCTTCTGAAAACGACACATAAGCTTAAATAATTGTTTTCTCATAAACAGAAATCTATTTCTTATCTGCAGGTCATTTCCCCAAGGAAATATGTATAAACGTTTATAAAATACAAATCTGTTAAATTGGGGGGAAGAAGAAATATACACTATCTTGTTTTAAAACACATATTAAAAGTACACAGTAAAACATTATATATGAACACTAGAGTTAATTTTCCAATAGAAAAAAAAGTCATGTACATTGGGTCAAATTGCAACAAGCAATCCACAGGGTAATTAAAGAAATGCCACCTGAAAATCGTATATCCTAACCATAGTCAAGGAGTGATCAAATAGGAGTTTATCTGTGCAACTGCTAATGCCAACTAGCTATTAACAAGTGATCTCATAAAATTATTGTATTTTGAGTTAAAATAAACCTTGACAAACCCAACAGCTTTCATAAAAATGTTCTAAGAAGGTTCCATAAGTGACTCTCAGGCTGTTCCAAAATGTAAGAAGGCATTCAAACATATTTGAGTGTAGCTTATAGTACCTTAAGAAAGAATAAGCTTAGAAAGTTACTTTCTCTAAAATTACTATCAGTTGGATACTAGCCAACTGACATTTAAGAAAGTTAGTATATTCTGGTCTCTTCCACCATTCACTTCTTAACCACATTTCTATGTCAGTGCAAGAGTAAAGTGGGTTAAAAGATTTTTCTCTGAAGGGCAAGTTTGGGGGATTTTTGTTATTGGATGTGTGTGGTTGGTAAGCTGATGCAAGTTGGATAGACAGTTGCTATCTCTCTTGCTCCATAAACTTGTTCCTTGATGAAAACATTAAAGAACTAACCTAGTTTGACTCCCTTCATCTAACGAAGATTTTCATCTTTATATTCTGTAAACACCAATGCATCACTCACGGGAGAGAAAGAGGCCAAAGTTGCTATGCATAAATGATTCTTTTACTTAAATAACACCTACTTATTACTATAAGTACTAGGAGTTAATACCCCATCTCAAGCTGGAGACTGAAAGAAATCACTTCTGGCATCTCTGATGAAAAGCTACAAGTGGCTGGGCGTGGTGGCTCACGCCTGTAATCCCAGCACTTTGGGAGGCCGAGGCCGGTGGATAATGAGGTCAGGAGTTTGAGACTAGCCTGGCCAACATGGTGAAACCCCGTCTCTACTAAAAATACAAAAAAATTAGCTGGGTGTGGTGGCGTGCGCCTGTAATCCCAGCAACTCAGGAGACTGAGGCAGGAGAATCACTTGAACCCGGGAGGTGGAGGTTGCAGTGAGTCAAGATTGCGTGCCACTGCACTCCAGCCTGGGCAACAGAGTAAGACTCTGTCTCAAGAAAAAAAAAAAGCTACAAGTAAGTGGGCCCTAGACTCGGGTACAGTAAATACTGATGATAATTGAACTGCTTTTATTTTCACATACAAGGAAAAACACAGAACTCAGTTGTAGACCATTTCACCATTATATTACATATGTAAATAGTCACAAATTTGATATTTTTCCTAAGTTGTTTGGCCAAATAACAGATTTGGTCGTAATACTGCATAGATGTTCTTCTATAGCTGTACTAAGAGGGGGAAAAAGCATAAAATATACATAAAAGTAACTCAAAATTTGTTATATTTGGCTTTAAAGTCAAGCCGGAGTGAAAATTCATAACAACATATGTTAAGTGAAAAAGAACATTACCAAATAGTATATGGAAGAAAAATCCCAATTTGGTTGAGGAAGCGTTTTTTATAATATATAGCTTTTCAACATATATTGACGTATTTAATAATGCATTTATTTATATACTTACATATTTATATAATATATACATCTTCAATATTTTATACCAATGTCACACTTACCCAGTTTGCCTAGATACTAAGTTCAGCATGTTTCTTGCACTAATATAGAACTTTTGATAGTGATTCTTAAGTCAGATAAAATTTCAATGTATAAGGAAATGCCAGAAATTGGATTTCTTCACTGCTCTGCTTAAAAAGGAGTTCTCAAGCAAAAATGAATAGGAGCATCATCCTTAATCCATATATCACCAGTGAGCAAATTTCAGAATTTCCAGACTCAGATTGATGTAAGCAAATGAAAATTCTGGCCCTCAATCAAATAAAACATATATTCTTTCATGAGTCCCATGAATTCTATCCAGTGGACACTGTCAAATGGCAACCTGGGCGTCAAAAGCCATTGCCATGCTTCCTTCTGTCAACCTACACACTGTCAGAAGGGAGGTGGGCATGGCAGGCAGGAGCCAACACAACTCACGCCTCTCAAGTTTGTGGGTAACCACCACGCTCACCCAAATCCCTCCAATGCCTGCAGCATAGACACATGTTTACTGTCTCTTCCCTTGGGTGATTTTAAGATTTGCAGGAAATGAAAAGTCAGTTCATGTTAATACTTATTTATTCAACAAATATATAGTGAGTGTGTACACTGTGCTAGGTGCTGAGAATACAGAGTAAATAAGACACAGGAGGAATTCAGGGGGCGTCCCCAGCCACCATCCCCTTCTCTGAGGACAAACACCCTCCTCCACATTTTGGCTCCCATCCACCAGTTTTTAAAAAAATGTTATGTGACTTTTTCTTGGTGAACAAAATAGATTCAGTTCCTTTTCTAGGAGAGCTTAGAGAAGATTGGAGGAGACATTCAATAAGTAACTAAACAAATGTGTAGTTACAAATGGACTGCAGAAAATAATCAAGGTGCAGTAGGTGGGAATATAGGGTGATGATACCAGAGAAGGCAGGAATGAGGAGGTGACTCATGTCGAGCCCTAAGAATGAGCAGGCAGCAATGGGAAGGGCTGTGGAAAGAGTAGTACAAGCTTAGCAAACAAGGTCACAAATAACTTAGCACATAGCAGCTTTCAATAAATCTTTCTAAATAAAGAAAACAGGCGAACTATTATTAAATTTTCATAACTGGTGGAAGAACTTAAAATTGTAATGCTTTCTCTAGCGATGCAAGATCTAATGTATTGTCTTAAGAATAATATGTGTATGTTGAACAGTGCTGCACTTTCTCAACCACACTCTAAATATAGCTTAACTCAGTTAATTAAAAAAAATGGCAAAATGGAACAAGCATTAAAATTCAGGAATGAAGTGAGGAATTCAATCCCTTTGCTGATTTGCTGATGAACATGAGTCAAAAACTGAACTTAACCTTTAAAGGCAATGGAAGGAAAATCGCATACACATCATGGTTACAATTATGTAAAAAGTATATGTGTGTGTTTGTATGAGTGTGTATATATGAGTGCTTATATACAAAAGAATGGAAGACAGCAAGGAAAATCAAAGCAGTTGAATTATTATGGCAGTAGGATTCTAGGTAATTTTTATTTAAATTTTGAATTCCATGTTATATTATTATTTTGGGAAGTAAGTGGAAGTTTTTCAACGAAGCAATTTTAAAAAAACTTTAAAAGTACTTCATAAGGCCTTGCAATTTAATCTTTGCCTTAGGCTATAATGGTTAGTGCAAGGCAAAAGTCCAGTTATCTTGCCAACTATTTCCTTCAGACATAAGCCCACACAGACATGTCCAAAACCATATGTGCTGCTCCTAAGACTCAGGATAGTGATGCTGAAGTGTTCCTCTTCCAGCCGCGCTGTGATCTTCTATCTAAATACCCAGTGCTCATTTGCAGCTTTCTTTACTTTTTGGTTTAAGAGCTGAGACCGCCATCACTCTCACATAACCAGCTTCTTATCCTCTCACCTCCCCTACCCTCACTCCATCCACAGGAGTATAAATAATCCAAGCTGGTGCTGGATCCTAGTCACAGCTACATCTAGGCTCTGGCTAAACGAAATCCCTGATTAAATTTGATAAATCCCTCACTCTATCTACCTAAAAGTGGAAAGGGTGAACCCTCACTGGTGGAAGACATTATGTGGACCATTTCTGTTTCATTTATATACTATGTCCCGCATGCAATAAAGTGTTAGATATGCAAAGAGGGAGGAAAAAGTGACTAATAAGAGAAAATAATAGAATTTCATTTGTAATGACTAATTTGGATGTACCTCAGGAATGCAAGGGTAGTTTAACATGAACAGTTCAAAGGGAAAACAACATGCAGTCAACTCAATAGGTGAAGAAAAAATTCATTCAATTAAATTCAACACCCATTTGTGATAAGTAATCTCTTAGCAAACCAGGAATAGAAGGGACTTCCCTAACCTCATAAGGAATATCTACTAAAAACCTATACCAAACATCATTCTTAATGGTTAAAATCCATTACGTATGCCCTTCAAAATAGAAAAAAAAAAAAAGATAAGAATGTCTGCTCCAACCACTCTCTTCAACATTGCATGGGAGGTCCTAGCACACAGCAATAAAAGCAAAAACGTGTGAGGACTGCAAAGGGAGAAACAAAACTTATTAAACACAGACAATATGATTAGAAAATCTAAATCACACTATAGAAAATCTATCATTGAAAGGGTTTAACAAGGTGGCTAGATAAAAAGTGGTTAACAAAAATAAGTTCCCTTTATATAACCAACAAAACACAGGAAACATCGATTGTTTTTTTGTTTTTTTTTGTTTTTTTTGTTTTTGTTAACTTTTGCCCACTTTTTTTTTAAAATTATTATTATACTTTAAGTTTTAGGGTACATGTGCACAATGTGCTGGTTAGTTACATATGTATACATGTGCCATGCTGGTGTGCTGCACCCACTAACTCGTCATCTAGCATTAGGTATATCTCCCAATGCTATCCCTCCCCCCTTCCCCCACCCTACAACAGTCCCCAGAGTGTGATGTTCCCCTTCCTGTGGCCATGTGATCTCATTGTTCAATTCCCACCTATGAGTGAGAATATGCAGTGTTTGGTTTTTTGTTCTTGCGATAGTTTACTGAGAATGATGATTTCCAATTTCATCCATGTCCCTACAAAGGACATGAACTCATCATTTTTTATGGCTGCATAGTATTCCATGGTGTATATGTGCCACATTTTCTTAATCCAGTCTATCATTGTTGGACATTTGGGTTGGTTCCAAGTCTTTGCTATTGTGAGTAGTGCCGCAATAAACATACGTGTGCATGTGTCTTTAAAGCAGCATGATCTATAGTCCTTTGGGTATATACCCAGTAATGGGATGGCTGGGTCAAATGGTATTTCTAGTTCTAGATCCCTGAGGAATCGCCACACTGACTTCCACAATGGTTGAACTAGTTTACAGTCCCACCAACAGTGTAAAAGTGTTCCTATTTCTCCACATCCTCTCCAGCACTTGTTGTTTCCTGACTTTTTAATGATCGCTATTCTAACCTACTCATCTGACAAAGGGCTAATATCCAGAATCTACAATGAACTCAAACACATTTTTTTTTTTTATAGACAGAGTCTCACTCTGTCGTCCAGGCTGGAGTGCAGCGGTGCAGTCTCGGCTCACTGCAAGCTCCACCTCCCAGGTTCATGCTATTCTCCTGCCTCAGCCTCCCAAGTAGCTGGGACTACAGGCGCCCACTACCACGCCCTGCTAATGTTTTGTATTTTTAGTAGAGACGGGGTTTCACCGTGTTAGCCAGGATGGTCATGATCTCCTGACCTCGTGATCCACCCGCCTTGGCCTCCCAAAGTGCTGGGATTACAGGCGTGAGCCACCGTACCCGGCCAAAACATCGATTTAAAACTATATTAACTTCAATAACAAAATTATAAAATACTTAGGAATAAATCTAACACAAAAAGAGAGAAGACCTTCATGGAGAAAATTAGGTGTGGTACCTGAATGGACTAGAATTGTGCTGTTCAATATGGTAGCCAAGACGCACGTGTGGCTATCTAAATTTCAATGTAAACCAATTAAAATGAGATAGCATTCGGAATTCAATTCCTAAGTCATATTAGCCTCATTTGCACTGCTCTATTTAGGCACATGTGGCTAGTGGCTACCCAACTGATGGAGTAGATATAGAGCATGTGCATCAGCACAGAAAATCAGACAGCACTGGACTAGAATATGTCCATCCATCACATATACTTTCAATTAGAATGCAATCATTTATACTACACTGCTTATGTCATACCTCTGTATTAGTCTGTTCTTACGCTGCTAATAAAGACATACCTGAGACTTGGTAATTTATAAAGAAAAAGAGATTTAATGAACTCACAGTTCCACTTGGCTGGGGAGGCCTCACAATCATCGCAGAAAGCAAAGGAGGAGCGAAGGCATGTCTTATGTGGGGGCAGGCAAGAGAGAGTGTGCGGGGGAACTGCCCTTTATACAACCATCAGACCTCCTACGACTTACTCACTGTCATGGGAAAAACCCACCCCCACGATTCAATTACCCCCCACGACATGTGGGGATTATGGGAGCTACAATTCAAGATGAGATTTACGTGGGGACACAGCCAAACCATATCAACACCCATAATGGAAATGCAGAAGAGAGCTGTAAAGTTTGCTTATCTTCTTTTTCTTTTCTTTTTTCTTTCTTCTTTCTTTTTTTTTTTTTTTTAGATGGAGTCTGACTCTGTTGCCCAGGCCAGAGTGCTGTGGCACGATCTCGGCTCACTGCAACGTCCGCCTCCAGGGTTCAAGCGATTCTCCCGCTTCAGCCTCCCGAGTAGCTGGGATTACAGGCGTGCACCACCACGTCTGGTTAATTTTTGTATTTTTAGTAGAGACAGAGTTTCACCATGTTGGCCAGGCTGGTCTTGAACTCCTGACATCAGGTGATCTGCCCACCTCGGCCTCCCAAAGCGCTGGGATTATAAGAGTGAGCCACTGCGCCCAGTCAAGTTTGCTTATCTTCTAAGTTTGTGGGGGATATTTGTCTTTTGTAGGGGATGCGGTTTGGTTAGCATCTGAAAGTCCTTCCGACACTTAAGAAACCAACTATCTTGTGAGTCTTTTCATTATAAAAGTCCCAATGGAGAGACACTTGCTCTTCCAGTACCCTGACAACAAAAATACAGAAACGAGACCCAAGACTAGCCAATCAGATACTCTCTTTGAAGAGCTGAGTCTTGGGCAAGCAACAAAGAGATGCTGCATTAGTTCAGGGTTCATTCTGGCACAGGTAGTGGTACCCTCTAGTATCTAGTGACCACCATTGGTGCTAGTGTCCAGAATGCCAGTGGCAGTTTCCAGTACCTAACAGTGACAGCATCTTAATCAGGTCATTCACGTTCCGGCCATGGCTGCAGCTCCAGCCTCGTGGATTCCCTTTGGTGCCTGCCCACACTCCAAACTTCAGCCTTGCCTCTAAGAGCTACTTAATATCTCCCTGAATAAATTCCTTTTCTAAGTTAGAAGAAGTAGATGTCTTATAGATTATCTAGTCTAAGCTTACTGGGATTCATAATATAAATGCAGGTAAATGGAATTCTATCTCTCTTAAAACTTATTTATCTGTCAGCTTAGGCTAAGTTACGCTGTGGTAAAAAATGACCTCCACAAACCTCAGTGGCTTATAAAAACAAAGATTTATTTCTCACCTTAATGTCCATTATGGGTCAGCTGTGGTTCCCGTCCATGTCATCTTCCCTCTGGACCTGACGAACCTGAGCTAATGGATCAGCTTCTGTCTGATATATTGCAGGTATCACTGGTTGAGAGAAAAGAGACCAAAAATAAAACCCCTGCTGGCTCTTGAAGCTTCCACACAGAAGTGATGTTCATCATCTCCCCTCATATGATGTTCACCAAAGCAAGTCACACATCGTGATGTATAATCTTCCTAAAGAGAGGGACATTGCAAATCACATGGAAAAGCCTGATCTGAGTGATGTGGTATCCTACAATGGTCCCACCGGGAGGGTCATCAAATATTTGAACAAGAATACAATCTAACACAGACTGTTATGACTCAGGGCTTTTTTTTTTAAATTATACTTTAAGTTCTAGGGTACATGTGCACAACACGCAGGTTTGTTACATACGTATACATGTGCCATGTTGGTGTGCTGCACCCATTAACTCTTCATTTACATTAGGTATATCTCCTAATGCTATCGCTCCCCACTCTCCCCACCCCATGACAGGCCCTGGTGTATGATGTTCCCCAACCTCTGTCCAAGTGTTCTCATTGTTCAATTCCCACCTATGAGTGAGAACATGCGGTGTTTGGTTTTCTGTCCTTGTGATAGTTGGCTCAGAATGATGGTTTCCAGCTTCATCCATGTCCCTACAAAGGACATGAACGCATCCTTTTTCATGGCTGCATAGTATTCCATGGTGTATATGTGCGACATTTTCTTAATCTAGTCTATCATTGATGGACATTTGGGTTGGTTCCAAGTCTTTGCTATTGTGAATAGTGCTGCAATAAATATACATGTGCATGTGTCTTTATAGCAGCATGATTTATACTCCTGTGGGTATATACCCAGTAATGGGATGGCTGGGTCTAATGGTATTTCTAGTTCTAGATCCTTGAGGAATTGCCACACTGTCTTCCACAATGGTTGAACTACTTTACAGTCCTACCAACAGTGTAAAAGTGTTCCTATTTCTCCACATCCTCTCCAGTACCTGTGGTTTCCTGACTTTTTAATGACCGCCATTCTAACTGGTGTGAGATGGTATCTCGTTGTGGTTTTAATTTGCATTTCTCTGATGGCCAGTGATGATACACATTTTGTCATGTGTCTGTTGGCTGCATAAATGTCTTCTTTTGAGAAGTGTCTGTTCATATCCTTTGCCCACTTTTTGATGGGATTGTTTGATTTTTTCTTGTAAATTTGTTTAAGTTCTTTGTAGATTCTGGATGTTGGCCCTTTGTCAGATGGGTAGATTGGAAAAATTTTCTCCCATTCTGTAGGTTGCCTGTTCACTCTGATGGTAGTTTCTTTTGCTGTGCAGAAGCTCTTTAGTTTAATTAGATCCCATTTGTCAATTTTGGCTTTTGTTGCCATTGCTTTTGGTGTTTTAGACATGAAGTCCTTGCCTATGTCCTGAATGGTATTGCCTAGGTTTTCTTCTAGGGTTTTTATGGTTTTAGGTCTAACATTTAAGCCTTTAATCCATCTTGAATTAATTTTGTATAAGGTGTAAGGAAGGGATCCAGTTTCAGGTTTCTACATATGGCTAGCCCGTTTTCCCAGCACCATTTATTAAATAGGGAATCCTTTCCCCATTTCTCGTTTTTGTCAGGTTTGTCAAAGACCGGATGGTTGTAGATGTGTGGTATTATTTCTGAGGGCTCTGTCCTGTTCCATTGGTCTATAACTCTGTTTTGGTACCAGTACCATGCTGTTTTGGTCACTGTAGCCTTGTAATATAGTTTGAAGTCAGGTAGCGTGATGCCTCCAGCTTTGTTCTTTTGGCTTAGGATTGCCTTGGCAATGCAGGCTCTTTTTTGTTTCCATATGAACTTTAAAGTGGTTTTTTCCAATTCTGTGAAGAAAGTCATTGGTAGCTTGATGGGGATGGCATTGAATCTATAAATTACCTTGGGCAGTATGGCCATTTTCACAATATTGATTCTTCCTATCCATGAGCGTGGAATGTTCTTCCATTTGTTTGTGTCCTCTTTTATTTTGTTGAGCAGTGGTTTGTAGTTCTCCTTGAAGAGGTCCTTCACATCCCTTGTAAGCTGGATTCCTAGGCATTTTATTCTCTTTGAAGCAATTGTGAATGGGAGTTCACTCATGATTTGGCTCTCTGTTTGTCTGTTATTGGTGTATAGGAATGCTTGTGATTTTTGCACATTGATTTTGTATCCTGAGACTTTGCTGAAGTTGCTTATCAGCTTAAGGAGATTTTGGGCTAAGACGATGGGGTTTTCCAAATATAAAATCATGTCATCTGCAAACGGGGACAATTTGACTTCCTCTTTTCCTAATTGAATACCCTTTTTTTCTTTCTCCTGCCTGATTGCCCAACTCAGGGCTTTGTTATTAATCTGGTAAATTTTAAATTCCATAACATGAATGAAATGAATTTATCTTGAAAAATCTATTTTTCTGGAGATTGGGTTTGAAACATTAGTAATAGTAATATTTGATCCCATTTATTAAGGTTAGATGCAGGGCTTCTAAAGTGTGACATCACTGTACAAAACCAAAGCAAAGATGAGGGCATATTGAAATTCTACTGTAATTTGAAGTAAAAATCTATTTTGCAAAATTGCATTAAGCATCTGCCAAACCTAGAGTTAAACCTTGGGGCTTTGAGGGGATGTAAATCTCACTACTAAGACCTGCATAGGAAACTTGATGGGCAATTAAAGAAAAAAAAATAAAACATGTTCACAAATAATATAAAGCAGTGATAAGATAGAGCAGAGATGGAATAAAGGAAGTTCATAGGATGGGCTAAGTATGGAATTCTGTAGCTTAGAGATATAATGGAATTGTGTGAGGAACAGATTACTTTTCAATAAGTCATGCAATGCAAACAATTGTATACCACCCCCACACACACGCGCACATACACACACATACATATGTATATTTTTTGAGATGGGGTCTCACTCTGTCTCTCAGGCTAGAGTGCAGTGGCACAATCTCAGCTCAACAAGCAATTCTCTGGCCTCAGCCTCCCAAGTAGTTGGGACTACAGGCATGAGCCACCAGCTAATTTTTGTATTTTTAGTAGAGACAGGGTTTCACCATTTTGCTCAGGCTGGTCTTAAACTCCTGAGCTCAAAGCAATCCACCTGCCTTGGCCTCCCAAAGTGCTGGGATTACAGGCATGAGCCACCATGCCCGGCCTACATATTTTATACCACAGGATATGTATGTTTGGGAGGAGACATACAGGGGAGAAAAAAATTGATCCAACTTCTAAGCATTCCTAAATTTTGTCCTTACTAAACACAATGGCTCTAGTGATGAAATTTCATTAAATTCTTTTTTGCCAAATAAGTTACAAAACTAGGGTAAAATATCCTTGCTTCCTTTTTTTTAAAGAAAAAAAAATCTTGTGACCTTCATCTGTAGATAACAGTGAGTATCTGAATTTCAAAATGTCAAGCTTTGCATGTGGTTAATCAAAAATAATTTTTGACACAAAAGTTGGAAGGAGTATAATTGTGACAGGTAGAAATGTCAAATTATTTATGCAAATTCAGCTAAAGATGTACTTTAAGTAAAGGTCAGTATAGTTTATTTGGTTAGTAAAATATGGTTTACTTCTTGAGTTAAGAAAAAAGAAATGATGTGAAAGAAGCCAGACACAAAAACCTACATATTGTATGGTCCCATTTGCGTGAAATGTCCAGGATAAGCAGATCCATAGAGACAGAAAGTAGGTGGCGGTTGGGGGGCTGGGGGCTGGGAAGAGGGTGGAATAGAGAGTGGCTATTAACTGGTACTGGATTCCTTCTTGGGGTAATGAAAACATTCTGGAATTAGATAATGATGATAATCGCACAACTTTGTGAATATACTAAAAGCCACTGAATTATAACAAAAATAAATGCATATAAACTTTAAAAAACTCGTGAGTTACAAATAGTGTTTATGTATATGATTTGGGGAAAATTATTTTCAAAGAGTCACTTCTAGAATTACTAACATATAGCCAAGTACAGTCTGTAATGCATGCTAACAGACAACTAAGTCAACAACCACAAAATCACCAAACAATTTTAATAACCTTTTCAACTATATTCCTTAAGTACCTGCAGGGTCTTCCGGCAAGTAAAACAGTGAACAAATAGAATTTTTTTAATCTCCTTTTCTTTCTAACAATGCTATTGAACATTAAAACAGAAAATAACACACAAGAAAGGGAAGGATTATAAGACAATTGAACAATTAGCTTTATAATAGAGTTTGAGCATATATGGCCTAAGACTTTATAGTATATGTGAGGTTTACTCAAAGATACTACATACATGGAGAAGAAAAGCTCCAAAATGTTCTGGGGAAAAAAAATGCTCTCTCTTTTCCAATTGCCCATTCTTTCCACTCTCAAATTGTTTTGCCTGTCATAAACTACAATCACTCCCTCTGAGCTTGTTTTCAATCTTTTTTAAAAATTTTTTATTTATTTTTTATTTTTTTGAGATGGAGTCTCGCTCTGTCGCCCAGGCTGGAGTGCAGTGGCGCGGTCTCGGCTCACTGCAAGCTCCACCTCCCGGGTTCACGCCATTCTCCTGCCTCAGCCTCCCGAGTAGCTGGGACTACAGGCGCCTGCCACCACGCCTGGCTAATTTTTTGTATTTTTAGTAGAGACAGGGTTTCACCGTGTTAGTCAGTATTGTCTCAATCTCCTGACCTCATGATCTGCCCGCCTCGGCCTCCCAAAGTGCTGGGATTACAGGTGTGAGCCACCGTGCCCGGCCTAATCTTTTACCTAAATGTGCGTATGTGTTGATCTGTCATATTCCTGGCTCTTCCAAATTTCTTAGGTGCACTCATTCAACAAATATTTCTTGAGGGCACTCTGTGTGCCAGAACTATTCTAGGGGCTGGAGATAAGCTGTGAACCAAAAAGACAAAAATCTCTGACCCCGTGAGCAAGAGCAAGGCATTGTATTTCTTTCTTTCTCTTTCTTTCTTTTCTTTTTCTTTCTTTTCTTTCTTTCCTTTCTTTCCTTCCTTTCTTTCCTTTCTTTCCTTTCTTTCCTTTCTTTCCTTTCTTTCCTTTCTTTCTTTCTTTCTTTCTTTCTTTCTTTCTTTCTTTCTTTCTTTCTTTCTTTCCCTCTCTCTCTTTCTCTCTTTCTTTCTTTCTTTTTTTTGACATGGTCTTGCTCTGTCACCCAGACTGTAGTGCAGTGGCATGGTCTTGGCTCACTGCAACCTCCACCTCCCGGGTTCAAGCCATTCTCCGGGGCCTTGGGCTCCCAAGTAGCTGGGATTACAGGCACATGCCACCATGCCTGGCTAATTTTTGTATTTTTAGTAGAGACTGGGTTTCACCATGTTGGCCAGTCTGGTCTCAAACTCCTGACCTCAAGTGATCCACCCACCTCGGCCTCCAGTGCTGGGATTACAGGTGTGAGCCACCACGCCCAGCCAGGGCATTGTATTTCAATGGTGAATAAGCTCTATTAAGGCATGGTCAAGGACTTCATGTCTAAAACACCAAAAGCAATGGCAACAAAAGACAAAATTGACAAATGGGATCTAATTAAACTAAAGAGCTTCTGTACAGCAAAAGAAACTACCATCAGAGTGAACAGGCAACCTACAAAATTGGAGAAAATTTTTGCAACCTACTCATCTGACAAAGGGCTAATATCCAGAATCTACAATGAACTCAAACAAATTTACAAGAAAAAAACAAACAACACCATCAAAAAGTGGGCGGAGGACATGAACAGACACTTCTCAAAAGAAGACATTTATGCAGCCAAAAAACACATGAAAAAATGCTCATCATCACTGGCCATCAGAGAAATGCAAATCAAAACCACAATGAGATACCATCTCACACCAGTTAGAATGGCAATCATTAAAAAGTCAGGAAACAACAGGTGCTGGAGAGGATGTGGAGAAATAGGAACACTTTTACACTGTTGGTGGGACTGTAAACTAGTTCAACCATTGTGGAAGTCAGTGTGGCGATTCCTCAGGGATCTAGAACTAGAAATACCATTTGACCCAGCCATCCCATTACTGGGTATATACCCAAAGGACTATAAATCATGCTGCTTTAAAGACACATGCACACGTATGTTTATTGCGGCACTACTCACAATAGCAAAGACTTGGAACCAACCCAAATGTCCAACAATGATAGACTGGATTAAGAAAATGTGGCACATATACACCATGGAATACTATGCAGCCATAAAAAATGATGAGTTCATGTCCTTTGTAGGGACATGGATGAAATTGGAAATCATCATTCTCAGTAAACTATCGCAAGAACAAAAAACCAAACACCGCATATTCTCACTCATAGGTGGGAATTAAACAATGAGATCACATGGCCACAGGAAGGGGAACATCACACTCTGGGGACTGTTGTGGGGTGGGGGGAGGGGGGAGGGATAGCATTGGGAGATATACCTAATGCTAGATGACGAGTTAGTGGGTGCAGCGCACCAGCGTGGCACATGTATACATATGTAACTAACCTGCACAATGTGCACATGTACCCTAAAACTTAAAGTATAATAATAAAAGAAAAAAAAAATCAGAGGCCAGGCGTGGTGGTGGCTCACTCCTGTAATCCCAGCGCTTTGGGAGGCCAAGGCAGGTGAATCACGAGGTCAGGATATGGAGACCAGCCTGGCCAATATGGTGAAACCTCGTCTCTACTAAAAATACAAAAAATTAGCTGGGCGTAGTTGCAGGTGCCTGTAATCCCAGCTACTCAGGAGGCTGAGGCAGGAGAATTGCTTGAACCCGGAAGGCAGAGGTTGCAGTGAGCCGAGATCATACCACTGCACTCCAACCCAGCAGACAGAGTGAGACTCCATCTCAAAAAAAAAAAAGAAAGAAAAAAATCAGAAAGGGTGCTAGGGAATGTAGGAAGAGGCCAGGGAAAGCCTCACAGCCCCAGGTGACATTTGAGCTAGGGCTTGAGAGAGGTAAGTTAAGTCATTAGGAATCTGGGAGACTGGGTTCAGTTGTTCACGCCTGTAATCCCAACACTTTGGGAGGCGAAGGTGGGAGGATCGCTTGAACCCAGGAGTTCAAGACTAGCATGGGCAATATCATTGGGACCTCATCTCTACAAAAACAATTTAAAAATTAGCCGAGCATGATGGCATGTGCCTGTAGTCCCAGCTACTTGGGAGGCTGAGGTGGGAGGATCTCTTGAGCTTGGAAGGCAGAGGTTGCAGTGAGCTGAGATCATGCCACTGCACTAAAGCCTGGGGGACAGAGCTAGACCCTGTCTTTAAAAAAAAGGAATCTGGGGTATGAACATTCCAGGCAGAAGCAATAGCCAGTGCAAAGGCCCTGTGGCAGAAATGTGCCTGGTATGACCAAAGAGCAGCAAGGAGGCCAGTGTGACTGAATGCAGTCTCCAGCAAGGGGGTAAGTATTAATAGCAGGCAGGGAGCTCAGAAAGGTAACAAGGAGGGGCCAGATTAGTGAAGCTTTAAAGACCACTATAAGAACTTTGTCTTTCTCTTGGAGACAGGAGCCAACAGAGAGTTTTGAGCAGAGAGGTAACCTGATCTGATTTGCATATTCCCCAGGATCACTCTGGCTGTTGTGTTAGAGACGTACTTGGGAGACAAGAGTGGAAGTCAGGCAACCACTTAGCAGGTGGTATCTGTATGACAATTGGTCATCCAGGTGACAGTCAGCCAGGTGAGGATGATGCTGGCTTAGAACAAGACAATGGTAGAGAACATAATATGTGGTCATATTCTGGATATTTGTAAACAGTGTTATTGAGGTATAATTTACATATGATAAAATTCACTTGTTTTAAGTACACAATTCAATGATTTTTAAACAGATTTACAGAGTTATTTAGCCATTACCACAATCCAATTTCAGAACATTTCCATTACTCCAATAAGGTCCCTTGTGCCCATCTGTAGTCACTCCTCTTTTCTCCCACCAGCCCCAGGTAACTGTGAATCCACTTTCCATCTCTGTAGATTTGTATATTCCAGACACTTCACATAAGTGGAGTCATTCAATATGTGGTCTTTTGTGATTGGCTTCTTACATTTAGCAAATGCTTTCAAAGTTCATCTGTGCTACAGCATGTATCATTACTTCACTCCTTTTTATTATGGAATAGTATTTCTTTGAATATCTATACCATATCTTTTTGATCCATTCACCAGTTAATGGACATTTGGGTTGTTTCCACTTTTTGGCTACTATGAATAGTGCTGCTATGGATGCTCACAGATGAGTCTTCGTGTAAATGTATGCGTTCATTTCTCTTGTGTACACGCCAAGGTGTATAATTGCTGGGATGTATGGTAAATTTATGCGTAATTTCTTTTATTTTTATTTTTAACTGAGTCCTATGTTTACTATGATGCTTAACTTCTTAAGAAACTGCCAGGCTGGGCGCGGTGGCTCACGCCTGTAATCCCAGCAGTTTGGGAGGCTGAGGCAGGCGGATCACGAGGTCAGGAGATCGAGACCATCCTGGCTAACGTGGTGAAACCCCGTCTCTACTAAAAATACAAAAAAAATTAGCCGGGCGTGGCGTGGGCGCCTGTAGTCCCAGCTACTCGAGAGGCTGGGGCAGGAGAATGGCGTGAACCCGGGAGGTAGAGCTTGCAGTGAGCCGAGATCGCGCCACTGCACTCCAGCCTGGGCGACAGAGCGAGACTCCGTCTCAAAAAAAAGGAACTGCCAAACTGTTTCCCAAAGTGGCTGCACCATTTTATATTCCTGCCAGTAATGTACAAAAATTCTAATTTCTCCACATCCTCACCAACACTTGTTATTTTCTGTGTGTGTGTGTGTGTGTGTGTTTTGTTTTGTTTTTTTCTAATTATGGCCATCCAAGTGGGTGTGAAATGGTTTCTCGTGGTGGGTTTAATTTGCATTTCCCTAAGGACTAACCATGTTGAGCATCTTTTCATGTGCACGTTGGCCACTCCTGTATCTTCTTTGCTCTTCTTTGGTGAAGCGTCTATTCAAATCTCCTGCCCATTTTTAAGTTGGGCTTCTGGATATATATCTGAAATAGAGCCAATATGATTTGCCAACTGATTGGAAGTATGATATGAAAGAAAGAGAGGAGTTAATGATGACTCCATGTTTCTTTAGCTCAAGGTACACAAGGATGGAGTTGCCATTCAGTGGAGAAGGAGGCGCTGGAGAGAAGATTGGAAGCTTGATTTTAAACATGTTAAGTTTGAGATGCTCACTGGACATGCAAGTAGAGTTGTCAAGTTGACTGTTAGGTTTCTGGATCTGGAATTCTGAGGGGGAGATGCAAGCCTGAAGATAGACAGCGGGGAGGTCCTTAGCATGGAGATGATGCAGGAAGCCATGGAACTAGAGAAGATCACCAAAGGAGTGAATGTAGATAGAAGGGGTCCAAGGATTACATTCCAGGACATTCCAGTTAAAAAGTCAGGAAAGATGAACCAGCAAATGATACTGAAACAGAGTGACCAGTGACAGGGAAAACCAATGAGAGTGTAACCTACTGCAAGCCACATGAAAATGTTCTCAAGAAGGAAGCAAGCATGTCAAATGCTGTAGATAGGATTCAAGGCTGAGAACTGTCCCCTGAATTTAGTGACGTAGAGGGTGGAGGTCATTGGTGACCGAGGCAATCAGAGAGATCCATGTTAGTTTCCATGCTAGGAACTCAGGCATTTCATCCAAAGGTATAAGCAGGAAGGCAGACTTCGTAGGGCCAGCTGCTGTGGACAGTTAATATGCAGTTGATGGCTGAGGACTTGGTGAAAAATGTAGATTGGGATTCAGTAGGTCTGGGATGCGGCCCTTGTTTTGGTATTTGCTCCCAGGTGATGCTGATGCCATTGATCCCAGGGCCTCAATATGAAGGGCGAGAGTGCAGGGCTGATTTCATTTGTGGTTATTACAATTCTTTTCTGAGTATAACTCTTACTGGGAACGAAAATGTCAACTGTTTGGGGTTGATTCTAGAGGATTTTTTATTTTCCAGGGGTTTAATATCATTGATAGTTCAGCTCAGATCTGTAGCTTGAGAAATGGGGAAGAAACACAAGGACCGATGATTTGGGATCCCCGTTGAGCCCTGTGAGCTGTGTGAAAGCAGGTTTTATGCAGAACCGCAAATGCTAGAGCCCAGGAAACCGCCCTGACAACTTTGAAGGCATTGGGAGACTCACTCTTTATCTGTCAGTGATGTGGCTGGGGCCTCCAGAAAGCCCCCTTTGAGAAAGACTGTCATTACGAGCATGTATAAATTGGGACTAAGGTTCAGAATGACTCACTGAGATAAATATCCAATAGAGACCCTCTCTCCAATTTCTTCCTTCCATTCATCTGATTTTTTTGGGTAACAGCTTTATTGATATTATTTATACTATACAATTCACTCATTTAAAGTGTACAATTCAGTGATGTTTAGCATGTGCATCCATCACCACCACCAATTTTAGAACATTTTTAGCACCCCCAAAAAGAACCCCCCATGTCCTTTTTGTTTTGAGACAGAGTCTCCCTCTGTCACCCAGGCTGGAGTGCAGTGGCACGATCTCAGCTCACTGCAACATCCGCCTCCCGGATTCAAGCAATTCTTGTGCCTCAGCCTCCCAGGTAGCTGGGACTACAGGTGCGCACCACCACGCCCAGCTAATTTTTGTATTTTTAATAGAGACAGGGTTTCACCATGTTGATCAGGCTGGTCTCAAACTCCTGACCTCAGATGATCCACCCGCCTCAGCCTCCCAAAGTGCTGGGATTACAGACCTGAGCCGCCGCATTCAGCCTCATTTTTAAATGTTCATAAAAATCCACTAAGTCATTTGGAAACTTTCTGCTGAGCAATTCGTGAGATTTCACAAAGCTGGGGGACAAAAGCCCATCTGCTGAAAGAAAACAAAACTGAAGGAATAGAAATCCTCGGTCTGAAAAGATAAGACAAAACAAGATGGCCTGGTGGACTCATAAACACCAACACACAGTCCATGTAAAATCTTCAAGTCCTTTTCTGCTAGACATGGGTGAACTTTGACTTTTAGCTCTTCCCAACTGACACGCACATGAAGTCACACGCCATGGGGAAGAGCTACGTGGGAAACTGTTGGACAAGTGCCTGGGTGTGCTGTGGTTAGAGAAAAAAAAACAAACTGAAACTGGTTTTGCAGCTCTGTCTTCAATCATTCACAGATAGGCGCGTTAGGTGGAATCCAGCCAGATGACTCAGGGCCTCACCGGCACCTTGGAAATTTCTGAATTTTTTGTTTCAGTCTACAAAGGGGAATTTCGTGAGTTATGACATCACTCTGAAGTTGTAAAAGTAGCTGCCGGGGAGCTACCTGTATCTGTTTACCTGCATTTCAAAAGTGAATATGGTATATTCCAAAAATAAAAAGTAAAGAAGTTTTTGAATGGGTGAAGTTTTAACTTGCTTATTAATTGGATATGTAACTTTACCATGGTTGTTTTAGATTTTTTAAAAAAATTTGCCACCATTTGAAAAAGATTAATGACTACTTGGAACCTACCCCTATTTGTATCTCATTTACATTTTAAAAGAAAGCAAGAGTATGTCCAACAAATTAATTTTAATTCTATTTTTGACTCTCTGTCCAGGAGGGTACTTACAATAATTTAACAAAGGATTCTAAATAACTATTTTTTCATAATTGATTGTTATTTTCCTAGATCATACAGGCAGAACATGAAGATAGAAAGGCCCTATATTTGGCGGGGTATGGTGGCTCACATCTGTAATGCCAGCACTTTGGGAGGCTGAAGCAGGTGGATCACATGAGGCCAGGAGTTCAAGACCAGCCTGGGCAACATGGTGAAACCCCCGTCTCTACTAAAAACAATACAAAAAATTAGCCAGGCATGGTGGTGCATGCCTGTAATCCCAGCTACTTGGAAGGCTGAAGCACGAGAATCACTTGAACCTGGAAGGCAGAGGTTGCAGTGAGCCAAGATCGCGCCACTGAACTCCAGCCTGGGTGACAGAGTGAGACTCTGTCTCAAAAAAAGAAAAGAAAAGAAAAGAAAGGCCCTATATTTTATAGGAAATGATACCTGAAACTGCATTTATATATTTATAGTCTTCAAATTCATAAAAATATATAAACATGTAAATATCCCTTAAAAAGCAACATGTTCTTATACTGTCAAATTTCAGTATTTTAAAAATTACTTACTTTTCAGAAAACTGGATAAACCACATGGATGCCACGAGAAGGTGTCAGGAGAGCCAGCAATCCTAGCCAGGTGGTCCCTCCCAATCTCTCCATCATCAGGAGGAGTGCACAGTACTGGTGTAAGGGGGGATCCATACACCACATGCTCCTGGCATTGAAAGAACAAACCACAATTATAAAATAGCAGGACCTCACCTGGAATTAATAGGAAGCCTGCTGTTATTTCTAGAAGCAATCTGACATGCAAAATAAACAAAACCTACCCACTTTGTTATGAGTTAGTCCTGGCTTTGTCTCTGTGTACCCTTGGGCAAGTAACTTAATCTCTCTCAGCCTTAGTTTCCTCACCTCTAAAATGCTGTGCAGCAGGGTAGTTGTGAAGATTAAAGGAGATGCTATACATAAAGTGCCAAGAATCTAGCAAATATGGTGCTGGAACAGACTTTCCCATTTCCTCTGCCTGGCCATCTTCCTCTCAAGATTTGCCCTAAGGGTCACGGCCTCTATGAAGCTTTCCCTGACCCTCCCACACTGGGTTAGTTGATCCTCTGGGGTCCTCTGCACCCCTTTCCAGTGGGTGTCTCTCTCAGAGCTCTTAAAAGGTAAAACGATTGCTGGCTGCATAGCATGGCGCTTCCCCTGCGTTTCGTGGGGCTTGAGGCCTGGGATGGTGTCTTAATCATCTCTTTGCTCCCGGCACCTGGAAAAGTGAAAGCAATGTGCAATCATGAACACAGAGCATTTCTGATGATGCATGCTAACATTTGTGGAAATCTATTATTATTATTATTTTTTAGATGGGGTCTGTCTCTGTCACCCAGGCTGGAGTGCAGTGGTGCAATCATGGCTCACTGCAGCCTCAATCTCCTGGGCTCAGGTGATCCTTCCACCTCAGTCTCCTGGGTAGCTGACACTACAGGCACACACCACCACGCCTGGCTAATTTCTATATTTTTTGTAGAGACGGGGTTCAGACTGATCTCCAACTCCTGGGCTCAAGTGGTCCTCCCACCTTGGCCTCTCAAAGTGTTGGGATTACAGATGTGAGCTACCACGTCTGGCCAGGAATCCCAGTTTTAAATAATAATGCAAATGGGACTATATGAGGTTGTCATCTGGTCTCCCTTCTGATTGTGGGGCTCTTCTGAAAGCCTAGGTACTTACAGTATCTGAGAGATACAAAAATAACTACTTTAGTAAAATATTTTGCATTTACTGGGAAGTTATAAATAACAAAGCAATCTGACCCAGAAGATGAAGGCCCAGCCCTTGCCAAAGCAGTGGAGCACTGCCAGCTGCAGGCTTCCTGACTGGTATTTAGAATGGTAGTGGCGAATGAAAGGAGCCTCTCATCACAGGAAGTGCTCAGGGAAGAGACAGAGCTCCAATTGTATCCAACTTTTTATCTCAGAAAAGTAACACAGACAAAAGGAGAGTGATGTGGGAAAATCCATCAAGAGTCAAGAGAGCGCTCCTACATTCAGGTATAACAACTGGTGTTTATGCCCTATGCAGGGACTCCCAGTAATCATGGCAACCCGAGTATAGGATATACTTGTCCAATGCTGAATTTCTGCATTGTCTATTATTGTTTATTATGGGCCATGGGTAGGGAACTTGGGATTTAGTGTATTTTATGAAATATCCATTTGCAAAGTTGTCAAGGACTTTGCTGACTATAAGGATTCGGGGAGCCCAGACTCTGTGTACTCTTGCTTGAAGCCAGTTATTTGACATTTGGATCACTGCCAAGGGTCACCTGTTGTCCCTGCATGCATCCTTGCTTCCTTCCCTTCTAATTCAATATAACAGCCAGAGTGATCCTTCCTAAAGGGTGTTAAATCTCATCACCACAAACTCCCCAGCTTCAGTGGCTTCCCATCATGTTTTAAGAAACGCCCCCAAATCCTTACCATGGCCGACCGACAAGAGCCCTCACGATGGCCTCTTTGACTGCATCTCTCATCCTTGTTCCCCTTGCTCACTGTGACTTAGCTGCCGTGGACTCTTGCTGGAACTTGCGTGTATCAGGCAGTCTCCTGTCTCAGGGTCTTCCATTTGCTGTTTCTGAAAAAGCGATTTTAAATTAAAGAGTCTTGGCCAGGCACGGTAACTCATGCCTATAATACCAGCACTTTGGGAGGCCGAACACTTTGGGAGGATCGCTTGAGCCCAGGAGTTTGAAACCAGCCTGGCAACATGAAGAAACCCTGTCTCTACAAAAAATACAAAAATTAGCTGGGCATGGTGGCACGTGCCTGCAGTCCCAGCTACTCAAGGGAGTGGGGATGCTGAGGTTGGAGGATTGCTTGAGCCCGGGAGGTTGAGGCTGCAGTGAGCTGAGATGGCGCCACTGCACTCCAGCCTTGATGACAGAGTGAGAACCTGTCTAAAAAAAAAAAAAAAAAAAAAAAAAAAAAAAAAAAAAAAAAAATCTTTACCCTGCAGTCAATTTTAAAGAAAGTCCTTTCCTTTTAGGGGAAAGGACATAGGATCTGAAAGAATTACCTATAGGCAGAAAATGTAATGCTGTCTCATTAACCAAAAGAAAAACACACAGATTACTATTTTCCTATCTCAAGTTGCAAAACTCACGAATAAAGATGAAATGAAATGAGGAAGACCACGCAGATTGGTTTTTTTGTTTGTTTGCTTGAGGTGGAGTTTCTCTCGTTGCCCAGGCTGGAATGCAATGGCGTGATCTTGGCTCACCGCAACCTCTGCCTTCTGGGTTCAAGTGATTCTCCGGCCTCAGCCTCCCGAGTAGCTGGGATTACAGGCACCCGCCATCATGCACAGCTAATTTTTGTATTTTTAGTAGAGACGGGGTTTCACCATATTGGCCAGGCTGGTCTTGAACTCCTGACCTCAGGCAATCCGCCCGCCTCGGCCTCCCAAAATGCTGGGATTACAAGCATGAGCCACCGCACCCGGCCAGACCATGAAGGTTTTTATATTTTGGAGAGTAAGGAAATTTCCATTTTAATTACTTTTATTTGTCTGAACATTTAGTTTGCCAAATTCCAATATAAATAAAAACTACACACATACACACAAACCCCCAAAGCAAAACATAAACACCGACTTGAACTAATCAAATTTGGTTTTTATGTGCTGTGCTCTTTCGTAACCACTGAATAGTTTTTCAGATTATTCCAAGTCATATGAAACCACACTTTGTGAAACTTCAAGTTTTAGATGACCTTGCAAGTTAAGGACTAAACATGTTGCATCACAAAAAGCAGCCCTGGGAAGACACGGAGAGCAAGTATATCAAAATAGATTTTACACTTGATGGCATTGAGCCGACTCTTCCAAATTATTTGAAAATACGAACATATTTTACTTTTATGCATGTTTTGGAGAATTCTGTCAGGCAGGTAAAGTGTACACACAGTTAGGCCTTCAGAGCTCCAACAAAGGAAGAGAGTTAGGAGAAAAGAACTGGTGAGAAAGTGAAATGGTAGGTTTGTAGAGACCGCCAAAGTAAACTTTTTAAAACTATAAAACGGTGAACATTCCATGAGTTTTTTAAGGAAAAAAAATCAGCCATAATCACATAGAAGGCGTGTTGTAGTCAAACAATTATATAAACTGGTTAAACACTGTTTGCAAAGGCCTCAAAGAGGTAATTTTATCTTCAATTCATTTATTAGATAAACGTCTGTTACTACATTCAAAGGCTAAAGTGATGGGCTTCCTCTGACAGACTAATGACCATTAATGTCCATCTCAAGGACACTTGTCCTTGAGAACATGAAGACTCCTGACATCAGAAACTAAACATCCTAGAGTTTACATACCCCCGAAAAACCTGTTCACAGGGGGAAAAAACAAAAACAAAAACAAAAACAAAAAACAACTACGAAACTCCTTCAACTAAGCAAGAGGGCTCCAAACAAAATTCTAACTGCGGGATGAGTTCCAGGGTGACTTTTGTGGTTGAAGGGAGACCTATAAATGAGAAAAGAGAGGGGAAAAGAATGAAGATCTAGTCACCCAATGTTGGAGTTTAAACACATTCTTCATTTTGTCCCCGACCTCCAGGAATACATTTCTCAGAAGTCGATATTGAGCCAGTCTCAGTGAGTCAGGAGGGAGAAAATCTGGGATCTGTCAGAATTGGTACTATTTATGGTTGTGTCACTTGGACATGTCACCACACCTCTGTGGACCTGTTTCCTCATTCGTGAAGTGCCTGGAATAACATTCTTGTCTTAGAGCTGTAAAAAGGATCAAATGAGAGCCTATTTCTGAGTAGTTCTCAACTCTGACTGCATCTTAAAATAACTTGAGGAATGAAAAAAGAAATGTTGATGCCTGGGTCCCATCTCATAGGTTCCAACTGAATTGTTCTAGGGTGGGGTCTCAGCACCAGTGGGTTTTCAAAGCTTCCCAGATGATTTTAATATGCAGCCACTGCTGAGAGCCACAGGCCTATTGCTAAAGTAGCACTTCTCAAACTATCCTATCCTGGAAGATTACCTGGGGATCCTGTCAAAATGCAGATTCGGATTCAATGGTGTGAGGCCTGGGAATGCATTTCCCACAGTCTCCCAGTTTATGCTGGGCTGTTCTCACCCACACTCTGTCTACAGTAAGGTACTAAATGGCCACAAGGCACAATATAAATAGTCATCCACTCCCTCTCCCCAAACTGTAACTTTTAGGGATGGTGGTGGCAGCTTCAGCTAACGACTTTCTTTCCTCCTTTTTCTGTTTTAGAGAGTAGTGTGTATAAGATTTTTAAAAGCACAAAAGGGTTGTACAAATAAAAGGTATCACTCCGGTTATCTGTTAAGAGAACACTGATTTACAGTTACCAGCACACCCACTTGCTATGGTACCACTGCTCCCCACATTCGTTACAAATTACGTAAGTCATCATTTGTTCATCTGGGTTTGAATTCCGCACCCAGCTGGGAAGGAAAAGTGTTCCTCTGTCAATTACAGTGACTTTGCAATTGTATTTCTCACAGCGTCTGCATTTTATTTTATTTGTCTGTGTGCCATCAATTACTTGGGGAAGGTAATGTTCCTGGATACAAGATTCCGTGTAGGAGGCTCTCAACTGCTTCAGTTCCTTATTTGCCATCTCCATGACAGTCATTTCAGCAAATTCTCGTGGAGACGTGGTCCCAGAGAGCAAGTTTTGTTGTAAATGAGAATTTCTGGGGTTCTTCAAATTGGCAACTTTGCTTCTGATGCAAGTTTTATATTTTTTGATGTTCTTTGAATAAAGGGTAAAAACATGCTCTTCAATTTCTCTTGCAAAGTTTTGCCACAAATCAGCTTTGGGTTGATCTGTGGAAGAACTAGTTAAAGCTGCGTAAAGAAGCTCTATGCATTTAGTTCTCATGGGTGTTGTGGGATCCAGCAACTCACTCGATCTCTTGCCAGTGGATTCAGGGTCACCATCCCCAAAATGCTCTTCCTTAGGTTTCAATTGAATGGCTCTATTTTCAGGCACAATCATTTCACTGAGTTTTGCAACGTCTTGGGAAGACAGAGAATTCGAGCTGCAGATGCCCAGTGTCTCATTCTGACTTGGGTCATGAGAAGGTCCTGAATTTTCTTCTTTATTACCCCTCACAGGAAATAATTTAGGGCTGTTCCTCGCTTTGGAGTGAGTCTGCTTATAAACAGCTTTCCACTTTGATAGCAAACACTTGGCTTTCTTTTTCAAAGCCACAGAGGGGCAGTTTTTGAGGACTCTGTACACAGCTCTGACCACATCTGTCTCCTGGAGATGCTCCTTAGTCACATAAATTGTTTCTAGCTCAGTAAGGTGGTTGCCAAGATCCTCAAAATTCCTTTTGGACATCAGTTGCTCAATAAGAGAAGCTCTGGCAGCTATCTGGTTCTTGTCAGACATCTTTACAGCTGCAAAGAAAAAAGAGGTTTCAGTTTTCTTAAGTTTGCCGTTGCTAGTCGCAGCTTCTGGATACTAAAATAGCACTTTCTGTCAGTTACCTAGGCAATGTTTTCCGAAAGAGTCATGTAATACAAATGTATGCGACACGCTAGAAAATGGAATCTTTAAGGTGACGGTATGGTTTACTCTCAAGAGTTTAATTCCTACGAGTGAAAAACAAACAAACAGCATTGCAGAGCCTCTACATAACATCTGCTTAAGAGGCTTGCCGGAGGATCTGCTATAGCTTTTCCACCTCCAATTTTACAAATCAATGATCTTTCTAGATTAGTCAATCCATTTGGGCGGAATCCGGTGGTCATGTTGGAGGTGAAATCATGCCGGTGTCAGCATCAATATGGCAATGCTGAACAGTGCTAGACAATTTTTCCCCAGAGTCAGCTATATAACTGAACTACTTGCTCATTTCATAATCTTTAAAGTGGTACTCTTCTGAAAATAAAAGAGAAACAAGACAGAAAGGGTTTGCTAATGTCTCAAGCAATCTAAGGAAAATGTGAGACAGCACAGGTTGAAAAGCAGCTAGAGATACGTCTGCGGGTCCCAAAAGCCAACAGGCTACACTGTGCTGCCTTAGGAGTCTTCTGAACAAGGGAAAGGTTCAGACTCAATGATCCAGATGATTTATGACTTTAGACTAACTGGTTCTTACATTTTGGTTTTGTTAATTTTTAAAAAATTTTTAAGTGTAAAGAGTTGCTCAATGATTATGTCTGTGTGAATTTCATCCTAGGCAGGCAAATGTTTACTTTTATCTATGCAGTCTATTTTTTCCCTCCACATAATGTACATAATCTTGTCTATATAATACCCTTGGATCTATATTTATCTGTCTGGTCTAAATGTGAACATAAGCATCTTGATGGCAGGGACTGTGTCTTTTCAAAAATCCATGGGCTCTGTTTTATAGCACTTGATATTAAATAATCACCACCGAACATACACAGGCTAAGAACACTGAAGTGTTTAGAGAGAGAATTCACGCAGTCTTCCCAGACACCATATGACAAGTGACATAAAACATAATGACCTTTTAGTAATTCTACTTCCATAAATTTACTTTAAGGAAATGAGAGATGTGGAGACTGCATATGTAAGAATTTTCTTCTAAGGAGAAATTAGAAGGCCCTCAAATGGTTAAATGGAGAATGGTTAAAAATATGGCACACTCCTAGGATACAGTAATATAACCATTTAAAAATCATGTATTTAGATAATATTTAACGACATGGAAAAATGGTCATAAAGTTAGGTGAAAAACAATCAAGATGTAAAACTATATAAAAGACTAAACAGTTAACATATGGGCCGGGCATGGTGACTCACCCTGTAATCCCAGCACTTTGGGAGGCCGAGGCAGGCAGATCACGAGGTCAGGAGATCGAGACCATCCTGGCTAACATGGTGAAACCCCATCTCTACTAAAAATACAAAAAATTAGCCGGGTGTGGTGGCGGGCACCTGTAGTCCTAGCTACTTGGGAGGCTGAAGCAGGAGAATGGCATGAACCTGGAAGGCGGAGTTTGCAGTGAGCCAAGATCGTGCCACTGCACTCCAGCCTGGGCAACACAGCAAGACTCTGTCTAAAAAAAAATAATAATAAATAAATGAATAAACCAGTTATCATATGACCCAGCAGATCCAAGAGAAATGAAAACATATGTCCACACAAAAACTTGTATACAAATGTTCATAGCAGTATTATTCACAATAGCCAAAAATGGGAAATAATCGAAATGTCCATCAACTGATGAATGGATAAATAAAATGTGATTTATCCACACAACAGAATATTATTCTGCCATGAAAAGGAATGAAGTATTGATACAGTTACAACATGGATGAACCTTGAAAACATTATGCTGAGCAGAAGCAGCCAGACAGAAAAGTCCACATATTGTATGATTTTATTTACATGAAATGTCCAAAACAGGCAAATCTATAGAGACAGAAAATAGATCAGTTGTTGACTAGGTAGGGTAGGGCAGAAGGGCAGTGGGGTGAAGGAGGAGGAGCAGCTGATAAAGTTCAGGGATTTTCTTGGGAGGTGGTGGCACACATAAATCTTCTCAAGATTTATTTGTGGTGATGGGTTATACAACTGAGTATACTAAAAAACACTGAATTGTACACTTTAGGTGAACTGTATGGTGCGTGAATTACATCTGAATAAAGGTGTTATTTAAAAATAGAATTTGATCCAAATTTTATTTAAGAATTACATGTGAAAAGACTGAAAAGAGATACACAAAATTTTAAAGAGGGGCATTTTCTGAATGGTAAGATTTTAGGTAATTTTCATTTGTTATTTTCCTCTTCTGTATTTTCTGTGATGAGCATGTATTGCTTTCATAATCAGAAAAGTTATTGGTCTAACGCAATTTCATGATAAACTATATGCACTTAAGATATACCTACTGAAAAATGGTATGAGCAATGAATCAATCACCTTCTACCCACCTCCCCTCTGGAACGAGAATGTACATAACACTACTGAACTGTATACTTAAAAAGGCTTAAGACAGGCTGGGCGTGGTGGCTCACACCTGCAATCCCAGCACTTTGGGAGGCCAAGGTGGGTGGATCATGAGGTCAAGAGATCGAGTCTATCCTGGCCAACATGGTGAAACCTTGTCTCCACCAAAAATACAAAAAGTTAGCTGGATGTAGTGGCGCATACCTGTAGTCCCAGCTACTCGGAAGGCCGAGGCAGGAGAATTGCTTGAACCCGGGAGGCAGAGTTTGCGGTGAGCCGAGATCATGCCACTGCACTCCAACCTGGCGACAGAGCGAGACTCTGTCAAAAAAAAAAAAAAAAAAGGGCTTAACACAGTAAATTTTATGTTTTGTATATTTTATCACAATTAAAATTTTTTAAAGAAATATGAAGAAAAGGTCAATAAAAGAACATATAAAATGAAGAGCAAAGTGCTTTTTGGTTGTTTATACATAAATACATTAACTTCTATAGATTTACTCATTTTGCTGGTAAGACAAATTGCTGCTTTCACCCCACTGAAACCCCGAAGCTATAATTACAATTCCCTTTAAGAATTACCTTGAAACTCAGACCTTCAGTTGAGAAATTCTGACCTGAGTCAAATATTGCTTAACTTCCTTTTGGGCGCTGTAGGCCCATCTCTTATTCACCATCTTTCTCAATGCCTAGCAAACCTCCATCCTGATTTCAATAGTAATGCATATAGAATGCAGGCACATTGAATGTTTCTTCTTTGTTAGGAAACTTTTCAACGAGTCGGGGAGGGCTCAAGTATATTGAATAACTTGAAACTTTATCACTGTGACACAACTGCGTGACTTCAAGATCTGAAGCAGACAATTCTGAGAGAAATGTTCGCTAATAGAGGGTGTGAATATTTTTTATTTTTCTGTGCTGTCTTGCCTGTTGTTTATTAAGAGTTTGATTCTTAGGAAGACCTCTTTTACTGTATGCAGTCTTTAAAAGTGGAATTTTAAAAAGGCAAAAAAGAATTATCTTTTAAGTGCTGGTTCACAATAATTAGGAAAATTACATAAGATCCTGAATTGATGGCCCTTTGTGAAACTAACTTTAAAACAAAACAAAACTGACTGCCCCAGGTTTTCTACATTCCAGCTCCCTCTGGTGGTTAAAAATGTAGGACTCAGACTCTTGGTTATGTAAGGGTACTTAACTCTTCATATTTGGGGATAAAGTTTGAGGGGAGATGCACCTGTTTGAGATGCAGTAATCGATTTCTGAGGCAATTATGAATACTTATCTGAATGCAAAGCCACAGGTGATATAGCCACTCTTAAGAGACGATATTCACATTTCAGAGGGAAGGTGGGTAGAAGGTGATTGATTCATTTCTCACCATACCATTTTTCAGTATCTTAAATGTATACAGTTTATCATGAAATTATATTAGACCAATAACTTTTCTGATTATGAAAACAATGCATGCTCATCACAGAAAATACAGAAAAGAGTAAAAGAACAAATGAAAATTACCTAAAATCTCACCATTCAGAAAATGCCCCTCTTTAAAATTTTGCGTATCTCTTCAGTCTTTCCATATGTAATTCTTAAGTAAAATTTGGACCAGATTCTATTTTTAAATAACACCTTTATTCAGATGTAATTCACATACCATACAATTCCCCTAAAGTGTATAATTCAGTGGCTTTTAGTATATTCACAGTTGTGTAACCCATCACCACAAATAAATCAACTTTAGAAGATTTATCTGTGCCACCACCCCCCAAGAAAATCCCTGCACTTTAGCAGCCACTCCTCTTTCTTCACTCCACTGCCCTTCTGTCCCACCCCACCAAGTCAACAACTAATCTTTTTTCTGTCTGTATAGATTTGCTGTCTGGACATTTCATGTGAATAAAATCATACAGTATGTGGTCTTTTGTATCTGGCTTCTTCTATTCAGCATAACGTTTTCAAGGTTCATCCATGTTGTAGCATTTTCAGTACTTCATTCCTTTTCATGGCAGAATAATATTATGTTGTGTGGATAAACCACATTTTATTTATCCATTCATCAGTTGATGGACATTTTGATTATTTCCCATTTTTGGCTATTATGAATAATACTGCTATGAACATTTGTGTACAAGTGTGTGTGTGTTTTTTTTTTTTTTTTTTTTGAGATGGAGTCTCGCTCTGTCACCCATGCTGGAGTGCAGTGGTGCAATCTTGGCTCACTGCAATCTACACCTCCTGGGTTCAAGTGATTCTCGTGCCTCAGACTCCTGAGTAGCTAGGATTACAGGCATGTGCCACCACGCCCGGCTACTTTTTGTATTTTTAGTAGAGACAGGGTTTCATCATGTTGGCCAGCCTGGTCTCGAACTCCTGACCTCAGGTGATCCACCTGCCTTGGCCTCCCAAAGTGCTGGGATTACAGGCATGTGCCACCACACCCGGCCTGTGTACAAGTTTTTGCATGGACATATGTTTTCATTTATCTTGAATCTGCTGGATTATATAACTGTTTAATCTTTCATATAGTTTTGCATCTTGATTTTTTTTCACTTAGCTTTAGGACTATTTTTCCACATCATTAAATATTCTCTAAAAACACGATTTTTAAATGGTTATGTTATTGGATCATCCTAGGAGTTTGCGATAGTTTTTAATCATTCTCCTATTTGGGGCCTTCCAGTTTCTCCTAAGTTTGAAGAAAATGCGTACATATGCGGTCTCCACATCTCTCGTTTCCTTAAAGTGAATTCACAGAAGTAGAATTACTAAAAGGTAAATATGTTTTATGTCACTTGTCATATGGTGTCTGGGAAGATTGTGTGAATTCTCTCTCTAAACACTTCAGTGTTCTTAGCCTGTGTATGTTCGGTGGTGATTATTTAATATCAAGTGCTATAAAACAGAGCCCATGGATTTTTGAAAAGACACAGTCCCTGCCATCAAGATGCTTATGTCCAGCACTCTTTTCATCCTCCCAAACTGAAAACTCTGCACCCATTAAACAACTCCTCATTCTTCCCTCCCTCCAGCCCCTGGCAATCACCACTCGACTTTCTGTCTCTATGGATGAGACTACTCTAGGTACTTCATGTGAGTGGAATCATACAGTATTTCTCTTTTTGTGACTGGCTTATTTCACTTAGCATAATGTCCTCAAGGTTCATCCATGTTGTAGCATGTGTCAGAACTTTCTTCCTTTTTAAGAATGAATAATATTCCATTGTCTATACATAACACATTTTGTTTATCCATTCAAATGTCAACGGATACTTGAGTTGCTTCTGGCTTTTGGCCATTGTGAATAACACTGCTGTGAGCACTGGTATACCAATCTCTCTTTGAGACCCTGCTTTCAATTCTTCAGAGTATATACTCAAAAATGGAATTGCTGGATCATATGGTAATTCTATTTTTAATTTTTTGAGGACCCACTGTATTGTTTTCCATTCCCTTCCACATTTTTAACAGGATTTAAATCCAGTCAAACTTTCTAGTCCTCTGTGGGACCATCATGTGGATATAAAGGATTTATTGCCCTAGGAGGGTATAATGTGGAAGCCATTGAAATACAAAATTCTGACAATTGCCATAAAAAGACAAGGTAAGGCATATGTCCAGCTTAGTTCTACATAGTTCATTCAATAAATATATATTAGGGATTGAGTATGTGCTAGATGCTGAGCCTAAAGAGACAGTCTCTGCCTTGAAGGAGCTGATAGCCTAGTGGGAGTAATACTGACAAGAAACTGGCCAGTTACAACACATGTGGAATTTCAACATGGACAGACACTGGCTGCTAGGGGAAACACACGCAGGATGGCACCAAACCCTATCTGGGCTCGCCATCATCTGGACAGCTACAATTTGCTTCTTTACTGCCTTCACTGTACTTCTGGCACTCACAAGGCCCAACTGTGAGTCTGGCACTTTGTTAGAGGGATCATCCTCTAGTACAGATCTCAGAAAGATACTCCCTCATTTTCCTGCTGAAAGCCCTTGAGAGGTTTCCCCTTGCTTTCATGATGGAGCCAAAGCTCCTTGGCCAGTGGCAAAAAGAGCCCTAGCAGGCCTCCCTCTTGACTACTCGCAACCACTGATGGGCACGGCTCTGTGCCTTTGCTCAAGCAGCATCCCGAGCCTGGCTGATCTCTCACCATTAGTGGTTCTCAAGCCTGGCTGCACATTAGAATCCTCTGGGGAAATTAAACAACAAAAAACAAAAACAAACAATGGCAGGGCCTCACTCCAGATAGGATGAATTAGGATCTCTGAGGGTAGGGCCTGCATATTGGCTCAGCTCTCCAGGGTGACTCTGATTTAAACCACACACAGGCATACAACCCTCTTCCACACCCCAGCAGGACCTGCCAGTTAGGCTGCCATCAGCCCCAAAGACAGCTCTGGTTCTGCTCCTGGACCGAATGCAGACAACTCTATGACTGGCTTTTCTAGATGAGTCCCATTCAGTCAGAAAAGATTTAAAACACCTACTGTGTACAATGCAGCTGACAACCTTCTCTACAAATTACAAATGACAACTGTAATATTTTAAGTGTCATAATGTACACAATTCCTGATATTCACCCTCTCACTTACCTCTTCACAGTGGAAGGCAACATATATTTATTGAGCAACTCTCCAGGCCACACACACTCCAGTCATCTCAATCCTCACAATACTCCTGCAATACAGATAATGGCTTATTTTCATCTTACAGGTGAGGAAACCTGCTAAAAACAGTAAATAATTTGCAAGTTTTTTTCATGGTGTTAATCACATTTAAAAAACGTTTTTACTGCCTTCCCCACAAGACCATAAGAGAAGATCCACATGTTTTATTCACCTATACACACCTAGCAAACACCCAGTCAGTGCTTACTATTACTTAACACATTTTTGTTGTTGTTAAATGAGTAATGAGCATCCAGGATGCTCTCTCTCTTCTCTGCTTGGGAGCTTCATTTCTTTTCACTACACACCAGCTTGCTTGTACTCATTGCACCTAAGCCCAGTGCCCCTTGGCTTCTTTCGTAGGAGACCAAGCCCATCTCGATTCTAGTTCAAAAAAATCATTCAAAAATTCTAGTTCAAATAAATCTTGTTAAAAAAAACAAAACAAACAAACAAACAAACAAAAAAACCATGGTGCCCACTGTGGGCTAATGAAGTGGGTTTGAGGGGTCAAAACATTTGCATAAGGAAGGTCAAGCAGGTCCAGTTCCCAGAAGTGAGGGGTGCTGAGCAAGTTGGATAAGTTTCTTGACCATTCTGTGCCTCAATTTCCTCATCTACAAAATGGGAGAAATCCAACATCCTAGGATTAATGAGAATTAAATGAAAGTCTTGATAAAGTGCTTTGAACTATGGCTGTCACACAGTAAGTGTGAATAATAGGATGTGAATCTACAATTAAAAGGCTTAAAAATATCTACCAAACCAGGCATTGTTCTACAGCAGGGGGTCAGCACACTTTTTCTGTTAAAGATCAGAAGGTATATATTCTAGGCTTTGTAGGCCATACAATCTCTATGGACTACTCAACTCTGCTGCTATTGTAGCAGCAACAGCAGATACAGAAAATAACATAAATGGATAGGCATGATCTTGCTCTGGTAACACTTGTTTACAAAAACAGGCAGGCTGGATTTGGCTGCAGGCCATAGTTTGTTGACCCTTTTCTAGAGCAGGGCTGTGCAACATATATATAACATGTAAACCACAAATATGATTTAAAATTTTCCAGTAGTCATGTTAAAAAATAAAAATTGGTGAAATTAATTATACATTTTATTTAACCCAGTGTATCCAGAATAGTCATTTCAACATGTGATTAATATAAACAAATTGAGATATTTTACATTCTTTTTCATGCTAATTCTCGAAAATTCACTGTGTCTTACACTTACAGCACATCTCAATTCGGACTAGCCACATTTCAAGTGATCAAGCCTTATGTAACTAATGGCTATCATTATTGGGACGCCACGGTTCTAGAACTGATGCTAATATGGATAATGCTTGCTTAGGTGCATACCTATACCAAAAAGTGTATACAGTGCCAGGAAAAGTAGGCACGAAATATGGTATTGGATCCATATAAAAACTTATAAAGATTAGCTAATATTATAGTAAGCAAGGTGCACACATCTGCACAAAAATGGCCTAAACCCTGAGAAGAACGAGAGGAAAGGTCTGGAAACAATGTTTCCAGAAGTTTGTAACAAGTCAAAAATAACCTAGATCTGTTCAGATCTTTAGATCTCTTTAAAGCCTAAAGAGAAACTGTAACTTTCTAGCCCTAACCCACTTAACAGCTCCCCAGCTTCACAGGGAGCCCCGCCCTCTATGGAGAGAAACGATGCCAAATGTTGGCAGCGGTGTAGCGGTTACTGAACAGCCACTCAGCACTGCACTAGGACCATTTCCCTTAATGGTGACCCCTAGTAAAGGTGCAGCGAGAGGAAGGGACCAGCCCAACTGCCCGGTCTAGCCCGGGTTCGAGTTCCGGTGGGTGGGGTCGAGCAACATGCAAAGCCTGCCGCTAATCATCTTGGGATGACGGCCCGGCACCCAGCACACAAACAGCGACAGTCCCGAGGGTTCAGCCCACTCTGGCGACCTCGACAGTCGGAGAGGAAGGGGCGGGGGTGCGAGCACCTTCGGATCTACGCCGCCCAGGGCGCACCGGAAAGCTGCCGCGAGCCGGGGTGGGCTTCCGCTGGGAATAAGGGCTCGCCTTTTTGCGGGACACAGGCCCTGGCAAACCTGAAGCATGACTCACCGAAAAGCGCAGGCGCAGTTCCGGAGCCTTCAGCCGCCCAGTGCCCACGGAGAACTTCCGATCACCGGGACTGGGACAACGTCAAGGCTCAGCCAATCCAAGCCCACAGGCCGGCGCACGTGGTCCTGGGACCCAGTGCATGCGCGCTAGGGAAATGGCTGCCGTGGGACTGCGCTCGCGCGGCTTCCTAGAGGAGGAGCCATGGCCCCGCCCCGGGCCCGAGAGAAAGAAACTGCACTTTCGTTTTTTAGCAGCAAAGTTTGTTGATGTACTTTACAACTTATCTTTTCTGCTTCTACTCAGGACAGTCAAGACAGTGCTCAGCTAGATGTTCACATAACTGTAGACATAAATGTGAATCTATTTAACGCAGTAATTAATTCAAAAAGTGTTTTTAGCATCCTAGCATGCATCAGTTGATATGAAAGTAGTAAATGTTAATTGAGTGGTCTTGTGCATCCTGGACTTCTCATCTGTGCATATTCTCATTCTTTGCCTGCAAAGGGCCAGTAAAAGCACAGTGATGGTTGAACGAATGTGACAGCCTCC